>NC_000003.12:87888787-88191818 GCF_000001405.40 Homo sapiens | reverse complement strand
TGGTTCTGTTTCTCTGGAGAACCGTGAATTCAATGACTATCTATAAGAAATGCTGTACAAGGAATTTCTGCATTACTTTTTAGGGAGGAATTGAGAATCTCTGAAATCTCTCTAAACTATAATTACATGATGAAATGCATTATTTATATTAAGTAAACTTTTTAATTTAAAATATTTAAGTGACCAAGATAGTTTTCTCACTGAAATTTCAAATATATATTTGTGTGTAAATGTTAGACATCATGTCATTAACTAAAAAGGTATATCTATATATCATAATTATATTAGAAATACAAGTTTCACATTATTAAACTGTGAAAGGAAAATAAATCTTGAGGCCCCAAAATCACTAAGCTAAAGGGAAAAGTCAAGCTGGGAACTGCTTAGGGCAAACCGGCCTCCCATTCTATTCAGTCATCCCTCTGCTCCCTGTGATAAATGCATATCTGACTGCCTCCTTTGGAGAGGCTAATCAGAAACTCAAAAGGATGTATTTGTTTGTCTCTCACCTACCTGTGATCTGGAAGCCCCCGACACTGCTTGACTTGTCCCACTTTTCCGGACAAAACCAGTGTACATCTTACGTATATTGATTGATGTCTCATGTCCCCCTAAAATGTATAAAACTAAACTGTGCTCTGACCACCTTGGGCACATGTCGCCAGGACCTCCTGAGGCTGTGTCATGGGCGCGCATCCTCAACCTTGGCAAAATAAACTTTCTAAATTAACTGAGACTGTCTCAGATATTTGGGGTTCACAAAACCAATTTTGTTTTTCTTTCTTTTTTTCTTGTTCTTGTCACCCAAGCTGGAGTGCAATGGTGCAATTTCAGCTCACTGCAAGCTCTGCCTCCTGGGTTCAAGCGATTCTCCTGCCTCAGCCTACCGAGTAGCTGGGATTACAAGCAGCCACCACCACACCCAGCTAATTTTGGTATTTTTAGTAGAGATGGGGTTTCACCATGTTGGCAGGCTGGTCTCGAACTCCTGACCTCAGGTGATCCACCCGCTAAGGCCTCCCAAAGTGCTGGGGTTACAGGCATGAGCCACTGCCCCTGGCCCACAAAACCAAATTTCAAATAGAATCACTATAATTACTGTGGAGCATTTGCTGCACTACTAATCATCTCCAATACCAGAGGCACTATATAAATATATCTACATTACAAACTATTGAAGGCTACATCCCATACTCATGGAACACAATAAAATTTATAATCAGAATACAAAATAAATGTTATTGAGTAATTTATTGCAACAGCCTCATTATCTGGGGTGATACCTGAGGTTCACTGTCTCATAGTCTAGGAAATCAAGGACACAGACACACAAGGAGTGAGGTTAAAAGCGGAAGTTTAACAGGTAAAAAAAAAAAAAGAGACTAGCTCTCTGCTGGAGAGAGGGGTCCCAGAGAAATGGGTTGCTGGATCCGTGGTGAAATGCAGGGGGTTTTATAGATACCTGGTGAGGTGGCAATGTCTGATTTACATAGGGTGCAAAAGATTGGTTGAACCAGGTGTGCCATTTGCATAGGGCCTGAAAAACTGGTTAGGACCAAGTGTGCAAAGCACGCATTTCTGACCACCCTCACCCTAATCTTTTATTATGCAAGCTGGTCCTGTGCTTGGCCTGAGCCATGTTGCCTATTCCTTTACTGTGCACATGTTAACAACAAAAAAAAAGGAAGATGGAGCCTCCATAATGGATATGCCTAACCCCCAAGTAGCCCTTTTTTATTGACACAGCTGCCAGCATTCACCCATGCAAGCTTCCAGTTTGCTTCTCCATGTTTGCAGCTCGAGTTTTCAGGCTGCTCTTTGTTAGAAACAAAAATAATTTCTAGGTCTGCTTTTTGTTAAAAGGGAAGCTCTTTAGAGGACTCTTTTACACTCACTATCTGCCTGGTTTCTTTCTACCTCCTGTATCAGTATCATATTAACAAAAGCCAACATTGTGGCTTCAAAGGACATGTCTTTTTGAAGAACATAACAAGAACATTATTTTCCATGAAACACAGAAGACATCTAGACCTCAGATTGAGGGACTAAGTGGCTAAGTTGCCGGGACTTCCTGGGTCAACAGGTACTTCCCTAAGGGGACTCTCCCCTAAGCCTAAATGAGTCACAGCTGCAAACTGAGGGATTGAAACTTCAACCAATCATATAGGGAGTTTAAGCTCTAGCTGCAGGCTGATGTTTTTAACCAATCAGGCACGCCAACCCACAAGGGGATAGAAAATAAGCTAATTCTACAGGACAGAAAAAGGAAGAGGGGAGGGGTCATAAGCGGATAGAAGCCTAAAACACCCAAGCCAGAAACGGCAAACCTTCCAGGTCTCCTTCCACCGCGTGGAAGCTTTACTTTCACTTTTGCTTTAATAAATCTTGCCCCCTCACACTCTTTGGGTCCGCGCGTTTCTCTAATGGAGCTGTAACACTCGCCACTGCGGTCACAACTTCATTCCTTGAAGCCCGTGAGACCCCGAATCCTTGGATCAAGAAAAACCTTTGATCGTGAGAAGACTTCTTGTCTCAAGATGACGATTGGATTTTACCTCTTTATCTAATACCAGTTGATTCGGAATGATGCCTGGAAAAATGTATTCAAGAATGTGTGACCTCCTTTGAGTTCAGTGGAAAAGAATGAGAACATTGATTACTGGTGTCCTTTATGGGTTGAAGGTGAAGGAGGGAGGAGGAGTTTTGGAATCAAGTCTTTGCCAACCTTACTGTAGACCACTAAACATTTACATTCTACAAACCTTTCCCTCTCCACTTCCACCACCTTGTCTAGCTATAAAAGCTTTCCTCATTCACATTTAATTTTTCACAGTTCCTCCAGAATACCCTCTTCCAGCAAAGTAATGGTTATATTTGGTGAGTAAAATAACTTTCTTTTAGATTTGCAACAGACAGAGTGGCATTCTAGAGCTTCATAGCCATCATCCATCATTGGTATACTATTAATGAAGAAGAACTGAGAGGCCAATCCAAAGAACATCAATTTGGAAAAGAGAAACCAGGATTTAGATA
The DNA here is from genome assembly GCF_000001405.40 of Homo sapiens. NCBI lineage: Eukaryota > Metazoa > Chordata > Mammalia > Primates > Hominidae > Homo > Homo sapiens. The sequence continues at coordinate 88,188,785 of NC_000003.12, read as the reverse complement.
ACAACAGGGAGAAAAAAAAATTGCGAATTCAGTGTCCCTCCTTGTGTCTGCGTCCAGTACTGTCCCTTGACTCCTCCTGAGTCATGAGTAAAATTCCCCTTGCTGCAGCCATCACCACAGCTGTGAACTCTGACGGCTGGCGTCTGCCCCAAGGCTTTCCCTCGAGTCCTCCCAGAGCCAGCCCCTCCTGGCAAAGATGATTCCTTTCATCCCAGTCATAGATGTCTCTTGTGGTGGATCTGTCAGTCAAAAGAGAACATGAGAAGCGTGATTCAGGAACAAAAGGAACTTCACAGAAAGATTTAGCCTGGTGCTTCTTAGATTCCTCTATTGCACTAAACATCTTTTTATTTACCAGATTCCAAATATACACAATTCCCAGGTAGTTTGCTTGACTGTATTAATGTTATGTGTATATATATATATATATATATATATATATATATATATATATATATGTATGTATGTATAAAAGCATCATGTTGCACATCTTCAGTATATACAATAAATAAATAAAAATAATAGATAAAATATAACTAATGTTGAATTTTCTACTCATCAGTATCTATTTACATATTTACATATAAGTTCCTTTTTCACGATTAGAAATTTTATTTGTACTCCTTCAATACGTGCTTTTATTCCAAGTGCCTCATATAATATTATCCCAGTGTGACACATTTTGTGCTCTTTTTTAATTATTATACTGTAAGTTCTAGGGTACATGTGCACAACGTGCAGGTTTGTTACATAGGTATACATGTGCCATGTTGGTTTGCTGCACCCATCAACTCATCATTTACATTAGTTATTTCTCCTAATGCTATCCCTCCCGCAGCCCTCCACCCACCCCCAAAAGGCCCCAGTGTGTGATGCTCCCCTCCCTGTGTCCATGTGTTCTCATTGTTCAACTCCCACCTATGAGTGAGAACATGCGGTGTTTGGTTTTCTGTCCTTGTGACAGTTTGCTGACAATGATGGTTTCCAGCTTCATCCATGTCCCTACAAAGGACATGAACTCATCATTTTTTATGGCTGCATAGTATTCCATGGTGTATATGTGCCACATTTTCTTAATCCAGTCTATCATTTATGGACATTTGGGTTGGTTCCAAGTCTTTGCTATTGTGAATAGTACTGCAATAAACATACACGTGCATGTGTCTTTATAGTAGCAGGATTTATAATCCTTTGGGTATATACCCAGTAATGGGATTGCTGGGTCAAATGGTATTTCTAGTTCTAGATGCTTGAAGAATCGCCACACTGTCTTCCACAATGGTTGAACTAATTTACACTCCCACCAACAGTGTAAAAGCATTCCTATTTCTCCACATCCTCTCCAGCACCTGTTGTTTCCTGACTTTTTAATGATTGCCATTCTAACTGGTGTGAGATGGTATCTCATTGTGGTTTTGATTTGCATTTCACTGATGACCAGTGACGATGAGCATTTTCTCATGTGTCTGAGGCCGGCATAAATGTCTTTTTTTGAGAAGTGGCTGTTCATATCCATTGCCCACTTTTTGATGGTGTTGTTTGTTTTTTTCTTGTAAATTTCTTTAAGTTCTTTGTAGATTTTGGATATTAGCCCTTTGTCAGATGGGTAGATGGCAAAAATTTTCTCCCATTCTGTAGGTTGCCTGTTCACTCTGATGGTAGTTTCTTTTGCTGTGCAGAAGCTTTTTAGTTTAATTACATCCCATTTGTCAGTTTTGGCTTTTGTTGCCATTGCTTTTGGTGTTTTAATCATGAAGTCTTTACCCATGCCTATGTCCTGAATGGTATTGCCTAGGTTTTCTTCTAGGGTTTTTATGGTTTTAGGTCTTACATTTAAGTCTTTAATCCATCTTGAGTTAATTTTTGTATAAGGTGTAAGGAAGAGATCCAGTTTCAGCTTTCTACATATAGCCAGTTTTCTCAGCACCATTTATTAAATAGGGAATCCTTTCCCCATTTCTTGTTTTTGTCAGGTTTGTCAAAGATCAGATGGTTGTAGATGTGTGGTGTTATTTCTGAGGCCTCTGTTCTGTTCCATTGGTCAATATCTCTGTTTTGGTATCAGTCCCATGCTGTTTTTGTTACTGTAGCCTTGTAGTATAGTTTGAAGTCAGGTAGCATGATGCCTCCAGCTTTGTTCTTTTTGCTTAGGATTGTCTTGGCAATGCAGACTCTTTTTTGGTTCCATATGAACTTTAAAGTAGTTTTTTCCAATTCTGTGAAGAAAGTCATTGGTAGCTTGATGGGGATGGCATTGAATCTATAAATTACTTTGGGCAGTATGGCCATTTTCATGATATTGATTCTTCCTATCCATAAGCATGGAATATTCTTCCATTTGTTTGTGTCCTCTCTTACTTCGTTGAGCAGTGGTTTGTAGTTTTCCTTGAAGAGGTCCTTCACATCCCTTGTAAGTTGGATTCCTAGGTATTTTATTCTCTTTGTAGCAATTGTGAATGGGAGTTCACTCATGATTTGGCTCTCTGTTATTGGTGTATAGGAATGCTTATGATTTTTGCACATTGATTTTGTATCCTGAGACTTTGTTGAAGTTGCTTATCAGGTTAAGGATTTTTGGGATGAGACGACAGGGTTTTCTAGATATACAATCATGTCATCTTCAAATAGGAAGAGTTTGACTTCCTCTTTTCCTAATTGAACACCCTTTATTTCTTTCTGTTCCCTGATTGCCCTGGCCAGAACTTCCAACACTATGTTGACTAGGTGTGGTGAGAGAGGGCATCCTTGTCTTGTGCCAGTTTCAAAGGGAATGCTTCCAGTTTTTGCCCATTCGGTATGATATTGGCTATGGGTTTGTCATAAATAGCTCTTATTATTTTGAGATAGGTTCCATCAATACCTAGTTTATTGAGAGTTTTTAGCATGAAGGGCTGTTGAATTTTTTCAAAGGCCTTTTCTGCATCTATTGAGATAACCATGTGCTTTTTGTTGTTAGTTCTGTTTATGTGACGGATTACGTTTATTGATTTGCATATGTTGAGCCAGCCTTGCATCCCAGGAATGAAACTGACTTGATCGTGGTGGATAAGCTTTTTGATGTGCTGCTGGATTCGTTTTGCCAGTATTTTATTGATGATTTTTGCATCCATGTTCATCAGGGATATTGGTCTAAAATTCTCTTTTTTTTGTTGTGTCTCTTCCAGGCTTTGGTATCAGGATGATGGTGGCCTCATAAAATGAGTTAGGGAAGATTCCCTCTTTTTCTATAGATTGGAATAGTTTCAGAAGGAATGGTACCAGCTCCTCCTTGTACCTCTGGTAGAATTCAGCTGTGAATCCATCTGGTCCTGGACTTTTTTTGGTTGGTAAGCTATTAATTATTGCCTCAATTTTAGAACCTGTTATTGGTCTATTCAGAGATTCAAATTCATCCTGGTTTAGTGTTTGCAGGGTGTATGTGTCCAGGAATTTATCCATTTCTTCTAGATTTTCTCGTTTATTTGTGTAGAGGTGTTTATAGTATTCTCTGATGGTAGTTTGTATTTCTGTGGGATCAGTGGTGATATCCCCCTTATCATTTTTTATTGTGTCTATTTGATTCTTCTCTCTTTTCTTCTTTATTAGTCTTGCTAGCAGTCTTCTATTTTGTTGATCTTTTCAAAAAGTCAGCTCCTGCATTCATTGATTTTTTTTGAAGGGTTTTTTGTGTCTCTATCTTCTTCAGTTGTGCTCTGATTTTAGTTATTTCCTGCCTTCTGCTAGCTTTTGAATTTGTTTGCTCTTGCTTCTCTAGTTCTTTTAATTGTGATGTTAAGGTGTCAATTTTAGATCTTTCCTGCTTTCTCTTGTGGGAATTTAGTGCTATAAATTTCCCTCTACACACTGCTTTAAATGTGTCCCAGAGATTCTGGTACGTTGTGTCCTTGTTCTCATTGGTTTCAAAGAACATCTTTATTTCTGCCTTCATTTCATTATTTACCTGGTAGTCATTCGGGAGCAGGTTGTTCAGTTTCCATGTAGTTGAACGGTTTTGTGTGAGTTTCTTAATCTTAAATTCTAATTTGATTGCACTGTGGTCTGAGAGACAGTTTGTTGTGATTTCTGTTCTTTTACATTTGCTGAGGAGTGTTTTACTTCCAATTATGTGGTCAATTTTAGAATAAGTGCGATGTGGTGCTGAGAAGAATGTATATTCTGTGGATTTGGGGTGGAGAGTTCTATAGATGTCTATTAGGTCTGCTTGGTACAGAGCTGAGTTCAAGTGCTGAATATCCTTGTTAACCTTCTGTCTCATTGATCTGTCTGACAGTGGGGTGTTAAAGTCTCCCATTATTATTGTGTGGGAGTCTAAGTCTTTTTGTAGGTCTCTAAGGACTTGCTTTATGAATCTGGGTGCTCCTGTATTGGGTGCATATATATTTAGGATAGTTAGCTTTTGTTGTTGAATTGATCCCTTTACCATTATGTAATGGCCTTCTTTGTCTCTTTTGATCTTTGTTGGCTTAAAGTCTGTTTGATCAGAGACTAGGATTGCAACCCCTGCTTTTTTTTTTGCTTTCCATTTGCCTGGTAGATCTTCCTCCATCCTTTTATTTTGAGCCTATGTGTGTCTCTGCATGTGAGAGGGGTCTCCTGAACACAGCACACTGATGGGTCTTGACTCTTTATCCAATTTGCCAGTCTGTGTCTTTTAATTGGGGTATTTAGCCCATTTACTTTAAGATTCATATTGTTATGTGTGAATTTGATCCTGTCATTATGATGTTAGCTGGTTATTTTGCTCGTTAGTTGATGCACTTTCTTCCTAGCATCGATGGTCTTTACAATTTGGCATGTTTTTGCAGTGGCTGGTACCAGTTGTTTCTTTCCATGTTTAGTGCTTCCTTCAGGAGCTCTTGTAAGGCAGGCTTGGTGGTGACAGAAATCTCTCAGCATTTGCTTGTCTGTAAAGTATTTTATTTCTCCTTCACTTATGAAGCTTAGTTTGGCTGGATATGAAATTCTGGGTTGAAAAGTCTTTCCTTTAAGAATGTTGAATATTGGCTCCCACTCTCTTCTCGCTTGATGGGTTTCTGCTGAGAGATCCGCTATTAGTCTGATGGGCTTCCCTTTGTAGGTAACCTGACCTTTCTCTCTGGCTGCCCTTAACATTTTTTCCTTCATTTCAACCTTGGTGCATCTGACAACTATGTGTCTTGGGGTTGCTCTTCTCAAGGAGTATCTTTGTGGTGTTCGCTGTATTCCCTGAATTTGAATGTTGGCCTGCTTTGCTAGGTTGGGGAAGTTCTCCTGGATAATATCCTGAAGAGCGTTTTCTAACTTGGTTCCATTCTCCCCATCACTTTCAGATACACCAATCAAACGTAGATTTGATCTTTTCACATAGTCCCATATTTCTTGGAGGCTTCGTTTGTTTCTTTTCACTCTTTTTTCTCTAATCTTGTCTTCTTGCTTTATTTCATTAATTTGATCTTCAATCACTGATATCTTTTGTTCCACTTGATCAAATTGGCTATTGAAGCTTGTGCATGCATCACGAAGTTCTTGTGCTGTGGTTTTCAGCTCTGTCAGGTCATTTAAGGTCTTCTCTACACTGGTTATTCTAGTTAGCCATTTGTCTAACCTTTTTTTTCAAGGTTTTTAGCTTCCTTGTGATGGGTCAGAACATGCTCCTTTAGCTCGGAGAACTTTGTTATTACCAACCTTCTGAAGCCTACTTCTGTCAAATTGTGAAACTCATTCTCCATCCAGTTTTGTTCCATTGCTGGCAAGGAGCTGCAATCCTTTGGAGGAGAAGAGGTGCTCTGGTTTTTGGAATTTTCAGCTTTTCTGCTCTGGTTTCCCCCATCTTTGTGGTTTTATCTACCTTTGATCTTTGATGTTGGTGACCTACATATGGGGTTTTGATGTGGTTGTCCTTTTTGTTGATGTTGATGCTATTCCTTTGTTTTTTAGTTTTCCTTCTAACAGGCTCCTCAGCTGCAGTTCTGTTGAAATTTGCTGGAGGTCCACTCCAGACGCTGTTTGCCTGGGTATTACCAGTGGAGGCAGCAGAACAGCAAATATTGCAGAACAGCAAATATTGCTGCCTGATCCTTCCTCTGGAAGCTTCGTTCCAGAGGGGCACCTGCCTGTATGAGGTGTCTGTCGGCCCCTACTGGGAGGTGTCTCCCAGTCCGGCTACACTGGGGTCAGGAACCCACTTGAGGAGGCAGTCTGTCCATTCTCAGAGCTCGAACGCCATGCTGGGAGAACCACTGCTCTCTTCAGAGCTATCAGACAGGGACATTTAAGTTTGCAGAAGTTGTCTGCTGCCTTTTGTTCAGCTATGCCCTGCCCACAGAGGTGGAGTCTAGAGAGGCAGTAGGCCTTGCTAAGCTGTGGTGGGCTCTGCCCAGTTTGAGCTTCCCGGCCACTTTGTTTACCTACTCAAGCCTCAGCAATGGCAGATGCCCCTCCCCACTCCAGCCTGCAGCCTTGCTGGCCAATCTCAGACTGCTGTGCTATCAGTAAGCAAGGCTCTTTGGGCGTGGGACCTGCCGAACCAGGCATGGGAGGAAATCTCCTGGCCTGCTGGTTGCTAAGACTGGGAAAAGTGCAGTATTTGGGCAAGAGTGTACCTTTCCTCCAGGTACAGTCTGTCATGGCTTCCCTTGGCTAGGAAAGGAAAATTCCCTGACCCTCTGCGCTTCCCAGGTGAGACGATGCCCCGCTCTGCTTCGGCTCACCTTCCGTGGGCTGCACCCACTGTCCAACCAGTCCCAATGAGATGAACCAGGTACCTCAGTTGGAAATGCAGAAATCACCCATCTTCTGTGTTGATCTCACCGGGAGCTACAGACTGGAGCTGTTCCTATTTGGCCATCTTGGAAGTGACCTCACCATTTTGTGCTTTTAAAAGACTTATTGATCATTGTACAATATTTCTAAGCAACAACAATGTGATCATAAGTTTTAGAAACTTCCCCACAATATTTTGTGGTAAAAAATGTCTTCCAGATTGAATTATTACAATTGTTACTGTCATATAATTGATCAAAACAACCTAACTAGTTCACATATTTTACTGGAAATCCATAATTTACTGAGATGAATTAATATTCTTACTGCTTGACTAAGTCAGGGTTTGTTATCAATTCCATTCCAATTTTTTGTTGTTGTTGGTTTTGGGTGTAAGCATGATTTATACCCAAATTATGGTTATAAGTAGAGACAAAATTACAATATCATCCAAATTTAAATGCATTCCTAATTTACTTGTCCATTTTAATGTATGCAAATTTTAGATCAAAAGGAAAATAATCAGATAGTAATTTATTGTCAAGATTTACTTTTAGTAAGCAGAGCATCAGATGAAAACTTATTTCAATTTGTTTGTTTGTTTGTTTTGAGACACAGCTTCTGTTGCTCATCCTGGAGTAGAGTGGTATAATCACAGCTCATTGCAGCCTTGGCCTCTAGGCTCAAGTCATCCTCTCACCTCAGCTCTCCAGGTACCTGGGACTACAGTCAGGTGTTCCGGGCCTTGCTAATTTTTTTCTTTTTTCTTTTTTTTCCTTTTTTTTTTTTTTTTTTTTTTTTAAGAGATGGGATCTTGCTATGTTACCTAGGCTCGTCCTGAACTCCTGGGCTCGAGATATCCTCCCACCTTGACCTCCCAAAGCATAGTTTTTCTTTAATTTTGTTAGAATCAAATAATTTAAAAGATAGTTTAGCAACCACTTGACTTAACAAAACTTTTGTTGAACAATCATTATAGTGATTTCCTTTCTCTTTACAAACACTAATAATTGAAAATTCTCTTTGACTAGCATCCAGAGGTTTTTAATACCACAGGGCAATGCACTATAGTGAGACTCAGAAGGGATGAGAAGTAGGTGTTTATTTTGTAAAATGGAAGAACAGCAATTGTGAAAAAAAAAGAAAGGAAAGAAAGAAAGAAAGAAAAAAGAAAGAGAGAAGAGAAGAGAAGAGAAAAGAAAAGAAAAAAGAGAAAAGAAAAAAGAAATAAGGCTGGAAACATGGTATAGCACGTAAACCAAGTTCGTTGGGGAAAATGCAAAGGACATTGAGGATCAGAAAACTGATTGCCTTAACACTCTTTAGATCAGCCAAATTTTCCAGAAAGTCTCCAAGTACCCTCAGAAGCGTAAGTTTACCAGTTGGAATTGCATTACTACAAAGCCAATTCTAAGACATAGACATGAAACACTCTGAGAAAAGCCTTGGCCACAAGATGTCACCAAATTTCCACTTTCTACTTTAAGGTGCTATTATAAGCTTCCTTCCTTCAAAATGATCCGCAGCAGCATTTGGGTTTTGAACAAGAAGAGGACAGATAAAGTACTCTGATTCTTTCTTAATTTTAAAAGAAAAAAAAAATCAATGGGTAAGAAGGGAGGATGAAGAAAAATAAATTAGTTTTGCAGTATTATCACATGTTATCTGGGCCTTAACAAATTAGTTTCTAGTAAAATGTGATCCAATGAACACATTTAAATAAAATTAAAATTAAACAATTTAAAGTAGGTACTCTAAAGTGGAAAAAAATCTTGTGTTAATTTGCTTAGGAATCTATTTTGTTTTAAATAAAAAGTAAATAAAATGAAAAAATATTGTAAAAATGAAGATTTTATTAAAATCCTGAGAAAATTGATAACTTGTCAATAAAAATAAGCCTATCCCTCAGAGCAAATTTGTGTTAGAATAAAAGGCATCTGTTTATCCATATACATAGCTCTATGCAGCCCCTAAAACATTTTATTATTCAAGTTTACTTAGTGTTGAAAATGTTACCTATTGCTTAGTTATTCAAGACTGTTATATATTTATAGTATTTATTGTACTGTATGTATGTTGAGAAGTTAATTATTGATATGCTAAATTTGTTATAGTTGGGAGTTAACTTCATACAGATTAATATGGATTAAAAATCCAAATTTCTCAAAATTCTAGATTTTTAAAACATATAGACATTCAAATTACATGTCAAGTTGTGAGTATTAGCATATTCCTCAGTTTTCAGTGTGAATATTAGCATATTCCTCAGTTTTGAGATTATTGTTTCATAAATGTTTCAAACCACATTATTATGTATGTTAAGGGTATTTTAATTAATCATTCCAACTCTGGCATAAGTAGACAAACTACTTAGTAATGTCAAACCAAAATAATATTCTGGCAGTCTCTGTCAGTAAAATGTCATTTTATCTGAAACATGAACAAACTAATTTCTGTTGTTGTTTTTGATATTTTTCTTTGAACATTATAAAAATTTTCAAACATAAAGCAAAATTGAAAGAATTTTAAATGAGTACCTGTATATCTTCCACAAGGTCCTACTATTAACAGTTTAGTATACTTGCTTTATCATATCCATCCATCAATCCATCCCCCATCCATTAAATCTCTTTTATTTATGTAAGCACTTTAGAGTTCAATATTTGTGTGTGTTTATGTGAAATGTACATATACTACAATGTACAACTCTTAAGTGTATATTCACTGAGTTTTGACAAATACATACATCTGTACACAGTCAAACCCATATCACGATATAGAACGTGACCTTCCTGTAAGAAAGTTCTCATAACCTTCACAGTAAATTCCTACCCCAACAACTCTCCAGAGGCAACCAATGTTATTTTTTTTTCCACTGCAGATTGGTTTTGTTTGTTCTAGGCTTTCTTATAAGTGGAGTCACAAAGTATGTACCCTTTTGTTTAAATCTTCTTTCACTAAGCCTTCATGTTGAATGCAATGTATAATTCATTTATTTGTATTATAGAGGAGTATTTCACTATATATGCCATAGTTTGTTTATCCAATCTCTAACTGAACATGTGAGCTATTTCCTTTTTGAGGCTTTTCTGAACAAAGCTGCTATGAATATTCTTGGATATGTCTTTTTGTGAATATATGCTTTTATTTCCCTTTAGTAGATGCTTATTAGTGAAAATGCTGGGCCATAGTGTAGGGATATCTTTAGTTTTAGCATTTAGCATTTAGTTGTGGCATTATACAATCCTTACAAAAAATGTATGAGAGGTCCAGTTTTTCTATAACATCACTAGCATTTGGTAATGTTTATCTTTCTAAATTATAGTCATTCTGGTGGTAGTGTCTTGTCTCCTGGTTTTAATATGTATTTCCATAGTGACAGTTGACATCGTATACTCTTTAATGATTTTATTGGCAATTTGTACTTCTTTTTTTATAAATTGTCTATTCAAATACTTTGCCCAGTTTTAATTAGGTTATTTGACTTTCTATTGCTGAGTTGTAGGAGTACTCTATGTATTCTGCATACCCGTCCTTTGTCAGGTGTGAATATTTCTTCCAGTCTTAGCTTTATTTGTGAATATTTCTTTGTGAATATTTCTTCCAGTCTTAGCTTATTTCTTAATGTTCATTTTAATTAGCAGAAACTTTTAATTTTGAAGAAATATAATTTATCAATTTTTTCTTAAATGATTTTACTTTCTGTACCTGATGGTACCTTTGCTTATCCCCAAGTCATAAAAATATTCTATTTCCCTTTAAAGGTTTTATGGTTTTAGCTTTTATGTTTAGGTCTATGATCCAAAATTGATTTTTCTGTATAGTATGAGGTGTGAGTCAAGGGGTTTTGTTAAAATATGGATATTTAGTATTCCAAGGGACTTTTCTTTCCTCATTGGCTTTGTTAAAAAGCAAATGTCTATGTAAGTGCAAGTGTATATCTACGTTCTTTATTCTATTCCATTCATCTGTGGATCCTTATTTTTACCACACTGTCTGGATTACTACAGCTTGATAGTAACTTTTGCCTCTAACTTTGTCTTTATTTATATACTTTTTGGATAATAGCTACTGAAGATAGGTGCATATTTTAATATTATGTAAGTCTTATGAAAAATGACAACAAATTGCTTTTGGGGGCTTATGAATTTCAGTCTTAATTTGGGACATAGAGAAAAGGAAGCTTTTTGTTCTTATCAACAACATAAAAGCACTTGAAATTAGCCAGAGGATTGTCTAAATAATCCCCAAAATTTTACTTTGAGATATTTAATTTAGATATTTAAGAATTTGTACCAAATTCATTTTATAAAATATAAGCAATATGCTTAGGGTGTCTAGCTAGAATATTTTAGGCTAAACACTGCAACATCGGCTCAGGCTTCCCACTTTATAGCCATATCTATTTGCCTTTTTACCTCATTTAAATGAAATGAGGCTTGCACACAGTTTAAGTGCAGACCAAAATCCTTTATTCAGATTCCTACTTTATGCTCCCAGCCAAATTCCTTTATCTTTACTCTTCCACTTGCTTTAAACCTTCCTGCATGGTGTTCTTGGTTTTATTTTCAAGGTCGTACATTGTGTCAGCTGGCTATAAAGCCCACATTTGCATCTGGATCCTAATTTGTAGCAGTTTCATTCAACTTGACTCAAGGATATGACCACAGCAGTCTATCTAAACAAAGGGGGAAGTTTTCCAAAATGTCAAAAATCAAGTCTTTTTTTTTGTTTACAGACGGGTGTTTTGCATTGAATCCTTGGGAGTTATTGATGATCGTTATGGTACAGACTATTTTGACTTGAATAAATTTAGGCATAACAAAATCTAATTTAACACCCTATGGCACAATAGCTAGATCCAACCAAGTGCCATGAAGAGATTCTATTTTACATATATATATATAATATATATTATATATATAATATATATATAATATATATTATATATAAAATATATATAATATATATTATATATATAAAATATATTTTATATATTTATATAAAAATTACATATTTATATATATATATAATATATTTTATATATTTATATAAAAATTACATATTTATATATATATAAAATAACATATGCCAGGGAGAAAATCTTTCCACTTTTTAAGCAATTTTCAACTATCTTCAACACAAATGTGTGGTGTGTGTGCATACATGTATAATTACAAACATAATAGGTAAAATATTCACTATTTTAATGGTTAGGGACTTTTTTTTTTTTGAGATGGCGTCTTGCTCTGTTGCCCAGGCTGGAGTGAGGTGGTGCGATCGCAGTTCACTGCAATCTATGCCTCCTGGATTCATGCGATTCTCCTGCCTCTCAGCCTCCTGAACTACCTGGGATTACCGGTGTGAGCCACCACACCTGGCTAATCTTTGTATTTTTAGTAGAGATGGAGTTTTACCATGTTGGCCAGGATGGTGGCTCATGCCTGTAATCCCAGCACTTTGGAAGGCTGAGGCGCGTGGATCACTTGAGGTTAGGTTAGGGACTTTTATGACCTGAATTATGCCTCTCCAAACTTTATGTATTATACCACTCAGAATGCTATGGTATTTAAAGTGAGGTCTTTAAGTGATAACTAAGGTGACATTCGGTCATTGGGGTGAGCTCCAATCCAATGTGACTAGTGTCCTTATAGGAAGAGGAGCTTAGGACACATGTGTGTGCACAGAGGAAAAACCATGTTAGGACAAAATGAAGACACAGCCTTCTGCAAGCTGAGGAGACAAGCTGAATGAAACCAACCCTGTCAACACTTTGATCTTGTTTTTGTTTGCTAGTTTTTAGAGATGGTCTCACTCTGTAGGCCAGGCCACATCAAAGCTCACTACAACCTCAAATTCCTGGGCTTGGCCAGGCATGGTGGCTCACGCCTGTAATCCCAGCAGTTTGGGAGGCCAACGTGGGCAGATCACTTGAGGTCAGGAGTTCGAGACCAGCCTGGCCATTATGGTGAAACCCCGTCTCTACTAAATATACAGAAATTAGCCAGGTGTGCTGGCACGTGCCTGTAATCCCAGTTACTTGGGAGGCTGAGGCAGGAGAATTGCTTGAACCCAGGAAGCAGAGGTTGCAGTGAGCTGAGATCATGCCATTGCACTCCAGCCTGGACAAAGAAGTGAGACTCCATCTCAAAAAAAAAAAAAAAAAAAACACACACACACACAACAACAAAAACACAAAACCTCCTCAGCTCAAGCAACACTCCCGCCTCAACCTTCTGAGTAGCTGGGACTACAGGCGTTACCATGCCTGGCTAACACGTTGATCTTGAACATCTACCCTTCAGAACTGTGAGAAATAAATGTCTGCTATTTAAGCCACCCAGTTTGTGGTACTTTATTATGGGAGCCTTAGCAAACTAATATGGGGGTACAGATTCCAGAGCTAAGCCACCTGGGTATAAACCAAAGCTATGCCACTTGCCTGCTCTGTGACTTTGAGTATGTCACTTGACATCTCTATGCCTGAGTTTCTTTATCTATAAAATCAGTAAAATAAGAGTACCTACCTCATACTGTTGTTATAAAGAGTAAATGAGTTAGTACCTAAAAAGTACTTAAGCCAAAAGCCTTGCACATATTATCTTACATCGATCTTAGCTATTATCATTTATATAGCAGTATGTCAAAGTATACTAGATTTTAAATAATTGAGCCACATTTCAAAAACTATGTCTCAACATCTGCTTTTTATGTTCTTCAATGAGTTTTACTAAGAGGCATAGTGGAATGCACTTTTATTTATTTATTTTAAAAGTTTTTTAATTATAGTTTAAGTTCTGGGATACATATGCAGAATGTGCAGGTTTGTTACATAGGTATACACGTGCCATGGTGGTTTGCTGCACCCAGGAACCCGGCATTTACATTAGATATTTCTCCTAATGCTATCCCTCCTCTAGCCCTGCACTCCCCAACCAGCCCTGGTGTGTGATGTTCCCTCCCTGTGTCCATGTGTTCTCATTGTTCAACTCCCACTTATGAGTGAGAAATGCAGTGTTTGGTTTTCTGTTCTTGCGTTAGTTTGCTGAGAATGATGGTTTCCAGCTTCATCCATGTCCCTGCAAAGGACATGAAGTCATCCTTTTTTATGGCTGCATAGTATTCCATGGTGTATATGTGCCACATTTTCTTTATCCAGTCTATCATTGATGGGCATTTGGGTTGGTTCCAAGTCTTTGCTATTGTGAGCAGTGCTGGAAGGAATGCACTTTTAGATTTAGATTTCGATTGACAGGGCTCAGTCTTATGCATTCATGTAAGATATATACTGCAGAGGTTTGGCATGAAGTTTATCATTGATAGTTTTTGCTCCACACTACGCCATAGGACTGAAATAATTTTGACACATTCTTAAATATTTGTCTGGAGGCCTAGAATTGCTCATGATGAAAAGCTGCCTCCCAGTTACCAGGAGCTATGTTAATTTGCTTAAGGAATGAAACCACATCTAGTATAGCAGCTGCAATTGGAGTCACCACTTGGTTAAGCTTCCAATAATCCACTGTCATTCTCTGTCTTCTGCACAGAATAAGAGAATTGAATGTTGATGTAATGAAAATCACCAACCCTGCCTCCTTCAAGTTCTTGATGATAACACCAATTTCTGCAATCCCTCTGGGAATGCAGTATTGCCTTTGATTTTCTATTTTCCTAGGTAGAGACAGCTCTAATGGCTTCCATTTGGCCTCTCCCATCATAGTAGCCCTCCCTCCACAGGATAGAAAACCAATGAGAAGATTCTGCCAGTCGCTAAGTACGTCTATTCCAATTATGCATTCCACAACAGGGAAATAACATAGGATGGATGGGGACCCAGTGGATCCACTGTGAGTTGGACCTGAGCTAAAACTCCACTGATCACCTGACCTCCATAAGACCCTACTCTGACTGGAGAGCCACAGTGATGCTTTTGGTCTCATGGAAAAAGGAAATAATCAGACCTTTCAGGGACTACTGGAACACTGGCCAGTAGTTCCTGAAAGGTCTGATTATTTCCTTTTTACCAATGCACAGTTACCTTGATAAAAGACCATAGGTCTCTTTGGGGAAGGGTGAAAGAAAGATTAAAATTATAAATTTTTGGTATTGTACTAGGGTCCTTCCTTAATGGGACCTGGCTTTCCCTCATTCAAGGAGTTCCGGGTCTGTAAATCTGCTCAAGACTGGGAACTGATTGAGGGGTTATGATGATGTTTTTATGATTCAGGTTAAATGTTTGTTTGTTCATTTGACCTATAATTTTTCTCCTCATACAGATCAAGTAAAAATTTAGTAGGCTTCTTATCTATATCACTTCTAGGAACATCATGATCAAACAACCACTTTCATAGGTTGCATAAATCAGGTTATCCTGATTGCTACTTTGATGCTACTGTACGTAACAGTACCACACCCATCTTGCTTTTCACAGTTGAGTGTCAGCATTTGGCCCTTGCCATCTGGGATCCAATGACTTCCATTGCATTTAGGTTTTCTAATTGAGTGGCTGTGACTCCCATTGTAAAGACTGGCCTGCAGAGAAGAACAATCACAGAGCTCTTCAAGGATGCTGGCACTCCCCTCACAAGTCTATTTCTCAGTGTATTGGTAAGGTATGTTTTCCAGACCCTCCCAGTGTGGGTAAGTAGGTCTTAGGTGACCAATCCACTCTAGCATTCCAATCTCCCTAAGACTTTGAATTCCCTCCTCCACATTAAGCCAAGGGAGATCAGGCATCTTCAACTTGCTCATGGTGAGCCACCTTTTGATTAATATTTCAGCCAATCAACCAACCAGTTTGTATGCTTTCTAACTCTCTAAGCTGCAACATTAAATTCAGAATTACTATTTAGTGGGCCCATATTAATAAATTTGGCCTTATCAAACTTTATGTTCCTTCCACCATTATCCCATACACTTAATATTCATTCCCACACATGTTCCCTGGATTTCTGCTTGTGCGAACTAGAAAATTCAAATAGTCCTTTTGGAGTGTAGCATACCTCCTCATTGGTCAGACTTTGTACCTCACCTTTAGGAGCCTGCTGGGATTTGAGTCTAGTTATAAGCCTAAAAGCAAAAAGGTGATAGAAGTGGGTATGGGGAGAATCAGCATTGTCTTTCTCGGCAAATGCCTCAGGGGGCCATTATTATTTCCTTAGACAATGCAGGGTTAAGTGTAGAAAGGCCACTACCACTGTGGGTAAGAATGCCACTGCTTCTGGGGGTGGGAAGGCAACTTCTGCTCACAAAAAAGACTCACCAAAATTTAAGTGCTCAATGTCCCCAGCTTCATCATGTCTCCCCACATGTCTTCAAGTCAACTTACAGGATCCCATTCTTTCCCAATCAATGCCCTCACTTTAACAGTAGATGCCCTATGAGGCTAGGGATTCAACTTTCATTTAATTCAGCCAATCGCATGATGAGGACTTGTGTTTGATTTTTAGCAATTTTAGCCCTATGGCTCCAGTAGAGAAAATTTCCACAGGGTACATCTAGAAGCTCTGAGGTCATGTATGCATTGCTTGAGCTGGGAATTTGAATCCCTTAACTCATTCTTTTCTTTCATTACTTTGTGCAGTAACATTAGGAACAACCAATAAATATCATTATATTCCTTAGCACTATGGTAAATATTTGTCTCCTCCGAACCTCATGTTGAAGTTTGACCCCCAATGTTGGAAGTGGATCCCAATGGGAGGTGTTTGGGTCCTTGGGGTGGATCCCCCATGAATAGATTAATGTCCTCCCTGTGGGTGGAAAAGGGTAAGTGAGTTCTCACTCTATTCGTTCCCAAGAAATAGCTGTGGTTAAAAAAAAGCCCAGCACTGCCCCCCTTTCTCTTTTGTCATATGAGGTACAGATGCTGGCTCCTCTTCACCTTCTGCCTTGAGTGGAAGCAACCTGAAGCCCTTAGATGCAGATGCTCAAAGTTGAACTTTCTAGCTCTCCAGAACTGCAAGCCAAATAAATCCTTTTTCTTTATAAATTACCCAGCCTCCGGTATTCCTTTATAGTAACACAACACAGACTAATACACTCAGTTTTTCATAAACATTCAAAAGTATTATATACAGAGTCATTGATTTCCTGCCTCTTATAAGTGGTTGATTAGGAGTATCTAATGCAGATATTTTGATATCTGTATAACAGTTCATGCCATGGACAACCAGTGCTCTCTGTACTATTGGAAACAGAGTCCTTAGCATTTTTAAATATAATCACACTAGAGAGCCAATTCCAGAAGTCCCAAAACCAATTTAGGAAGCTCATCCTTACAGTTCTGTTCCTCTAGAATCACTCCTGGTATTAGGATTCTTCAGAGAAACAGGACCACCAATAGGATAGATAAATGATAGATAAATATGGCAGAGGATTTGTTAGAGGAATTAGCTTACATGATTATGGAGGCTGAGAAGTCCCAACCTGGAGAATGAGGGAAGTTGGTAGCATGGCTTGGTTCAAATCCAAAAAGCCTGAGAACCAAGGGGCACTAGTGCACATCCTGATGCCAAAAGGCTGGAGAACTTGGAGTTCTGATGTCCAAGAGCAAGAGAAGCTGGGTGTCTCAACTCCAGATGAGACAAAGTGAGCAAATTGCCTTTCTTCTGCCTTTTTGATCTATCCAGGCCCTCAGACAATTGGATGGTGCCTGCCCACATTACATCAGGGTAGATCTTCCATACTCAGTCCACTGATTCAAATGCCAGTCTCTTCTGGAAACACCCTTACAAACATACCGAGAAATAATGCTTCACCAGCTATCTGGGTATCCCTGAATCCAGTCAAGTTGACTCCTAAAATTAAGCATCACAGGAATATAGGACAGAGTCTAGCAGGGGTCCAATGTGGAGCTTCCAGTCCCTCTCCCATGGAGTCATAGATGGCTTTATCTCTTTCCAGTCACAATGTGGGACAATACTTATCCCAGCCTTTGGTGTTCAGAGTTTTTATTAGGGCTTGATCACCTATTTATTGTTTGTGTGGCTGAACTTTAGTCTACAGTTCCTCCCAGAAGTTGGGCTAATAGCTTTGAACTCAAGTTCCTCTGGAGGTAGGTAAAAATTGATATGGCACAGCCCAAAACCTATCATAAATCACATTGTTAGACTGTCCCACAGCCAAAGCCCTGAGGAGTGACACTCTTATGTTGCAGAACATTACAAGAGCCTAGAGCTAGGGGCAAAGGTCAGACCTCTCATTGGGTAAGGTTGATTATACACTAACAACTGCCTTCATTATTTGTTTATACCTGTATCTGTTCTGACCAGATAATATATGCACATAGCACAAAATTCAAAATATATATGTGTGTGTGTATGCGTGTGTACATGTGTATATATATACGTACATTCTCACATCTGCAAATAGTAATTTTTTTTTTTTTTTTGAGACTGAGTCTCGCCCAGTCACCCAGGCTGGAGTTCACTGGCGCGATCTCAGCTCATTGCAACCTCCACCTCCCGGGTTCAAGCAATTCTCCTGCCTCAGCCTCCCGAGTAGCTGGGATTACAGGCGCCTGCCACCATGCCAGATAATTTTTTGTATCTTTAGTAGAGACGGGGTTTCACCATGTTGGCCAGGCTGGTCTCGAACTCCTGACCTCATGATCCACCCCCCCCCCACCCCCCAGCCTCCCAAAGTGCTGGGATTACAGGTGTGAGCCACCACACCCAGCTACAAATAGTAATTTTTTAAACAGTCATAGTTATTATTAAAATTTGCACTATACAGAATTTTCTGAAAACACTCTGAATGCTCTTAAATATGAACTTATAAAAAGAAAAATACATTTAATGGAAAAACATGTTAATCTCTTTAACTTCACCATTACTCTGCGAAATCTAACAATCGAGTCCAGAAGGCTATTTTAAAGGTATTTGTGTACATCTCTTGGGACTTTCCCTAATGTGCAAGTCCAAGAGCTTCAAAAGTGTCAGCCTCAGAAAGACTAACCTATAAAATGAAGAAAGACATTGCAGCAAGCCATCTCAATTTAGGTATAGAAGAAATATAACATATTTATACATTTACTAATTATGATAGTGAATACAAAAAATACAAACATTATTTGATGAAAATCTCCCCTTCTCCCAAAATATATTGTGCAAAAACATGTCTTTACACACTTCTAGAAGACTGACCACTGACAGATGACATGGCATTTAAAAAATGTTAGCAATTGTAATTCATAGAAAGTAAACAAAATAAAATATTTAAAAAAATTTTTTTTATTCCAGTACTGAAAATGTTTCAAACGGATTCTTGTTTGGGTGGAAAGTAAAAGGAGACAGTGATCACTGACTAAATTGCCATAGCACAGTAGTGATGAAAAGACACAAAATATGGGGCACTGAATGGTTTCTTTTTTTTTTTTTTTGAGATGGAGTCTCATTCCGTCACCCAGGCTGGAGTGCAGTGGCGCGATCTTGGCTTACTGCAAGCTCCGCCTCCCAGGTTCACGCCATTCTCCTGCCTCAGCCTCCCGAGTAGCTGGGACTACAGGCGCCCGCCACCACGCCCGGCTAATTTTTTTTGTATTTTTAGTACAAACAGGGTGTCACCATGTTAGCCAGGATGGTCTAGATCTCCTGACCTTGTGATCCACCAGCCTCGGCCTCCCAAAGTGTTGGGATTACAGGCGTGAGCCACCTCGCCCGGCCGAATGGTTTCTAAAAAGCAGAAGTACACAATTCCAGTTCAATTGCTTGTGTAAAAAGGTGATTATTGTTTGTTTGTTTTTTAAAGAAGTCATATAAAATATAAAGTCAGGTCAGCATTAAGCTTTTAGTGTACAACTTGCTTGAACCTTTATAAAAATGGTAAACGAGCAGCTTTACTTTTCCTACAATGTTGTTCTATATTACAGTAATATATTCATAAAGAAAGGAAGTTTGCACCAGGCGCAGTGGCTCATGCCTGTAATCCTAGCACTTTGGGAGGCTGAGGCGAGTGGATCACCTGAGGTCAGGAGTTTGAGACCAGCCTGGCCAACATGGCAAAACCCAATTTCTACTAAAAATACAAAAAAAAAAAAAAAAAAATTAGCTGGGCATGGTGGCAGGCGCCTGTAATCCCAGCTACTTGGGAGGCTGAGGCAGGAGAATCACTTGAACCCAGTGGGTGGAGGTTGCAGTGAGACGAGATCGTGCCCCTTCACTCCAGCCTGGGCAGAAGAGTGAGACTCCGTCTCAAAACAACAACAACAAACAAAAAAACAAAAAAGGAAGCTTGCCACTCTTCTGCTATTCTAAGAATAAACATGTGGTTTACATTCTTGTTTTCACTGATCCACATGTACCTTTTTTTTTTTTTTGGTTACATACTTTCTCTCAAAATAAACTTTTCACTCAGGTCACCAAAAAATCTACCTGTAGATGATGTTAAATGGGTTCCCAATCTGTCCTTTGCATTCAACTCAGGGAAGCATTCTTTCATGTTATTATATTGTTTTTATGCTGTATTTAGATACAGTTTTAAATAAGCCCCCACATACCTTATGTTTCTGTGGTAAGCAAAAATAATGAGACGATGGGGGAAAAAATGAAGCTCTATAAGACTGAGCCTTTGCACGAGAGTTGTGTAATCTTAAAATAATCAGATCTCTTTGCCACTAAAATTCACGTAAGACTTGGAGTGATGGCTCTTCAAGACACTGGATTAGCTGATAGGCCACTTGCGCAAGGTATCTACAATCAAGGAAAAGCCCTTTACTAACATTAACACCATCTCAAGGAAATGTTTTAAATTTATGTCCTTATCTCAAAAATTTCACGTGAATACTTTTCCTCTATATAGGCAGTATTGTAGGAAGAAGTTTTGTAACTTCCTGTCCAGTTTTTCATATGGCATTATAAAACTGGACTCAAGAGATCAAAATTTGTGTTTTCTAGCCCCTTCAACACTAAATCACCATTAGAATGGTTTACGGTTGATAATTAACTGCTGTGTTTTAAGAAAGGGATGTGTTGATTGGCTTTCTTGTATAGTCCTTTCATTTACAATCACCTTCGCTACTGCTCAAATAGCTGGTGCTCCAGCATTAAAAGTCATGATTCACCCTTTCTAGTCCACATCAAAACTTACTTCCCAGCATAGCCTCATTGTCTATATTCAAAGGTTTCCAGGGATAAACAGAGTAAGTTTTTACGGACTTCTCACTGATATATGTAACACACATCATATGATTCATACACTGTACAGCAGTGGTTTTGTCTGAATAATACCATCTAGAAGGCAAATCATAGGAATTGTTCTTCCACATTGTCACTGAATTATGTAATTTATCAACAATACTTTTCCAATAGCATTTGTTCCCCCTGATTATATTTGTTATTACTGCTAACACTTTTTACAAGCTTCTCAGCAACAATGTCTTATTTTGTACTTTGTTTAAAGGAATACAACTCTGGGTGATGTTTCTGTAATTTTGGATTCATCCATAATATTGCATGACAAATTTTAAACTGAGACGTGAAGTAATTACCTAACTAAATGCATTACCAGAGAAATTAATGTACTTTAAAAATGATGTGATAACTTTGATGGTGACATGTAGATATTTGACAGGCAATGTACTGACCAATGGTGAATGGAATGCAGGCCAAAAAAAAATAAGTTCAGATAGTCATTATCCTTCCTTATCTGTATCAGCTGATGTCTGAAAACATCATACACACAGAATCTCTTCTAAAGCACATACTTTTTTTTTTTTTTTTTGCGAGACAGAGTCTCACTCTGTTGCTCACGCTGGAGTGCAGTGGCGCAATCTCTGCTCACTGCAATCTCCGCCCTCCGGGTTCAAGAGATTCTCCTGCCTCAGCCTCCCCAATAGCTGGGACTACAGGAGACTGCCACCATGCCTGACTAATTTTCGTATTTTTAGTAGAGATGGGTTTTCACCATATTGGCCAGGCTGATCTTGAACTCCTGACCTTAGGTGATCCACTCACCTAGGCCTCCCCAAGTGCTGGGATTACAGGTGTGAGCCACGTGCCCGGCCAAAAGCACATACATTTTCTCATTCTGTATTCACACTGAAGTTATTTCCATTGGAGCATTTTTACGAATGATATTTGTTACTATTTTCATCATTTTTCAATAAGCCAATTTTGTGAATTGGGAAAATGAGTATCAAATATAAAATGTAAATTTAACAAGCATTAAAATTAATACGAAAGAACATTAGTAAGGTGAACATCCGGTTAACCTCATGTTGGCTGAGGTTAAAACTGACCTACAGTCTTCACTGTGTACATAAGCATCTACAATAAACTAACACTTAAAAACTTAAGGGGATTGTCATGCAAATCATCTTACATTTAAAATGTGCAAAATATGTGAATTATGTGCATAAGATTTGCAAAATATATGTGAAAGATGTGGGAAAAAGTTGCATTTTTTTCTTTTTGAAATTGCAAATCTGTTGAACAGACTACCAACAATCATTATTTTGTAAGCAGCATTGCTCTCTACTCCAAAGGTTAAGGTCTTACCCACAATTCAGACAGATGTCCAAAGATGACAATGGTTAAAATAGTAAGAAGGGCATCAATGAGAGATCAGAGAAGTATTTTCTAATAAAATATTTATTAAACAGTAAAAAGTACTTATACAAGTTAAGCAAAGTGCAAATGATATATGAACTAGAACAAGCTACTTTTCGTACCAGTGCCTCCTGTTGAAACGCCCAACACAAGTGCTCAATAAATGTCCACCATATTGAAACACATTTAAGAGAGAACACTGGCCTGGGCACGGAGGCTCACAGCTGTAATCACAGCACTCTGGGAGGCCAAGGCGGGTGGATCACAAGGTCAGGAGTTTGAGACCAGCCTGGCCAACATGGTGAAACCCTGTCTCTACTAAAAATACAAAAATTAGCCGGGCATGGTGGAGCATGCCTGTAATCCCAGCTACTCAGGAGGCTGAGGCAGGAGAATCGCTTGATCCTGGGAGGCGGAGGTTGCAGTGAGCCGAGCTTGTGCCACTGCACTCCAGCCTGGGTGACGGAACAAGAATCCGTCTCCAAAAAAAAAAAAAAAAGAGAGAGAGAGAACACCAATGCAATCTTAAAAATCAACTCTTTTGCCCAATCCTAAACTTGTGCTCTAGCATAATGTTCCTAAAATGACAATTATGGCTTACATTCTGCAATTTCTCTTAATTCTTAGGAGTCTATTGATGCCCAGTAATTTTGTGGTTGCTGTGACAATTCCAGCATTAGAGTTCTTGACATGCTTAAATTTTCTATTGTTATCTTATTTCTGTATTCCGGGCTCTTTCTTTCATAAATCTGAACTAATACAATCAATGCAGTCAAAATAGCAAAATCTGTTGTCTTTGCTAAACAAACACTTCTATTAAACTATCTGGAATAACTTTCAATGACTTTATGAGCAGCACTCATCCAGAACCATGCTTCCTACAGAAACAGCCTATCCTGAATCTGCCATTTGTCTCCAATGCCACTCTTAAATATTTGCCAACTCCTATTACTAAGTCTCTTCAAAGGATTACCAGCAGTCTTAATTTCACTTTCTGTCAAGCCACTTTGTACTTTTCTTCACTAAAACATGGAAATATATTTTGAACATAAGCAACAAGACAAATTTTACAGAACAGTTTGAAACAACTATAGGACTTCCAGTGATTAGGACATAGAAAAATATTTAAAGAATTCACACTTTTTTCCCTTTTATATTCTAGGTATGACAGAATAGTTTCATCATTTTATAATTTTGTAGACAGAAATACACATACTACTCATACATACACTTAAAAATGTATATGTATTTCTTTGAAAAGATGAGCATCACTTATGAGGAAGCAAAATAATAGAAAATTTTCCCAACAAAGAACTACAAATTCCTTTAAAAGCAATATTCTTGAACTGCTGTGAAGACATACAGCCACAATGCTACATAACTTTAAAATCACAGCAGACCTTAGAAACCATCTAATCTAGATGGTCCATTTTTTCATGTGAAGAAATTGAGGATTCAAGTTGAAAATCTTTGAAATTAAGGAAATGGCAGTAGTCAGACGGTAAACAAAGTGCAAGAAAAACACATGGGCTTTGCTGTTAAAAACAAAACAGGCCAGGTCACCACAACAAAACTATGTGACCTTCAGCATGTTACTAAGCTTTTTTCGGGGTTGGGGGGTCAGGGGAGCACTTCACCTTCTTTGTCTTTCATAAAAGTATAAGAACTAGGGGCCAGGCGTGGTGGCTCAGGCCTGTGATCCTAGCACTTTGGGAAGCTGAGCGGGCAGATCACGAGGTCAGGAGATCGAGACCATCCTGGCTAAGATGGCGAAACCCCATCTCTACTAAAAAA
This sequence comes from Homo sapiens, assembly GCF_000001405.40. Lineage (NCBI taxonomy): Eukaryota > Metazoa > Chordata > Mammalia > Primates > Hominidae > Homo > Homo sapiens. Next base: position 88,164,702 of record NC_000003.12, on the reverse strand, counting down.
TAGAAAAAATTAGCCGGGCATGGTGGCAGGCGCCTGTAGTCCCAGCTACTCGGAAGGCTGAGGCAGGAGAATGGCGCGGACCTGGGAGGCAGAGCTTGCAGTGAGCCGAGATCACACTACTGCACTCCAGCCTGGGTGACAGAGCGTGACTTGGTCTCAAAAAAAAAAAAAAAAAGTATAAGAACTAGGACAGGCGTGGTGGCTCACGCCTGTGATCCCAGCACTTTGGGAGGCCGAGGCGGGTGAAACACCTGAGATCAGGAGTTCAAGACCAGCCTGGCCAATATGTTGAAACCCCATCTCTACTAAAAATACAAAAAATTAGCCGGGCGTTGTGGTGGGCGCCTGTAATCCCAGCTACTCGGGAGGCTGAGGCAGGAGAATCACTTGAACCCAGGAGTGAGCTGAGGTCGTGTCACTGCACTCCAGCCTGGGCAACAAGAGTGAAACTCCATCTCAACAACAAATAAAAGTATAAGAACTAGATAATTCTATCTACCAGGGTGTATTAGAACTCATGTATTATGATTCCAGAAGATAACTTTGGTTTTATTCATTAAACATATTTACTGAGCATCTAATATATGTTATATGCTAGGTCTTGTTTTTAACAGATAAGCAAAGGTCTAGGAATATATAAAGCTTTGAATACAAAGTAGCATCACTTCCTTATTTCTATCTTTAATAAATATTTAATATCTAGTCTCTGTGCAAAGCAATACAAATATAATGTGAGTAAAACAGTTACAGTCCCTGTTCTCAGCTTAAAATTTACTGGGGGAGATACATAATAAATTAGTAAATTACCAAATAATATCTAAAGTGCTAGACTCAAACAAACAAGGTGCTCTGATAAATACTGAGAATTTAGATAAGAGAATACATTTAATCCAAGATAAAAGGCAGGCAGCCTCAAAGGTGAAAATGAAGCAGCCATGCAAAAAGCTTGGGAAAGATTATTCTAGACAATGTACACAAAACTCCTGCAGAGGAATAATGCTTGATTTATTGAAGAAATTTCATTATTAAACTGTTTGAATCATAGTTCTTTTCTTTCTACAATATATTATCCAACTGCCTGTAATAAAAAATAAAAATAAATATTTTTTTTTTTTTTTTTGAGACTGAGTCTCACTCTGTAGCCCCGGCTGGAGTGCAATGGCACGATCTCAGCTCACTGCAACCTCTGCCTCCTGGGTGCCAGTTCAAGCAATTCTCCTGCCTCAGCCTACAGAGTAGCTGGGACTTCAGGAACATGCCACCACGCCCAGTTAATTTTTGTTTTTGTAGAGACGGGGTTTCACCATGTTGGCCAGGCTGGTCTTGAACTCCTGACCTTGTGATCCGCCCGCCTCGGCCTCCCAAAGTGCTGGGATTATAGGAGATAGCCACTGCGCCTGGCCAAAAATTAAGTTTGGATACGTGGGCATAAAACAGAGGTCTAAGTAAGTACAGGATAAAGAGAAAGCCTACTTAGTAGATGATTGTACCAAACAATGTGTGAAAGTGAGTGGATCAAACTAGGTGGCGATGAATGGCAGATTATGAAATCTGGATTTTATTTTGGAGGTAATGCAACACCACTGAAAGTTCTGCACATGAAAGTTGTACTTTAAGAAAATTTTAATGTCATAAATAGGCAACAAATATTAAAGCAGAGAAATAAGATTAAAATTAGTGAAAGGTTAGGTAAAGAGAACCTAACAGCAGCAGCAGAAACAGAAAACACTACAGATACGCTACATCCAGATGTGGCAAGAAATTGAACATATGAAACAAAGACTGTCTCTGACACTAAAAGCACAATGGTGTCATAAACAGGAGGGGAAAAAGACTAGAGATTGTGGTGAGTTCAAGAGATTTGATATAAATTGTTACATATGTTACCCAATTATCTTTATGAAATATTGTTTTACATGAATATTCTGTATTTTTCTCCAAGATGTTATAAATCACTAAATAAGCAATTCGAGATATAATTACAAGTAGAATACAATATGAAATAATACTCCTACTCTGCATTTAGACAAGCAATATAGATTAAAGGAATCTTTGTTTTGGAAATAAATGCCAGCAAATGAAAACCTTCACATTGAAGATAATCAGTCAAAAAGTATTCCTCAAAACCCTACTACATATGAGGAAATATAGTGTAGTCACAGTATTTATCGCATACTTTGATAGCCTAGGAAGTTATTCAATCCTGTTTTCAGGTAAAAGAGGGATAATCGCATCTATCTCATGTAGCTGCTCACAAGATTGAATGAGTAAATACATGCAATGTATATGGAATAGTAACTGGCATGTAATAAGCACCCCAAATTTGACTTATCCTGTGCAAGGCACTGGGAAAAAGAAGACTGCAAAATAAGTAAGAATCACCGGTTCTAATAATTTACAATTTAGGGAGGCAAAGGTAACTTACATGTAACAATTTGAGAATTAAGTGTGATACTAATTAGTATAGTAAAAGATGAGACATGGAAAAGATGCAAACTTATAAACTAAATGTTTTAAGGAAAAGGCTTTCCTGGTTTTTTTTTTTTTTTTTTTTTTTTTTCAGAAAACACTGAATCAGACAAGTAACAGCTGGCAGTGGGTGATTTTTCCTTCAATCCTTAAATTTATTAATTCAAGTATAACTAATTGCACACCTGAGACTTAAGATATCTACAAACTGAAGATGAAAATTACTGATCAAGAGCCTCACCAAATGACTCACAAAAAAAAAAGAAAAAGAAAAAAAAAGAAGATTTAGCAGTACTGGCAATAGAAGTTAGAAGCTACCAAACTCTAGGCCAGTGATTTCATGACTAACACAAGTAGTTCTGGAGTTTCTGGTTTTATATACCACAGTAAATATTACATTTAATTTCAATATTTACATCTTACTGAAAGGCTACTGGAAAGGTTCAGACTAGAAAAATAAAGCTAAAAGCATTTAGCACATTCAAACAATTTGGAAACTTTTGTTTCCAATTCTAAATAAAGTGGCCTGTCAAAATATCCTGTATTTTGTATTGATAAAATCTATATGGCGCCAGGCATGGTGGCTCACACCTGTAATCCCAGAAATTTGGGAGGCCAAGGCGGGCAGAACACGAGGTCAGGAAATCGAGACCATCCTGGCTAACACGGTGAAACCCCGTCTCTATTAAAAATACAAAAAAAATTAGCCAGGCATGGCGGCACGCACCTGTAGACCCAGCTACTCGGGAGCCTGAGGCAGAAGAATCACTTGAACCCGGGAGACAGAGGTTGTAGTGAGCCGAGATTGTGCCACTGCACTCCAGCCTGGGTGACAGAGCGAGACTCCGTCTCAAAAAAAAAAAAAAAAAAAAAAGGCAGGGCGTGGTGGCTCACGCCTGTAATCCCAGCACTTTGGGAGTCCGAGGCGGGCGGATCACGAGGTCAGGAGGTCGAGACCATCCTGGCTAGCACGGTGAAACCCCGTCTCTACTTAAAAAAATACAAAAAATTAGCCAGGCGTGGTGGCGGGCGCCTGTAGTCCCAGCTACTCAGCAGGCTGAGGCAGGAGAATGGCGTGAACCCGGGAGGCGGAGCTTGCAGTGAGCAGAGATCGCGCCACTGCACTCCAGCCTGGGTGACAGAGCAAGACTCCGTCTCAAAAAAAAAAAAAAAAAAAAATCTATATGTCTTAGCTAGAGTCATATGGTTATTTAAAATTTCAATTAAAAATTTTTCCAGACCATATAAAAGGATCTGAATCCTTTGACAAAGGGCCTAAAGAAGTTTCCACCTTAAGAAAACTTAAACCCAGAGACTGAGATCTGAATCCAATGTAAGTTTATGTAAATAATCTACTGATGTATTTTGTCTTGCACTTGATTCAGTGACTTACCAACAGATGCCCAATAAATATATGCCAAATAAACTTGAAGAGAATCCCAATCCAGAAAGTGTTGTTTCCTAGCATGGACGCTGTGCTATCTGCATCAAAACTGGGTAAATAACAAAGGTTATGAATAGGATTTTGGGGGTGAGAGGAGAGGCAGGAAGAAGAGGTATAAGGTGAGATCACATACATAGATAGGCCCGGAAGAAGAAATGTTCCTGTTTTCAAAATCCTTCATCAGAATTAGCAATATAAAATTATTTCTAAATAATTTCTTAGGAAAAGTTTTTGTAAAAGTCTTTTCTTAGGAAAAGTTTTGTAAAGAAGAAATGTTCCTGTTTTCAAAATCTTTCATCAGAATTAGCAATATACAATTATTTCTAAATAATTTCTTAGGAAAAGTTTTTGTAAAGGTCTGGAGAATCATTTCTAAATTTTTTTTTCATGTTTTTATCACTTTCTCCAAAGCATGTTAATTATTCTTCATTAAATTTATCTTGCCAAAATAAAATGAATTCTGAATTAATATTTTTACGTTCCACTTGACAGTATTTTGGTTGGTTTTGTCTCCATGTCTGGAAACCAAAATTCACAAGTTACAAACTATCATAAACTAACATTTCCTAGAGATTATCCTTTCATTCATAAAAAAGGTTTAGTCCTCTAACTTAAGGACTTAAAAATACCACAAAATCTTTTATAAATATTTTCACTTTTTAACACAGTAGAGTAGTCGTCTGGGGTAAATGTAATTATTACGGCAGGATTTTCCAGACATGGAGAATAAGACACACAGCTGTTTTAGTGAAACCCACTGACTCAATGAAATATGTAAAAACTCTAAAAATTCATGCAAACATTTTTCATGAGTAAGAACACAACACTCAACTTGTATGACCAACTTCCACAACCCAAATGAAGCAGTGAAGAAAAGGTCATCTAAGTTTGTAAAAACAGAGATATCCTAAGGATAACATTACAGTGGGATGTGCATTCATTTTTATGATCTACTTAGCCGTATAACCTATTTTGTTAAAACGCAGTTTTTTACTTTTTTCTAAGCCACTGTTTTTTAAATCTTTTTTCAGACACTATTACCATTTCTTTTTTTTTTTTTTTTTTTTTTTTGAGACAGAGTCTCGCTCCGTCACCCAGGCTGCAGTGCAGTGGTGCAATCTCAGCTCACTGCAATCTCCACCTCCCAGGTTCACGCCATTCTCCTGCCTCAGCCTCCGAGTAGCTGGGACTACAGGCGCCTGCCACAGCTACAGGTGCCCACCACCACGCCTGGCTAATTTTTTGTATTTTTAGTAGAGACAGGGTTTCACCGTGTTAGCCAGGATGGTCTTGATCTCCTGAACTGGTGATCCGCCGCCTCGGCCTCCCAAAGTGCTGGGATTACAGGCGTGAGCCACCGCGCCCAGCCCACTATTACAATTTCTTGTTGGTACTAGGTAACTAACCTTCTTTTAGTATGTTACCTTTCTGAAAACCCAGGAACATTTCCTGATCTGCTATCTTGTTTGCCATTTTCAAGTTGATTTAATAAATTAAAGATGGCTTTTCCCCTTATCGTTGGTATTTTTGGTAAGAAGACACATGAAGTACGTTATTTCACATTCTAGATTCTAACAAAGTATCCTAACATAACTATTACAATTTTTAAAAAATTTTAACAAAAAAGGATATTTACTATGTATGCCCTGTTATTAGGCTATGGCAAATTAGCCTACAGAAAGTAAAGGTCCAGATGGTCTCCCCAGTTTGACCACCCAATTATGATGAATTATCTGTAATGTATTCTTCTTTACAACTGACTCCAGACTTTCCAAATACCGGTTGGGTATATCAAAACAGAGAACTACAGCTGGTTTCTTTCTCCACCATTCCCTGGCATAAAAAGACTAATGGGGTTCAATCCTGCACAAGTAGAGTTCAATCCTGGCACTGTGCTTTTTGGCTGTTCTCACAAAAGGCTGATCAAGCTTCAAGCTTCACTAACAGACTTCAGTTCCTCTAGGTCTTTCTCCTCCAAATACTGTTTCTTCATACACTTCCCCTGTAATGTTTTCCAGGTAGCCTCAGGAATCTCAGGGTCTCTTACTGATCCTGGGCTTTTAAAGTCAGTATCTTTCTCCTCACAAATCTGAGTTATTTTGGGGGCCTAAAAGTTTCTGCGTATTCAAGTATGAAATTCAAAGAAACTATGTGACTGAAAAAGTAACACTGATGAGAAGAACCAAAGATAAACTCTAGAAGCGGAAAAGCCTTTTGTACACAGTATATAAGTTGTTTTTGCTCATTCGTTAATGCATTCACTCCAATATTAGGCTGTAGTGTGCCCATATCTAGGGATTCATGAAATAAACATGAAATAAAATAGCATTAATCCTCAAGAATCTCAAGACTATCAAAAAGATTTTACATTTTTAAGGTTGATTCAAAACTATGTGCAGAAATTGCAGCCTTATTTGTGCTTTACACGAACTCAAAAGTTTAATACTAAAGGTACCTAGAGGAAATCCCTGCCCTTTTTGAGTATCTCTAGTAACAAGAATGGTTTTTAATTTTATCCTTTACTTAGGATGTTTACCTATTACACTTTATAATGATATTTCAAACTTCAAACTAAGAAATAAAAGGTAACCCAGTTTTCAAAACTCAAGCAGAGGTATAGGATGGATAAAGATGGACTTGTGACCTGATTGTGTACCTTTATAAAAATATGAGAGGAAATTATTTTGCACACTATTTTCTTTATACTTAATTATATTACAATAACAGTGTAACTAGCAGTTATAAAATTTTCTTTGTTCTCGTTAAATGCCTAAAACTCTAAGAGCAACACAACTATAAATTAAATCTGAACGATACACTATTCTTATAGCAGACAAAAGGGATTTCCCTCCTTTATTAAGTTCTTATTTTAGGACATACCAATTCGTATTCCTCGTAAGAGGCATAGCATTAAAAAAACAAAGATGAGTTTCCAGGCTCCCATTTCCAAAATTCTTATCAGTCTCCCTAGATGATTATAGCAAAGGAAAAAGTAACATGTACAATACGTCATCACATTTCCCAATTGAGTTCTTTTCCAAATGGTAATTTTATAAATTAAAGTAACTAAGTAAATCCATGATCAGCAAACAGTTGCTAGGTGATGAAGAATTTAAACAAAGCATGTAAATAATTTGGCAACTCAACCATGTAACTCAAACCTAGTAACAGGTAAAAAACTAAATATTCTAAGTTATAATGTGGGAGTATATGTATACTTATGTATATGTGTATACACACATTATACATGCATGGGTTGTTTTGGGGTTTTTTTTGTCATCTCTGCCAAGATCAGCCAAGAGGAAGAACGGTAATTCGTTTAAAAGTTAGGAACTGGGCATACCTTTAAAATTTCAACAGCATATTTCCTTTATATTGTATTACAGTAACTGCTCTATAAAACTGTTGTCTGAAGCCTAGGTAAGAATAAAGTCTATTTCGAGAACAGCATTTATCACTGCCCAAAAACAGTAAGGAAAATGTTGCAGATTACAAAAGATATTTAGCTTGGACTACAGCTGATAACTTTGAAAAATGTTTCTCAAATCTTTAAAGAGGTAGTAAGTTTTTCTTCAACTGTTAAATTATTGGACTTTTTTGCAAAAAGAATGTTATTTAAATTTTCTAAAATGAGAACTTTGAGTTTACGTTAAACATCTCTAAAATATTTAATAGTTTTAAAAATATACTACAGTGAGATGCATTTGTAAAATACAATTATCCAGAGTTAGACAAAAGTAAACATGAAACTTAAAGAGGGGAAGCCTGGACCATTATTAATCCTTTCCCACATGAAAAGTGCAGATATTAGCAGAATATTCACTAAGTAAAAGGAAAATATTACCTGGTTTCTAAGGCACACAGTTAGCTGTAAGATCTAAAGTGGGATTTATTTGCATTAAGCTTTCAGAATACTTGCTGCAACTCGGGTAGAAATAGGTAAGTATTCACATGATATGTAAGTCTGTAGTCCAGAAAGGTATTTCAACTAAAATATGTCAATTTTCACATCTGAAATCATTCAGACATTACTGATATAGTATTTGGAAGAGTTTCTGTATAGAAGATTTTTTTCAGGCTGACAGTACTTAGCGCTTTAGAGGGTCAGGTAAACCCAGTTCTCTTTTGTTCAGCAATGTCTCATTTCCACTACCTCAAACTTGGTCCCCAGTTCCACTATCCGAAGCCTGCTTTACATTATGTCGTACTTCATTGGTACCACATACAGTGATTACATTATAAAAGGCCTCTAGATCACTTTGTTCAAATTTAACAGATGGTTTCGGTAATGTTCCAGGAGCAAGGGAACTCTCTCCCATAATTTTCAGGTTGATAAATTTGATTTTCCAAGTATTCTCCACAAAAGGGCAGCGGATGAGTCCAAAAATTTGTTCAAAAATGCCCAAACAAGTGTTTCCTCGATGGACAGTCCCAGCAACTCCAACCATAACCAGCCCATGAGGAGAAGATGCACATTTCAGTCCATGTGAATCTAGGTTGGGGCTGAGAAAAAGAAATTCTTCTTTTACTAGTGACAGCAAACGAAGGCTCACGATTTCTGCTCCATGGTAGTCCATAACATTTTGTTCTGATGTGTTGTAATAAAACCTAAGCTTCACATCATGCCAGAAGTGCTGTGGTCCCCATTCATCTTGAGGTGGTCCTAGAAAAGGATTCTGAGAATTAAGAAGTCCAAAGAACCAATGACAGAATTCTTCTCCTAGGCGACGAAAATCAACTTTTTCAGCTTTTTTATCTTCTTTCACCTGCTGATTGAAACAAATAAAATAAATACAAAATAACACTAAGGTTTAACTTTCATATCTATTTTTCTATCTAGCCTATTAAGTTTGAATGAACCCATTACACCAGAGAGAAATGAACCATATGTGAACTTGCTGAACCCATTATGCATAGTAAAAATCTTTTTTCAAGAGGAGAAAAATCATTTTAGAAATTTCCAGCTTAAATTGCTGAAAATTCAGCTAAGAGAGTAAGGTTTAGTAAGGCCAATTTAAAAATCAGTATGAACTTGGCGGGCGTGGTGGCTCACGCCTGTAATCCCAGCACTTTGGGAGGAGGAGGCAGGCGGATGGTGAGGTCAGGAGTTTGAGACCAGCCTGGCCAATATAGTGAAACCCCGTCTCTACTAAAAATACAAAAATTAGCCGGGCATGGTGGCGTGTACCTGTATTCCCAGCTACTCAGGAGGCTGAGGCAGGAGAATCACTTGAACTTGGGAGGTGGAGGTTGCAGTGAGCCAAGATAGCATCACTGCACTCCAGCCCGCGCAACAGAGCGAGACTCCGTGTGAAAAAAAAAAAAAAATCAGTATGAACAGTCATATATAAAAATATATAAATTATATGATGATTTATGTAAGTGTTTCCTCAGATTGTGGCAGTGTTTTCACAGGTATATATGTATATCACAGGTATATATGTGAAAACCTTCAAAACGTTCACTTTAAATGGATGCATTTTGCATATAAATGACATAAAGTTAATATAAGCAAGCATTTTCATTGTCTTTAAATAGATACTCTTACGGTGATTGAAACAGGTTATTTTCTATAACTGGGATTAATTTTATTCTATTATTTCTCTTTTTTCACAGAAAATGTTACTGTAAGCTGGGCGTGGTGGTTCATGCCTGTAATCCCGGCACTTTGGGAGGCTGAGGCAGGCAGATCACTTGAGGTTAGGAGTTCAAGACCAGTCTTGACAACATGGTGAAACCCCGTCTCTACTAAAAACACAAAAATTAGCTGAGTGTAGTGGCGCATGCCTGTAATTCCAGCTACTTGGGAGGCTGAGGCAGGAGAAGTGCTTGAACCCAGAGGGTGGAGGCTGCAGTGAGCTGAGATCATGCCAACTGTACTCCAGCCTGGGTGACAGGGCAGACTTTGTCTCAAAAAAAAAAAAAAAAAGTTACTGTAAAAATCTACCTGATACACTAGATCTCATTCATCCATGTGTTCCACAACACAGTACTTTACTGAGATGTATGAGATCTTAGGTTTACTGAGCACCTGCTATTTAATACACTGGGCACTGTGCGTGGCACTGGTTATTTGCCTAATTTAACACACCTAGTATATTGCAGACCCTAATTTGAAGTCGTATTTGTATGATTTCAAAGTCAATGCTCTTATCAGTACATAAAGTAAGAAAGCTCTTAAAGATTCTTTCCTAGTGTGAAGGCAAAGCTTTCTCACTGTGAAACCTCATTAATTCAAAAAATGTGGTATGTAGTTTAAAAATCTGCAAATTACATAGAGGTTAATTCAAGCAACACTTAAATATTTGTGCAGTATCTAAAATGTACAGTGGAGATAATATAAAGAACAGAAACAGCCAATGTCCGCTGGAGAATATTTCTACAATAGGACTTTTTCTAGTTAAAAAAAAAAAAGTATAAAAAATATTTAGGTTCCAATGTGGGGGCGGGGGCATCAAGAAAAATAGCTAACGCATGCTGGGCTTCATACCTAGGTGATAGGTTGATAGGCGCAGCAAACCACCATGGCACATGTTTACCTATCTAACAAACCTGCACACGTACCCTGGAACTTAAAAGAAAATTTTTTTTAAAGTAAAATTTTAAGTTCCTTTCATGACATTTTTGCAATACCAAAAACGTCTTAAAAGTGAGAAAGAATTTGCAATAAAATTCTTCTAAAGTGAAAAAAAATTACACGGAGCTAAAGTTAAAATTAACCTTGCAGTTTACTCTCTAAAAATCCAATAGTCCTCATTTGATGATGCTGATATTGAAAAATACTTTCTCACATATCAATAGATGATTATATATGCATCACTATATGTCAGAAATATTTTTGCTCTTAGTTGCTTTACTGGTCTCTTCCTTCCTTCAGGATTGATAGGATATGAAATAAAGTTAAAATTATAAAATATAAAAAAAATAGGCTGGGCATGGTGGCTCATGCCTGTAATTCCAGCTGAGGCGGGAGGACCACTTGAGGTCAGGAGTTCAAGACCAGCCTGGGCAACATAGTTGGGACCCTATCCCTACCAAAAAATTTTAAAAATTAGCCAGGCATGGTGGTGCATGCCTGTAGCCCTAGCTACTCAGGAGACAGAGGTGGGCAGAACACTTGAGTCCAGAAGTTCAAGGCTGCAGTGAGCTATGATTACACCACTGCACTCCAGCCTGGGCAACAGAGCAAGAATCTCTTAAAAAATAAAAATAAAAAAACCCCACAAACATTATTAACCATGTTCCCCACAATCTAGGATTATCAACAAAGTTTCAGACAGAACAAAGGTTCAGAATACAACCATAAGATTTATTTTACCTGTTGAAATAGGTGGATGTCCTCTGTCTTTGTAACTGGCTCTGGCGTTTCCTTCAATTTCAGTTGTGGTTGCTTTTGCCAGTAATCTTTTGCATGCTGAATAAGATTGTGTTTTTCAGTAGCTGGAGGTATAACAATCCCCTGTGTTGCCAAGTACTTAAATATAACTTCTCGGTGGACTTTTCTACGCCTCAGAAGTTCTTCTGCACTTTGACTGTATGCTAATATTGCATGAACAGCATCTAGAAAGAAATTGCAAAGATTAATAAAAAATCATGAGGCACTTACAAATTTGTGCCAGGTGGGCAGAAACTCTATCAAATATGTTTATAAACTCTCGTCACAGCATTATTGCTGTTACATGATAGTCATCATTTTTAAAAAATAGGAAGTCCGTTGTCAGTTTTCTTTTAACATCTTTATGCCTTAAACTTCCCTTACCTAAAATCTCTTCTGTTCACTTCCCATAAGTGATAGTGAAAGTTTAGCATTTCCTCTTAAAGAATTACATTTTAAGAAAACATTTAAGTGAGAAAAAATATTTTTTCTAATAAGGCCAACAGTCCTAAATTCATGCACAACCTCTAAAAATAGGGACAATTACAACAATATTTTAGATGTCAAGGAATTTTAGTCATATCTCCTCACTCTACAGATAATGAAAGTTGAGGCCATATTAGGTATCAATGATTGTATTTCTTTTTTTTTTTTTTTTTTGAGACGGAGTCTTGCTCTGTCGCCCAGGCTGGAGCACAGGGGTGCGATCTGGGATTACTGCAAGCTCCGCCTCCCAGGTTCACGCCATTCTCCTGCCTCAGCCTCCCAGGTAGCTGGGACTACAGGCGCCTGCCACGACGCCCAGCTAATTTTTTTAGTACAGACAGGGTTTCACCGTGTTAGCCAGGATGGTCTCGATCTCCTGACCTCATGATCCGCCCGCCTCGGCCTCCCAAAGTGCTGGGATTACAGGTGTGAGTCACCAAGCCCGGCCCAACTATTGTATTTCTAGAAAGTGGCAGAACCAGGGCTTGTATCTTTATATATTTTAATTTTTATTCTTTTGAGACAGAGTCTCACTCTGTCACCCAGGCTGGAGTGCAGTGGCGCGATCTCAGCTGACTGCAACCTCCACCTCCTGGGTTCAAGGGATTCTCCTCCCTCAGTCTCCCAAGGGGTTACAGGTGTGTGCCACCACACCCAGCTAATTTTTCTATTTTTAGTAGAGACGGGGTTTCACCATGTTGGCCAGGCTGGTCTTGAACTCCTGACCTCAGATGATCCGCTTGCCTCGGCCTCCCAAAGTGCTGGGATTACAGGCGTGAGCCACCACACCTGGCCCACTTGTATTTTAAAATACAAGACCAAAGAATATTTCTGACATGTGTGAGTCATACAGAATGGCAATAAAACGAACTCCCATATGCATACCCCCTAGCTTAGGACATAAGAAATTACTATCTTTGAGGCCCCCATTTCGTCTCTTCCCTAATGCTATTCCTCTTTATTCGCATCCACCTCAGAGTAGCTACTATCCTAAATGTTGCTTTAAAATTTCCCTTCTTTTATAGTTGTACAGCATAAGTATGTATCCCTGAACTATATTTAGTTTGGTATGTTTTAAATTGTGCTATAAATTCAATCCATCCATATACAGTATATAGTTTTCTGTAATCAGCTTTTCATTCAATATTTTCTGGATTAATTTGATATACATAGCTAACTCATTTTCACTGCTATATCATAATTAGTTATATGACTGCACACAAGGTATCCAACTATTCTTCTGTTTACAGACTTCTATTCTGCGTCCAATTACAAACGCTGTTACTTTGAACATTCTCATACACATCTCCCAGTGCTCAAAAAGGGGCAAGCAGTATGAGCATCAACCTGGAGCTTGTTAGAAGCAGAATTTCTGGGCCTCCCCTAAAACTAATGAGTCAGAACCTGCATTTTAACAAGATCCCTGAGAGATTCAAAAGCATATTCAAGTTTGAGAAGACTAGGTCTCGAGTATGTGTCTAATCTGCCATTTTAGGAGATGTCAAATTTGTTTTTTCAAAGTGGCAGTTTTAACTTAAACTCCTTCACTAGTTGTCAACGAGTTGCTTCACCTGATCATGAACACTTGAAGTTTATAGTTTATATATATATATATATTTTTTCCAATCTGGTACACAGAAAAGACAACTTCTGTTTCTGGTTTTCATTTCATTAGTTTCCAAAGATGCTGAGTATACTTTCATATGCTTAAGGGTGATTCCCCACCCCCTGCCCCAGGAATGTTTCTTCAAGTCATTTAAACGTTTTTGAACTGGGAATTTTTTTCTTATTTGCTTTTAGATACCCTATAATTAAATGCAGCATTTTATCCATTATAATTTTAAATTCACACTCACCATGATTATAAGAAGGTGAAAGCCATGTAAAATAAACGCTGAAGAACCATATAAGTCTAAAGCTATTTTCGGTCTTAATTCTTTGGAACTTCCTCTTTTAGTGTCCATGGTTCGGAGTGACAAATGACTTTCTTCAATGCCAAAAATGAAATCCGACTTAAGCAGAAAAACCCAGTTTTATAAGGGCAGAATCTTTTAAAGATAATCATATACTAATATGGGAATCTGGAATTTTTCACGTTTTGAAGTAAAATTCAGCAAATTTAAAATAAAACTAGCTACCCGACACACAAAATGAACAAACGCTTTACATTTTTATATGGACTAGTCACAATCAGACTTAGCACTAATACCCCTTAAAAATCCACCGGTATATGTATTTAGCTCGCTTGTGTGTATTCCTAGTACGAAAATCATCTCAGAAAAATTTTGCCTCCAAAAGGAGACATGGATTCAAGGTGCCTGCCATTTAATTACAGTAGTTGCTTTTTACCAGAGACATACAAAATGTTTGCCATCCTCCTCCCACTCAAACTTGAAGAAAAAAGCCCGAGCAGCAGCTGACTCTTCAGCTGATCGAAACTGAAAATGCAAAACATTCTGGCTCCCCAGAAAATTTTTTAAAATTTTTAAAAATTTAAATGACTTATTCCGAATCCTTGAATCAACAAGCGCTGCCCATAATATTCAATGGATAAAACCTGGAAGCCGTGCCATTATCACCGCCACCACCTCCCCGCCTTGACCCGGCAGCCCAAGTCGGCGTAGTGGTTCCAGAGCTGTGGATCTGCGGCTGCGGCCAACATTCCCGAGGATTCTGCCTAAGCGGGGTAGGCGTGAGGCCGGGGAAGGGGCGGCAGCCTTCTAGGTGAAGGGTCCGCCCTTACCTTGGCGGTCCTGAGGCTGCACCAGGCGGTTGGTGACAGTGTCGCATAGGGCCATGATCTCGTCGTTGTCCAGTAGGCCAAGTAGGTTACGGCAGCCCTCCATCTCTGAAAAGCTGAGTCCCGACATCTCCATCCCCGGGACTGGGGGGGAAAGACAACGGCAACAATGTCGCCCCTACGGCCCACTGGGCCCGCGCCTGGCAACAGACACCGGAAGTGCCTTTCTTGTTGTTCTCCGTCGAAGGGCCTCCAGTATTCCAGGCCCCTGGGCGGAAGTAATCGCCAAAGAGGTCAATCAGGAAACGCAGTGCCCTCACTTGTGGTTCCGGGCTGGGGACGGAGTGAAGTCCCACGTATCTCAATTAAGGGAAGTGCTGGGTTTATATGGAGAACATAGACTATCCGCAAGGGAGCTGGTTACCGAAAGAGAAGTCCCTCCTCCAAAAGAGCGCCTTGGAGGGCTGCGCAGGTGCAGGTGCGTGGAAAGCAGCCCGCCACCCGGGCGCACCGCGAGCTCCCGTGATGCCGCGGGGCCGGCCAATGGAGGCGGCTCCTCCCCGCCCGCTGGCCGGGCCCCCGGGAGCGCTTGAATGTCTTCTGCGGCCACTTCTGAGTTGGGTGAGCCGGTAGTTTGGTTCCTTAAATTAAGTAAATTAAAATAATTTAGTTTTGTTTAACATTATAGTATGAAAAGTTAAAAATAGATAATCCACTGTGCCTGGCCGCCTTCCAGCGGACTTTCCTCTCAAACACGCCGGGACCGTCTCTTGCCTCCATTTCCCTCGTTGCCGGCTCGGCCTTAGAAGAGGCGATGTCGCGCGCAATTTAAGGTTGGGGGTTCTGGACGCCAGATTGCCAGGGTTTTACTCCGCCATTTACCCTGACTGTAAGCAAGCTCCTTAGCCTTTTCCCCTTCAGTTTCCAATGGAAGTGGATCTAGTGGAGATGCCTACCTCTTGGGGCTGTGGGGGCGGGGTGAACAGTGCATGGGGCTCTTACTAAAGAGCTCTTACTAAACTTTAGCTGTTATTACTATTGGCATGGTAGCAACACACATTTACGAGAGAAATAGTCATGCTCTGTTAAACAGGAATCAGACTAAATGCATTGTCACTTGCCTTTTTCCATTTTTAAGTCCTATTTTTGATCAGTTGACATTTAATTGGGGTATTGCCATTTAGTAGCTGAAATGTACACATCTGCAGATCCTGGTGAGCAAATTTAACTTTGTTTAAAATATAGCTTGGCCGGGCGCGGTGGCTCACGCCTGTAATCTCAGCACTTCGGGATGCTGAGGCGGGCAGATCACAAGAGGCCAGGAGTTCGAGACCAGCCCGGCCAACATAAAGAAGCCCCGTCTCCACTAAAAATACAAAAAATTAGCCTGGCATGGTGGCGGACGCCTGTAATCCCAGCTACTCGGAGGCTGAGGCAGGAGAATCGCTTGAACTCTGGAGGCAGAGGTTATAGTTAGCCGAGATCGCGCCACACTCACTGCACCCCAACCTGGGTGACAGAGCGAGACCCTGTCTCAAAAATAAATAATAGCTAAATATCAGTCATATATTGTACATGTAGTCCTTAAAGCATTCAAAATATGGTGAAATTGTCAGTGGATGTTATTGGGGTACCATTTACTCAACACAGGAATTCTTCGTATTTTAAATTAAGTATTAATGAATGCCTGCTATGTTAGCTATTGAAGGTTCAGCGACATGACCCTGACCTTTCTTCAAGGAGCTTTTGGGAGTGTTGTTAGTAAAGAGATGACAAGATAAGTGCTAAAATATGTTGGTATGGGACCACGTGGAGGGCATGTCCAACTTATTTCATTCGTTCATTAAAAATGTATTATAATTGAGCACCTACTTGCCAGTTATTGTTCTTTGTACTGGGGACAAAAAACAATGCTTGCATTTTGTTGGGAGGAAATAGACAGTAAACATGTAAGAAACTATATAGTCGGCCAGGAGATGCTATGGAAAAAAATAAATCCAGAAGACAAGGATGGGAGAGGATGTTAGTACTTTATACAGGTTGAAAGGAAAGCTTCTTTAAGTGACTGAAGATCAGAAGAAAGTGAGTGAGCCGCAGGAGAAGCATGGTAGGAAGAAGCAACAGTAGAGATTTTGAGGAAGGAGTCCAGGAGACTGGAGCCCGTTTGAGCAAGGAGGAGGCAATGAGCAATGTGTTAGAGTTGCAGTCAAGACTGATCTAACGCAGGGTTTCTTAATCATAGAACTGTTGACATTTTGGGCAGGATAATCTTTTGTCGAGGGGATTGTCCTGTGCATTGTGGGATGCTTAACGCATCCCCATCCTCTACCCACTGGGTGCCAGTAGCACCTCCTTCCCTCACTGTGCCAACCAAAATTACCTCCAGACATTGTTACATGTCCCCTGCAGGGCAAAATCACCCACAATTAAGAGCCATGGATGTAAAACCTGTCAAGATGCTTTTCGAGATGGTGAAAATGTTTTTTGCTGTCCAATACAGTAACTATCAGACACATGTGGTTCTTGAGCTTCTTGTACTGTTTAGTGCAACTAAGGAACTGAATTTTATGTTTTATTTGAATTTAAATTTTAATAGCCACACATGGCTAGTGACTACTGTCTTGGATAGTGTAGATATACAACCTTGTAGACCATTATATGGACTTTAGCTTTCATTTTTTATCTCTGACTTCCTTATTATTCTGTCAATCTCTCCAGACTAGTCAGTGGTTCCCTTATCATCTGCTCCTTCAACTTGCCATAGGTTCTTGCCTCAAAGCCTTTGCTCTTGCCCCTGGCATATTCTTCCCTTGGATATCTGAATGGCTGTTTCCCATACTTTAGTCAGGTTCCTGCTCAAAAGTCACCTTATCAGAGAGGCCTTACCTCATCATCTTGCTTAAAATCACCACCAACACCATGCTTATTTATGCATTTGCTACCCACTTTATTTTTCTGCATAGCACTCATACTCAAAAAACATACTGTATGTTTGTTGTCCCCCAGTAGAATATGAGCTCTGTGATGCCAGGATTTTTGTCTTTCATTGCCTGTTACAGAGGCCCGCACATGGTAGGTATCCAATGAATATTTGTTGAATAAATGAGCTTTGAAGGCACTGGCAGGTTTTAAACAGGAATGGCATTATCTGACTTGTCTCAGAACAGGATTACTTTCGTTGCTGGTGTGAAGATTGAAGGGGAGGGTAAGGGTAGAAGCAGGGAACCCAGTTAGGAGACTATTAAAATAGTCCAGGTTAGAGAAAATGGTGGCTTGAAGGGCATGATAGAGTCAGGGATGATTACAAGGTTTTGGTTTGGGCAACTAGTTGCCATTTATTGAGAGGAGGAATGCTGGGGGAGTAATCAAGAGATCTGGCTTTCTGACAAAGTGGTTATGCTTAGGAAGGATTAAATCAAAGAATGAGATGGGACAGGCAAAAAGGTGAACAACCAGTAAAACGGGAATAGTAGTGACAAATGCATGAACTAAAATTACATGATGAGGGTAGGTGCGGGGTTTAAATATGACTGGAGCCAAAGACAGGGTATGGGAGCCATACCTAATATGAAGAGAAATTTAGCAAAATTCTGTATCAATGGGATGTATAACTCTCCACAACGATAAAACTAGCATGCTAGAATTTGAGTATAACTGATCCCCACACCTTTTTGCACTGTTTCCATCAAATTCTGTTCTGGTAGTTTCATTTACTGAATACAACTTGAGCAAAAAACAACAAAAAACCCTCCCAATTAGAGCGGTTTGGGATATTAGATCTTACTACTAAAGTATCCATTCACCCAACCATTTAAGGAGCTATTAATAGGGGACTTGTTTAAATGTCTTGGCAACTAATTTTTGAGAGGGTTCTATAAATTTAAGGGGGAACTGTTTATCTTCCAGGGAAATACAAAGAACTTTATTGCTTTAGTTCTGTGATTTTCAAACCTTAGCTTGTATCAGAATCACCTGGAGGATTTGTTAAGCCAGATGGCCTCCAACCTGACCACAATTTAGCATTTCTAACAAATTTCCAGGTGATGCTGATTCTGCTGCTCTATAAACCACGCTTTAAGAATCACTGCTAGAAGATACCACTACATCAACCAGATATCTCTACCAGCCTTCATCCTTTGACTTTGAAATCACTGATCCTCAGGCAAATCTGACCCCATGTGGATTATTAGATCCACTCATGGTCTACATTTGTAGGGAAAAGTGTGTGGCACAATGGAAACATGGTTTTAGGACACATCTGATTTTTCAGTCACCCTCTGCATTTATTAGCTGTATGATTTTAATCAGGTTAACCTTTCTGAGCTTTGGTGTCTAAAGAGCAGTGTTCATATTTACCCTTGAGTTGTGACAATTAGAGGCAGCACACATAAACAAGCCATTTCTTCCCCCCAATGTGCAGTACCCATCAATAAGGCATGAAACTTTCTATCATTTACAATTTTTATTCCAAGTATTAGTGGATTGACTCTATTTCAAATCTTGATGTAGTTAAAACATCTGTCCCTGTTTTATCAATTGATTCTTGGTATCAGTACAGATATTATGCTATGAAAATCAGCTTAATTTGGTTATCTTGGAAGCCTATTTAGTAGTAGTTGCTTCCCAGAATTCTTCAAATTTCAGAAAAGGAAAATGAAAAGTTATCTAAACCCCAATAACTTTGTCCAAATACCTCACTACATTCATTATTTTGAATATGGAATATATTGAGTCTAAGATCATATGACCATAAATCAGACTGATCATTTTAGATCTCAGCTCTAGAATGTTTCAATAACACTCTCATAGTGTTTCAAGGCATAATGCTTGTAACATGCACAAATCATTTTATCCCATTTATCTATTTGCAGTGTGGTCTCATCACATCAAAAGTTTTTTTCCTACTTAAAGCCCCATTTTTTCCAATTGCAAGTTATAGCTAATAGTTTGGACGGTTTTCCTTTGTTAGTGAACGAAAAAAGTAGGAGCCTTCATGCTCAAAGACATCATTTTGGGTTACAGCTTACTGACTTCATTTCCCCAGTGAAATTCTTTCCTAGGAAGTAATTTTCATCATCATTTATATTGTAATATTTCAAAATGATTTCAGTCTTTGTTTTTTTAAGTTCCACCAGAAGCTCTTCATTTTTGAAGAATTACCAGTGTAGACAAATTTATCTACTGTCTTGACTTCGGAGAGTTCCGACACCTACTAAGTTTGCAGAACGTACTATATCACACTGAACCCACTTACCTGAAGTGACTTTAGTAAAAACAGAATTCTGTCAACTTTTATTCCTCCATATAGGCATTCGTTAAAATGTCCAAAAATGCCTATTTTGTGTAAAATTTTAGATACTTCTATTTTCTATATTATGTTTAAAAAAATCACTCAATCCAAATATGGTAATATACTAACTGAAATATGCCATTCCTTTATGAGACATAATAGACATTTTCATTTAATATATACCTTATATGTCTAATTCCTTTTGAAAGCAATATACTACATAAAATTGAACACTTGATTACCAACAAGGACGTTTTATTGAACAAATCTATGTACAGTACAAAAAATTTCTTGAAATGAGACACTATTGTTGATTTATTGCAGTTCAATGGCTCAGTTTTAATTTGTACTCTTATAAAATGCAAAGTAAAATAATTTAACATTCAACAAGGAAGCACAAATTTCCTTTCTTGCTGAATCTGTAATATCTTTCACATATTAACAACTCCAAAATGCATATGCAGCATTTACTCATTCTGAAAAGGTGTTTTACAGTACCAAATAAATTAAAAAATAAACACTATCATCCCTTTTAGGTTTTTCATCCATACAACAGTATTAAACCAAACATGAAAGGAGTACGGCTGAACCTTCAGTGTGATTTGAAAAGAATCACAAGTTCAATGATATAAATTATTTAAGTATTATATAATTGGTGGTTTCAAAAAAATGAATATGGCTAAAGCCCAAAGTACCAGTGTCCTTGTCCACGGAGATTCCCCTTTTTACCTCCTCCATAATATCTGAGCAGCAAAAATTCAGATTTGCTATTTTCTTCACCTTACTGACACACAGCAGAAATTTAACATTTAATTTTTTGAAGGAAATTTTTATTTAAAAACAAAGATTTGAAACTTGGTCCATGTAGGATGAATACATCCTCAAAACAGAAAAAAAGAAGAATCTGAGGAATAAGAAGCAAGCTTCCTTTTCTTCTGAAGCGCTCAAATTAGAACTGTTGGAAGTTTATGCACCCTATAAAAGCAAAATGATGTAGGTTTATGTTTTAAAAGACAGATGTAATAAAATGAACACATTCTTTCAATAGCTATTTGAGAAGTATATAAACCGAGGTTAAGACAGTGTGGTCAAATAGAATTTTATAAAACATTCCTTGATTTAGTTATATATAAACCAGTTTGATCTCAGTCTTGCAGAAATAATTTTAGCAACACAAAAGTAGAAATAAACCTCAAGTTAAAGACAGATTACAAATGGAATATATTTGAAACATCTTGGCATGAACAGTAAAAGTAATGAAAATGGAATACTTTGTGGGCATGGATTTATATCAATTGTTACAACTTGTGGAAAATGTGATAAAATATTAAACTTCTGGAAAATGTACAAAGCAGAAATATTTCAAAAGACTTCACTGTCCAAATGAACCAGTTTCCAAACAGACTTTTTATTACAAGACATACTTTTAGAATGAACTAAAATAAAAATCATTACATTTTTAGTATCAAGAAATACAGGAAACATTTTTTTTAGCTGACCTTAAAGAAAAGATTTTAATTATGAGCTGTGTTTAGTTACCTAAATGTAAATTCCACAGCCTAATATAGGCTACATAACAGAAACAAATTTAAATTTGGAATGGACTTATGACCATCATTGCATAGTAGTGAATGCTGATGATAAACCAATAAAACCGGGAAATTAAAAAAAAATCATCTGATCTATCATGATCTGGAAATCCTAATTTAATAAAATATGGATGCTACCTGGAAGAAATTCCCCACTTCCGTAATAGCCTCATTCAAGAAGCTCTAATAGGGTCTGATGAGATTATCTGCCTTGAACAAAGATTTTATTATTTAGAATAACTGGAATATTTGACATTGGGACATTAGGAGATCTGTTTTGAAACACTGCCTTTTTGTTATTTTAATCCCTGTTTTAGATTTACACACTATTAGTAAAAGGAAGTCTTTAAGCATCTTCCTTTCAATAATGGACAAATGGAAAACATCTGAGAGGGTATTTTTAAAAATATTTATTGTTTTAACACTTTATTAAGTTAAAATCTTCTTAGGAAAATAACATCACTAAGGAAAACAATGCTTGAATGTATCTCTTACTGTGTTCTTGTGCAAATGTTTTGTGTAAATACTTCCTTTTACATATAAAAATTACTGTTCAGACCAGAGTCATCACTAATGAATTAAAAAAACAGGAATAGTATGGCTTATTTTGGAATTACCTCTCCTAATAGAATAAAATGAATGATTTCTCAACCTGATTCTTAGCTGATTTTTTGAGCCAGTTATTTTAATAGGACTGTACTTAGATAACTCACATTAATGTCTAAAGGACCTTACTATGAATCATCAAGCAATGTCCCAACATATACACAAACAGAAGTATCCCAGTGTGCTTTTACCATTATTCACATTGAATAATTTGCAATTCAGTGTTTTCCTTCAACTACAAAGCCTGTAAAGTCTTAGATTCCTTTCATCTCTCCCCAGAGTACTGATCGGTTTTTTTCTATTTTATTGACACTGCTGCCCTTTAAATGTTAACTAATTTGTACCACAAAAGTGGTTAGTGGGAGGTTCTATCAAGAGCTTATTAGCAAAGCACTGTGGTTTTTTTTGTTTTGTTTTTTAATTTTCAATGCTGGCGTGCCATTCATTGAACTTTGACCTAATTAATCATCTGGAAACCTGTTACAATCTTTAATTGATAGCACTGTGGTAAGTTAATGTATAAGTTTCTAAATCAATCACAAACCAAACAGCAGCGGTTCCTTAAACCATGTTTAACCAGAAGGGAGGGGACATAATCTGATTATGCATGACAAGAAAACAAACCCCATTTGTAGAATAAAATACTTTAAATGGTTTAATATTGTAAACCAGCCCCCCTCCCCACACACACTTTTTAATAATGGGTTAATTTTTCCCTTTCTGTAAGGCCATAGCTGGTTTTCTGACTAGTTGCCTAAACATGTTTCTCATATAAGCGAAACTGAACATGCTGCTGCTATTAATCATCATAAACTGTAAAATGTGGTTTTCTGGAAAACTGGTACTTTGGGAGTTTTATAATCCTTTTGGAGTCTAAGCCAGCACATCTCTGTGAGTTCATTCTAGAAAATGTGCTTTGTCTTTATCTTTAGTAATCCAAGACCACTCTAAAATTAAGGCCATCAGGGAAATAGCAAACTGATGATGCATTTTCTTATAGTGCTTTTTTCACACTACTGCTTGATTGACAGATCTTTCTGAACCGTTTTCATCAGGCACCTGTAAAACAGAACACATCTGTTAATGCAAGTTTTATTGACATTCGACCGGAATTCCAAGTCAGATTCCTGTTTAATTTATACCCTGTCATTTTAAAGGATATTGATATTAGTAGACAGACAAGCTCTTTTTCTGATTTTGTTTCTCAATTATTTTCTGTTCTTTTTCTCCTTCTATTTTTGTAACAGAGACACAGATTCACTTGATTTATATTCTGGAATGCATATGAAAAATAATTCCCATCAAAATTACAACTTTTATTATATGAAACTTGGAATGAAGAATAACCTTTGATACAGTGAAGAAGTATAATCAAAGAATATGAAAAACCTGTGTTCAGGTTCTGCCTTGCACAAGTTCATAGGCAAAGCCCTATGCAAATTACTTGTGAATTTCAGTTGCTTGATCTATAAAACAGGAATATTAGTATCACCTCATAGTGGTTGTATGTATTAAAGGAAATAATGTATGGAGTAATGCTTCACTACCTGTGCTACACAAATATCAATTTTTTAAATCTCAAAGATCTATAATAGTTTTATTTATGCCATTTTCTCTTTCTACAGATACCTCTACTAAGAAGACAGAAGACTTACTTTCATCATCTGAATCAAATCCAAAGAGTGTCTGACATTTCTTTTGTGCAAGATGAGCCTCAAGTGCTTCTGCATTACAGTAGGTGGTCAGGCATTTGCCACATCTTAATCTTTTCACTGATTTTTTATACACGTTATCTTGATCAGAACAGGCATCTACTCTATCAGTCAGAAATTTTCTGCGTTTTGGCATACTAAGATACCGTTCATCAAGGTAACTGGGAGGCAATGGTCTGACGTATGGTTTTGTTAAAATTAAGCCATATGAAGTATGTTCACTTGTCAGATTTGGTTTGGAAGGTGCCTGAGATACTGGCAAGGTGTTGTGTTCTTGTGGTACAACACTGGGCAAAATGGAACCATTTTCTGTCCTGATTCTGTTTGTATCAATTTTCAAAGCAGGATCTGATGAAACTAAAGGTGTTTGCTCTATTTCACTGTGTCCATTGACTATATCACTACTACTACAATTATTTTCAGAATTTGGCTCTATGTCAGGCATCTTTTGGTCTATCAAGCTTATATTTGAAACAGTGTCATCAGAACGTTCGTTTCCATTCTGAACTAAACTGTCTGTTTTCTTTTCCATACTTTCTATACATGTCTTTGGTTCTGTAGACTCTTTCCTTGATTTGCTAGTAGAAACTGGCAGACTAATAGTTTGTTTCTCATTACTAGATGAGTCTTTTTCCTGATTAGGATTTGAGTCTGTCTGAACATCCCAAAGAATTGTTTCACTTGGTTGTGCAGATGACTCTGGTGTTTTACTTAAATAGTGTTGAGCTTCATGTTCATACAGCAGAGGAAGATCTTCAAAAAGCTCATGGCATTCTGGAAAACTACACTGAGCCTGAAATATCCTGTGACTTTTTGTGTGCTGGGCAAGCTGGAACGGCAGCTTAAACGACTCGTTGCAATTAAAATGCAAACAAAAATACACATTTGGATAGCTATGTCTATTAAGGTGGTCTATAAAATGTTGAGAATCTTCAAATTGCCTTTGACAAAATTTGCATTTTCCTTTGCTCCACTTCATTACTGTTTGTCGCACATTTAAATCGGTTGGATGTACGGTCATTGCATGTTTATTTAGAAACCCAATTCTTTTAAATATCCGGACACAACCAAGAGCAGGACACTTAAAGTTTCCTTCTTGATCTGTGGCATATATGTCTTTTGGATGGCACACAGTTCCATTGATTTTATGAATTACTGAAGTTTCTTGATTCAGGTCATAATCATCTTCTTCATAATCACCTTCTTCATCCTCTTCCTCCTCATAATCATCCCCACATTCAGTTAAAGGCTTGAAAACATTATTTAAAGAATTATTAGGACTGCCATTTTCAATAACATTTTCAATAACATCTTCTGGTACACTTATGGGAATTTCAATGAATTCAGCCACATGCTCAGGGATGACTTCTTTGTTTCCTTCACTAGAAGCAGTAAGTGTCTCCACTTCCAAATCCTTACTATCAGAATTCCCATTTTCAAATGAAATGGAAGAACTAGAACAATTTATTTCTTCCAAAGCAGTGACTTCCTGATCATCCTGTTGAGCTGCAGCAATTTGCTGCCTCTGTATCTTCTTAACATGATTCTTCAAATGCTTCTGCATAAGTCCTCTGTTTCTAAATTTCCTACCACATATTACACATGCAAAACTGCCTTTTTTCTGATGAGCCTGGGCATGCCTTACAATGTGACCACCTAAAAATTCCTTGTTACATAACATACAACGATGCCTTGGGACATTGTGATCTACTTTGGAAGTACTGAGAGCTGTAAGATTTTTCTTCGTATTAATATGACCTTTAGGCTGCACTCCAGATACATCATCAGGATCAGTCTCTCCAGTGCTCTGATCTGTAAGAGAGTCAAACCCTTCATCCAAACCTTGCTGTTCCTCCGTCCTTTTTAGATTACCTGCATTATTTTCCAGTGTGCTTTCATTTAGAAATCTAACTGCTGATTTATCACTCAATAATGCTACACAGTTTTTCTTAATCATTACGAAGTTCCAAAATTCAGGGTCAAAAAACAATCCCTTTTTCAAAATTGGAAGCAATTCAAAACGAACACGATTTTGAACACTACTTGTGCCTTCATTATATTCTTCATCTGGACGTTTGTAAAGCTCTTCAACAGTACGATACGCTTCTAAGGAGCGCTCCAGAAAAAATATTGAGAGTGCACAAATCCTGAGGATCTCCAAATCATTTGGCAAAAAATGTGCAATTGTTTTATAAATTAGACATTTAGTTTTGGGATCATCATGAAGGTCGAGTTGTAGAGCACAACCACATATTTCAACACAAATTTGCAAGCCTTCTTCTTCAACCTGTAAAAAGAAAAATATTAGTGCTAAATACTTTTTTTCCAAAAAAATGGTTATACTAGTCTATCTTTAAAAAACACAACTCTTAAAATGAAAGCTGAATAAACATAGTATTCCAATGTCCAATTTTCCATATTTAGTAGCCTTGTTTAACTCTTTTAAATATATACCTTTCTCTTTTTCTTAAACTTGAAAATAATCTGGAATAGATAGCATTTTAGCTTCTAATTTATTTAATTTTCACATTTGACAAGCCCACTATCCATAATACAAAATGGACTTATGGTGATTCATAAACTTATGGTGATTAAGATTTCTTCTAGACCCCCATTTATTATTGTAGGTACAAATCTCATATTCTTTGAGAGAAGGGTCAAAATTATGTGTATTTTAACAGATTTATCAATTTTCCACATCAAGAAATAAACTAGGCTTAAAAAAACTGCTTATGGGAACTTTTATTATAGTGCTATATGAAAAAATATTACTTATTTTGCTTATTAAGTAATGTTATTTATCCAAATAAGGGGGGAAATGTGGCACACATAAAGAAGGCAGTTATAATCTTTCCAAATCTAATAAGGTATATAAGCCTCAGAATAATGAGCCCCCTGGAAGTTATCTGAACAGTACTCAAGCTTTGAAACATTCACTGATGACTCAAGGATAATTGCATCAGCTTTTACTTGGGAATCTATTGTCGACCCATCTTAGTTATAATAGTGTCTCTAGTGGTTTGGAATAATCTAAAGGCTTATTTTGATTGGAGGAGACACCATAATAATGTCTTTAACATCATATATATGTATATATATCATACTGCCTACATATGGTATAGTATAGATTACAGGGAGGAATACTACCTTGCCAGCCTCACGTTTTCTTAGTCCTTTACATGCTGTGTAACCCTGAAGAACTACTTACAGTTCCCACAGGCAGACTTTAACTTGGCACATCCGATTTTCACTTTATCCAGCTAGTAAATTCCTACTGATCCTCCTATTCATTCTTTGAGAATCAGTTCTAATCTGAAGGTTTTTCTCCCCACTTATCCTGGTCTCTGCCCTGAGGTACAGTTAAAATTCCCCATTCTTTCCACCAAGAATAACTTATCTTTAAAAACATTTCAATTTTGTTTTATAAATATCTGTGTATGTGTATGTCCTCACCCCCCAACTGTGAATTCCTAAATTACAGGTGACAGTGTCTCATTTTTTATGTCTCCCTATGGTTAGCATAAAAGTTGGTACATAGTAACCTCTGAATAAATGTTTGCAGAATGAGTGAAAATCAGACCTATTCCATTTACTTAGTTTGCTCCTATAAATCCATCATTTACAACTTGGAATCCTTTCTGAATTCCAACTACTGATTTCTAAATGTCAATTATAATTAGACTTTACTACCTAGATTTTTCAGATACAGCAAATCAAAATCCATTCATTCAAAACAGAATTCGTTTTCTTTCTCCATACTTCTATCTACATCCTTTTTTTTTTTTTTTTTTTTTTTTGAGACAGAGTCTCGCACTGTCACCCAGGCTGGAGTAGAATGGCATGATCTCAGCTCACTGCAACCTCTGCCTCCCGGGTTCAAGCAATTCTCCTGCCTCAGCCTCCCCAGTAGCTGGGACTACAGGCGTGAGCCACCACACTTGGCTAATTTTTGTATTTTTAGTAGAGATGGGGTTTCACCATGTTGGCCAGACTGGTCTTGAACTTCTGGCCTCAAGTGATCTGCCCACCTCGGCATCCCAAAGTACTGGGATTACTGGTGTAAGCCATCGCGCCCAGCCTACATCCTCTATCTTGGCTCATAAAATTATCATGTATACAGATGCTCAAGTTTAAAAATGTTAAGATCATCCAAAAAGAGAACAGGCTGCTTCCTTACCTGAAATCTTTTGATGGTTCCAGGATATTTATGAATTTTCAATTTGTTCAATGAAATGAATGAACTGTTGCATTCAAATCCCTTTAAGTATCTCCGACAACCACTCCTCCTAACACACACAGTCTCTGCCATTAGTCTCATCCCCCACCCACTTCCCCATATTTCTCTGCTACCCTTTAATGTCACCAGATGGTTGTGAAAAACAAATAATAAAATGAGGAAAAAGTGCTCTGTAAACTACAAAATTCTCTACAAATGTTAGTACTACCCTCATGTCATTGAAAACTCAGCTGAAATTATTTCCTCTGTGAACCCTTTTTAGATATGCCATCTATGTCTCCTGAACTCACACAGTATTTATGACTCTTCACAGTACTGAGGCAATTGAATGATTTATTCCAACAAATAAAAGTCTTTTTAGTAGAGTATAAACTATTAAGCATCATATTTTTAATTCTTATTTCATCTTTGAATTTTCCTTTTATAATATATTTGCAGGTTTACCCCACATATGAAAATAAGAAAGCTCTGTGATGACTGGCAAAACCTCACACTGTAAACTTTCTATAATAATATATCTCAATTTTTGGTACCAATAAGATTCATATGTACAAAAATATGGATACATCTTTATTGTTTAAAATTAAGTTTTACAGGTGATTCTGATGCACATCAAATGTTAAGACGTGTTCTGTAACATAGTTTTCCTCTTTTGCTGGAAGGAGTTTACTTTGAGAATGCATTTGAATGATATTTCACTATTTAATAAGCATACCATAAATGCAGTTAGCGAAATTATCATGGGAATATGATCACTACATGATCATACATCTAATGAGTGATGTGATAATGAATGTAATAAATGCATAAATACATAAAAAAATTAAAATGTATTATTTAATAGATACCTCCTTATATATTTAAAAGTAACCAACATAGAGATTCAGTTTAATGGTGCTACCTAAAATGTAAAGTGGCTTTACTCTTTATACTCGAAGTCTTATTGATATTTTGGGGGAAAAACTAAAAGATCTGCAGGATCCACTTTCATGTCTACGTAAGACTCATGTAGGATTGTACTCACTTGCAAGTGGCCCAAGTAAAACTTGACTCAGGACTATTTTTAGAAAGAGGTAACACATTTTTACAATTACTTCAAATAAACAATTTAAAAACTTTGTCCTTAAGTTTCAAAAACACCTCAGAATTCATTGTTCCCTTACACGTAAACAGCAGACCTAAAACTGGAACTAAGTTTCTCTGTGACAGTGAAGTGGTATTATTGATAGATACACCAAGTTTATTTGCAAATTAGTTAAGATTCTATAAATGGGATTTAGGATAATATTGAAAGTAACAAATATTTAATTATAAGAAAAAAGGTTGTAATGGAAGCAATTGCTTCCATGTTAAATTTTAAGTAACAATAAATCAGCCTCCCATGTTGAGAGTTTGGAGTTAGGGCAGAGGAGAATGTAATGTATGGAGAATGTGGCCTTAAAATCCTCCTTTCCTTCAGTTTTAAAATCAAATAAATTTTATCAAAAGAGATTCAAGTTTCAGTGAACTGTCACTCAATTTTAAATTTAAGGGACAAATATATCCTATTTACCTCATCTTTGATGATTTTCATGAAAGGAAATATGACTCTCACATTAGTTGCTGTTCTTAAAAGCTGGTAGCATTGATCTACAAAAACTTGTTTTGAAGGATTAGATTTAAGCTGTAGTTTACTCCATATGAAAATCAACTCCCTGTAAATGAGAAAAAAAGAGAATTATCAAAAATACAGTTTATTCAAATACAGACATTAGCTATCTTTCCCTGATTCTATAGTGCCCTGGCTGGGATGTATATGAGTGTAAATATGTATTACGTTCACCCCCAAACTACTTCTTCTACCTATATGAGACTAAAACAAGTTGGGAGAGGAAGAAATATCAGAAATCACAAATATACAGTAGTAAGGAATGAATTCCAACAATATGTTGGCATACCTAAGATGTCTCCAGTATCAGATCAAAACAGAAATTCTAATCCTAATGTGCCAATACTGATATTACTTAAAAATAATAAACTTTGGCCTTTAATTAATATTTTACTTGTAAATTTAGAAAACAATGTTGTAGACTCTCTATAAAGAAATGGTTCATATTTTTCATTTTCAATTTATTAAGATATCAAAAGTACTAACGATTAAAACTGTAAGTATAGTATTGATTCTGAAATAGTATGTTTCAGATATCGTACTTTTAAAACAGACAGGTTATGGACCATTTGAACTATTTCATAGGTAGATTCTTTTCTCAAATATGACCACTGTTATTTGATGCACAAGGCTAGGAGCGGTGGGTTTTTAGGCAAAGGCAAATCATATGATAGAGCTGATATATTTGGATGTCACATTTTAGCAAATTAGAATTCTTTAAAACATGTCATAAAAGTGTACAAAGCATCATAATCTAAAAGTATTAAAATAATTAATGAAAATATTTTTTAAAAGTGATGAGCATATACTTTGAACTCAGCACATACAGGTATTAAATCTAAGGACAGCTTGATTACCATCATGAGGGTGCACATAGTGTACTCAGACAAAAACAGAAAATGACAGCAAGCAACATATGAGTAGTAAAACCAAAATTCCAATTCCATTTCATACTAGCTATTTATTAAGTTTCAGTCCACTACCCCCCACCTTTTTTTTTTTTAACTCACACTCTTTTAGAACTCTCACAAGGTTTCATACCTTCCTACCACATCTCTAGCTTTTACTGCTTTCCAGTTTTCATGCCTGGGTGTTTCAATTTATATTGCTTTCCATCACCTGAACCCACTCAGAACTAATCATATTCCTGCAAAACTGATAATCTTTTCCTAGATCAGGCAGTGACACTAAACATTCCTCTATTCTGGTCTGGTTCTAATCTGTTTATCTTGCAGTGTCTTTACATTTCAAGTATACTTTTGCTCTCAGCTTTATCATTCTTTCTCAATGTTACCCTTTTAGGCCCTTTAATTTTACACATGTATTTCTACAGTGGTTTCTAACCTGATCTGTTTTCAGCCTCCGTGATCATATTTCATTTAGTGCTTATGCTATAAAGTTAACAGCAATAGAAATGTGGGTTGTAGAGTTAGGAGTTTCAGGATTTGAATCTCAGGAACTCCTAACTCTCAGCTAAACTGCTTCATTTATTCTCACTTTTGTTTATGCTGACTGCTATATTTGGAAAGTACTTCATTCCTAAGATGAACTTATCTTTCAAAGGCCCTATCAAGTATCTCTTCAGGAAAGCCTTCATGAATACCCCAAACTAAAGTGATACCTACACTTCAGAAAAGATCCCTCTTACTGATTTCATGCCTATCATATGCTTCCTTGTTATATTTTATCGATCCTACCTATTTCCCCAACCATTAATATACTGTAAGTATACACAATGACACATTGTTTAGTGGATGCAGTGGCAAGAACATGGAATTGGAAATAAGAGAGACCTAAATCTCAATACAGCATTATACAGTGATTGGAGTGGCACACCCAATTCAATGAGCCATGCTTTTCTAGGAAAAGCCCTAAAACACAAAGGTAGAAAACCAGTGGCCATGTCTCCTATGTGACCCTCCTCTGCATTCCCCTTCAGATATTAATTCAGGGGCGGGAAAGTGATCCCAGTCAGGCTAGTCAGAATCTCTGGAATGTTCTCAACTCTAAACTATTAAGCTTGGGGTTTGTTGATGTTCCTGCTGGTCTACAGCAAGAGAGGCTGAAGCCAAATGACAGAAAAGAAACAGATTTTGAAAAACATTAGCAGTATCAGTGTCCCTGGTAGCAGTTATCTTTGAGAACTACCTGTGGCCTTCCATGTAGCTTTCATGTAGCTCATACTGCACCCTAAATGTTTTCCTATTTAGGCACAGATGCTATCACTTGCAAACTAACTAGTACAAATTCCAACTCCATTTCTTACTAGCTGTATGACTGTTATCTATTTTATATACAGTTTTCTTACACATAAAGGTTGGGATTATTCCTATTCAGCATCTTTATTAAAAGAATTAAGAGAGATAATTGAAACACCTAGGTGAAGTGTCTGGCATATACTTCCCCTAAATGTTGAAAGCCTGTAATAGGTACACTGCAATATCCTAATAAGTTTGCCAAGAGAAGACTACCACTATGGATTTTTGCTTTAAAGCAGGCAAAGCAGAAATCTTAGGATAGTGTTATGAAGCTCCATTTTGATTGGATTTAAAACATGGGATCTGAGGTTTTAGTTGTACAGTGGATTCTGAAGGAAAACAAAAACCAACAACAAAAAAATCCTGAAAACCATTGACAGTCTTCTTTTAGAAGACCAAAAGGGCAGGTTTAATGAAGCTTATACACGTTTTCCTTTATTCAATGTGTGCATTAGAAAACACAGCACTCATTCAGTGTACAAACGCATTTCCCAGGTAACTAGCTAATAAAAGACCCTATTAACTACTAATATTACCATTAAGTCATCTACTTTCTGGAAAAAGCCTATATAATGACGTCAGTCACCCTTACAATACAGAATTTTTTTTTTCAAACTTGACCCATTTATTTTAAGTAATTTTAATATAGCAGAGGCTGGAAGACTGCCTAAGTTTGAATCCTGGCTTCACTACTTACTAGCTGAATGGCTTGAACACAATATTGAATGGCTTGAACACAGTATTATTTCCATAAGCTTGTTGGGTTAAATGACATGTGCATATATAAAGCAAAGAATATAGGAAGCACTCAGCAAACATTTGCAGCTATTATTATTATTAATGATTGTGAAGGAGAAAGGGGCTTAGCAACTTGCCCCATTGGTTTGGGATACAGCAAAACTGTGGATCTGGTTCTATTCACACAGAGGGGAGATAAATGACAAGCTGACTCATAGGCTAGGCCAGGATGAAACAGACAGCACAGACTTTGGAGGCTGAAAAAAAATCCTGCTCATCAAATTACAGTAAAAATTAACTTTTAATAGGAAGAAAAGGGACCTTAACATTCAGAAATATAGAAAAGAGGTAGAAGAAATAAGAGGGTAGGCCATCATAACCCACGCTATTTAGAAGGAAGGGACAAAAAGAAGGCTAAAGACTCCTTTTTGGTTAGGCAGCTGGAGACACTGAGCCTCTATTCTTAGAAGGTTTCTGTGGCCAGGAGCCAGAAGACAGGCATTATAATATTTAGGTCCTTCCCTAAAGAGTAGAAATGGGTTACCAAGAGAATAAGAAAATAAAATGTGTTTTTCTGGGTTTGTGTGTGTGTTTGTGTATACTTGTTTCTAGTTTATTTATGAGTATATTACAATGAAAGAACTAAAGATACCCTGTTTAAATAGTGTGATATAGCTCAGGGCAGAGAACATTTCTATTCCCATAGGAAAAGATCTATTATAACTGTCATGACTATTTTCAGTTTCCAAATAACCACATGTCAAAAAATGATAATACTTCAAAAACTACAGTTATACGCAGTGTAACAACATTTCAGTGAACAGAAGACTGCGTATACAACAGTGGTCACACAAGATTATAATATCATTTTTACTGTACTTTTTCTATATTTAGATATGTCTGCATAGACAAATACTTACCATTG
Organism: Homo sapiens; assembly: GCF_000001405.40. Lineage (NCBI taxonomy): Eukaryota > Metazoa > Chordata > Mammalia > Primates > Hominidae > Homo > Homo sapiens. The sequence goes on along the minus strand of NC_000003.12, from coordinate 88,131,185 downwards.
TGTTATAATTGCCTACAGCATTCAGTACAGTAACACTGCCATACAGGTTTGTAGCCTAGGAGCAACAGGCTACATCATATAGCCCAGATGTGCAGTAGGATATACCATCTAGGTTTGTATCTCTACAATATTCACACAAGGAAACTGCCTATTGACATATTACTTAGAATATATCCCCATCATTAAGTGCTGCATAACTGTATATAAAGGTGTGTGTATGTCTTACCACTACCTCCTAATCCCTTTCTCTATTTGAAATTCCAATTTACATGGTATAATTTTAAATAAAAATTAGCATAATCTAACTAAAGGTATACTGTAACCCCTAGAAAACAAATTTACCTGTTTCCAGATCCAGGTCTCCTCCTAACTAGCTATTTGACTCTTATCTCTGAGTTTGAAGATTTTAATCTATAAAACAAGAATAGGGCCAGGCACAGTGGCTCATGCCTATAATCCCAGCACTTTGGGAGGCTGAGGAGGGCAGATTTACTTGAGCCCAAGGAGTTCCAAACCGGCCTGGGCAAAACAATGAATCCCCATCTCTACCAAAAAAAAAAAAAAAAAATTAGCTGGGCATGGTTGCACACATCTGTAGTCCCAGCTACTGAGGAGGCTGAGGCGGGAAAATCACTTGAGCCCAGAAGTTGAGGCTGCAGTGAGCCATGATCGCACCACTGTATTCTAGCCTGAGAGACACAGTGAAACCCTGTCTCCAAAAAACAAAAACAAAAACAAAAAATAACCAAGAATATTGAAGTATTATGATTTGCAGCTATATGCCTTCAAGCTATTAATTTAATTGAGAATTTAAAAAAATGTTTATAGCCCATGATCATTTCAGATTATGTTTAGCAAATAAAACCTAGTTTTCTGTTAAGAATTAATGAAACAGCAAAGTGGTAAGAGTTTTGTGTGTGTATGTGTGTATATGGGTGTACTGGAGCTGAGGAAACAGAAATTCTTAATAGCCCCTGAAGAGTGTTTTTATTTTAGCTACCTAAAAACACTCATATTACATTTTAAATTACATGATTGCTAGGTAAACCTGCTGCTTCATATATTCTACTAGCAACTTTTAAATGTTTTAAAAACTCAGACTCCAAATTAAAATTTAATTTCAAACCACTGTTTCATTATAGCACATCCCTTAAACATTTACACTATCAGTTTAGTGGCACATTATCATTTCTTTTTAAAGTCTCTAGTTCTTAGAATCTACTATTGTTCCTTGCACAATCAATTTTTTTTTAAAAGTAGCTTGACATTTTCATACAATGTAAAAAACAAAGTTCAAACTGCAATTTCCTTTCTGTTGCCCATCTTACCATTTCAATTTCTTTATTTACAAACACTTACCAGATACAGTACATATCCCCATTCTGGAGCTGTGGAATAAGAAAGGATTCACAGAGTTGCAAGGCTAACATAGTTTTGCCTTCTTTTTCAGCATTACAGATGATATCAATTCCACTCTTACAATCAGTTTTCAATAAATGCTGTAAGAGGAAAAGAGAAATCAGTTCATATAATTAAAAATATCTAAGAAGCTAGTTGCAATAAATGTTTAAACATTCAAGAGAAATTGCTTAGATTTCTAGTTTTCTTCTACAAAGACAATGATGACTTGTACAGAAATATTTTCATGGTTTCATAGTTTCACTGTACAGCACCTACATTTTACAATGACTACTTTTAATCTCATTAATGTCCACAACCTATAGGTACATACGATCCATATTAGGAAAAGATTAATTCCTTCACCTTAAGAAACAAAATAAACATGAGCATTTTACCTCTAGTACTTTATTTTCAAGGCAAGATCATAATGCTTCTTGGGTTTTTTTTTTTTTTTTTTTTTTTTACTCCTGGCAAGCTGTGAGCTTGTTGACTTTTATTTGACCTCTTCTCCATCACATCAAAAGTGCAATGTGAATAATACTTATTAATGAGTATATTTTATTGATTTCATCATTTGTTAATATCAGATTTTGACTAATTCAACATGACCTTAAGTTATGGTGCCAAAAGAAAACACATCCAGATAATGTAATCCTTAAATCTTTGGCATTACTGTAAAAGGAATTTAACAACAACAGTGGGCTACTTTTTTTTTTTGGTTTTTTTTTGGTAGGGTTAAAATGGTAATAGGCAAAAATAGTCTCAAACAATACCTCCCGGAATAGCTGATCTTCTACAGGTGACATAAACAGACATGTGAAGAGTGCTTGATGGAAGTATAAGTCTTTACTGATTTCTGGGTGATTTATACAAGATTTAATAAGAGCCATTGCTTCGGGTATGCGTTCACAAGCAATTAGGTATCTGGCACGTAGTTCAAAGAACAGTGGATTTTCAGAACTTAAATATTTGTTCACTATATTAAAAAGAAAACAGACTCTATTACTCTCAAGAAAAGATTCTCTCAAACTTTGTTCTTTGAAACTTTACCACTAAAATATGGTTTCTAATTAGATTTAACTACTTAAATAGCATTTTCCTTAGTAGGAGTTTATTTGTGAAAATATTCAGTTATATGGTTGGAAAAAGGAAAAGAAGAGTGACACCAAAACAGTGCTCAAGAAATATTTGTTGATTTCTTAGTCTAAAAAGTAAATAACAGAAACAAAATTTAAAAAAAAATTTTTTTTCTTCTTTCAGTTCATTAATATGTTAAAATATGTTCCAAGTAACATGGGTCTATGTCTTTTTAGTCTAAGATTACATACTTTATCTTCTTACTGCTCAATATTTTCTTTAAGATTAAAAGGCTGAATCCTAATCTGTCACATTAAAACCATGTTAGTTCACATTAATTATAGAGATGTAATCTGAATTAATGAAAAAGTTGAATCACAAGAAAAATATATTTTATTTAAAGATAAAATTAATCCAAAAGTAGTGCCAAATAGGACTGCTTATTAATATACATTTATGTATTACTAAGGATAATTACTAATTAATACTTTACACAATTTTAAAATATATAAACACCATTAGCTAAATAAATTTATTTAGACCTAACAACAACCTTATGATGGGTATTATGATACTAGCTTTATAGATTGCAAAACTGAGTCTCAGAGAGGTCAAATGACTTGCCCAAGGACAAATAATTAAGTGGCAGAGCAGGAACTGGAACCCGTATTTTTATGATTTTGAATCCAGAAGTATTTTAATTACTTATATTTAATCAGTAGCTTCTAAAGTGCTTACAAATGTTTTATTTTGACTTAAAAATTTGTCTTGCAATTCTGTTTACAATATATGATATGCAAACACTGATTTGTATTGTTAATGCAAAGATAACTTCACTCTGGTCTTTCCCCTAATGATCACCAACTAGAGAAAAGTCATCCATATCAATGAGGCTCTAGAGCAGCTTTTCCCAAAGTGTGAGGTATGCTAGTATAGGTATCAAAGGAGTATTTATTATTTTAATGTAATTCCCAGCCTAAAAGGCCATCAGCCCTCAGACGAACGAACAACAGGTTTATTCTAGATCCTACGAGTGAAGCCTAAATCTATCCCTTAAAAGCTCAAACTTTCTTCTCCCCTGTCCTCACTTCTCTTGAAACTCTGTCTTTGTCTAGCTTCTTCCCCTCTGGGCACATGCAGTCTCCTCATAATTTCCTCTAGTCTGTCACCCTTGCCTTCCCTATATTTGACTCTTCATACTTCTTCAGTAATCCAACTCTTCCTCCTCAGCAACAACTCTCTCCCTTTTAGTTTTTTTTTTAACTCCCTTTCCAAGATCCACACATCAAACACCAGTGTCCTTTTTACCCCTTGGGTTCTTCATAACACTGTCACGTATACCTTAGCCCTATCCTCCTAGTCTTGTCCCACCTCCCATCCCTTCACAGCTCCTCCTCCACTTAACTGCATTCACAACCCACCCTAACCCCTTAGCCTGTGACTAACAGAAATAACCTGCTCAACAAAATTTGTGGTATGAAATGTCTTTTTCACAAAACCAAGGTCTAACTGGTTCCAGGGTTGGGAGGTCTTGTTTTTTTCCCCTTGGCTGTCTCATAACTAAACTCCATTGGCTCTCTCCACACTTTTAAATGTTTTCTACACTTTAGTGCTTATTCACTGTTACTGAGCTTACATTCTACAGTTTTGGTGATCCAAAATGTTCTGGGGTTCAGGAATGATATGGGGAACATTTTAAAAAAGAATTAACAGCAGTTGACAAAGCCTCCTGCCTTGAAAGGAAATTTTGGCCTACAAAGGACCGCTGTTAAATCAGATTGGACAGGAGGTGATATCAAAGAAATATGCAGGTAGTAAGGGTATAAGACAAAACTTCTAATGCATGAAGTTTGGGAAATACTGCTCTAGAATTCAAATTTATTCATTCAGTTAGTCACTTATTCACTCACACATTCATCATGTGGTCATTCATTCAATCAACAAATACTTATATTAAGCATCTACTCTGTACCAAGCACTGGGCTAGCTATAGGATATGCAGTAGTAGTGACAAAAATTCAGAGTTCCAGCCCTCATTAAGTTTCCTGTGTAAGGGAAGTGAGATTCCATGTGCTTTCATGAAAAGCAGACTTTTTGTTTCTTAAAAAAAAAAAAAAAAAAAAAAAAAGATGTTTCTACTTAAACAAATTTTAATAATATAACTGAAGTGACAAAAATACACTCTCTGTAAATAAATAACATCTAGTAGATGTGTTACCACTGAGAATTTCCATTACAAGAAATAAATGTACCGATCCAGGTGTCAGAAGTCACTTTGGGCCAGTTTAGAAAAACAAACACTTTTCATGTGAAAATACATCACTCCCATTATTCAGTATTATAAAATGAAGAAAAATTACTATTACTGCTCTAGTTAGTAAATGAAAGTGTATTTGCTTCTCACAAATGTTGGTTTGATTTTGAATCTCCTGAAGTACCTATCTCCTGAGATGCTGGCTGAGCTTTAAGGACAGCTTGCAACACTGGATCTTCCCATGGGCCACCATCTCTAATGATTCGAGTCACCAGTTCCAGATTCACATTTCCATATCTGCGGAGGTGATTCTGGCATTCCTAGGAGAGAAAAATCATTTTGGCTCTGTGAATTTAAAGGGGTTAAAAACTAAACTTGATCATCATTGTCAATAAAATGACTGATGGCCAGTGAGGCAGCTATTAAATTATAAAAGAGAAAGGGTTACTATTGTAACCTAAGTAGGGTGTCGAAACCCCATGAACACAAATAGGCTTTAATGCCAAAGGTTATACAGCAGTATCTGTATAACTGGACTTAGAAAATCCCAAATAGGGATGACGTGTAACCTAAAGGACACATCATTTCTAGGAAAAGAACCAGGTTGCAAAAAACTGAAACTTAAATGTTCAGTTAAATTTATATAAAGGTTCATAAAATTTCTCTTAACAATGGCAGGCAAGAGCCTGATAAGAAAAAGAGAGCGTGGTAGGGCAGGGGGCGTGGGGTGTCTGCTAAATGTAAAGTCTCTCTCTGGCTGGCAGGTAGACAAAAGTCTCCTGTCCTGATCCCAAATATATAATCTAAATCGTGGTAGAAGGCTGGAAGATGGAGATTCTGTTTCCCTTTGTTGGATAATTAGATTTGCAGTTCTGGGATTAAAAAAATGACAGGTTAAAGAAATAAATCTATAAATAAGTAAATCCAACCTCTACTTTGCTTTAGATTTAAGATAAAGATGTATTGTTAAGTTGGGCAATAGTTGTGAATTTGTCCATACATTTTCTAGGTTTTTAAAAAAAGATATTTGAAATGTTTTTCAGAGAATCTGCTTGGACTTGTCATTATAACATGAAATTTGTAACAAGTTTGTATGCAATGAGTCTTAGTTTACTGAATATATAAATCTCATTTATTAGATCTAGATTTATAAGATCTGTATAGTTTGATTATGCTTTTTGGCTCATTACATACTTTATTAGATATTGGTTTTTTTTTGTTTTTTTGTTTTTTTTTTTGAGATGGAGTCTTAACTTTGATGCCCAGGCTGGAGTGCAGTGGCACGATCTTGGCTCACTGCAACCTCTGCCTCCCAGGTTCAAGCGATTCTCCTGCCTCAGCCTCCCAAGTAGCTGGGACTACAGGCGCGTGTCACCATGCCCAGCTAATTTTTTGTATTTTTAGTAGAGACAGAGTTTCACCGTGTTAGCCAGGATAGTCTCAATCTCTTGACCTCATGATCCGCCTGCCTCGGCCTCCCAAAGTGCTGGGATTACAGGCGTGAGCCACCGTGTCTGGCCAAGGTATTGTTTTTTAAAATGGTTCAGAGAATCGAATTTGACAATTTAGAAAGATTAACTGAATATCTAGTAAAAGTATTATTTTCAAAAATGCATAAATAGAGCTTAAAGCGTTAAGAAAAAACTAGATGTAGAAACTGGCAATGTTGAAAAAAAAAAAACTGAGTATTGTACATCAATCAAAACACAAGCAATTGCCAGAATTTAATTCTGTGCTCACAAAATCTCTGATATTAAAAACGTAGTAGCAGTTATAAAGCAAAGCTTCAGAATTTAAAAAAACATATTTTCAGAAATGTTACTTATTAGATGAATCAAGGCTACATATTCAAAGTGGCTACAAACACTTTGCTTTTATTAAACTGTCATATTCTTTCATAATTTGCTGAGATTATAAAGTGATTTATATATGCCACGTTGCATTCCTGGTTAAAATATACAAAAGAGGTTTTACTTGTTTTATGAGAGAAGAAAGTAGTAGAAGAAACCAAGTTTTAAAATAATCATTCAGTCCAGTCAAAACATCACTTATAGTCAAACATTATGAAAATAAATATCTTCTAAGTTATTTAAGGTTGGTCCCAAATTAAGCAATCAAGCAAACAAAAATCCTACCAACAATGGGCAAGTTACTTAACCTCTCTGCTCTATCAGTCAATTCCTCTGTAAAATGGATACTAAAACACCTACTTCATAGGATTGTTGTGAGGATGAAGTAATAATATACAGTACTAGAAAGTGCTTGGAACAGTGCCTAGCACCTAGTAAGCGCTCAAAAGACATTAGCTATTATTTCTTCTAGTATTTTAACAGTTCGAATAAATATCTTATTTTAGGGCATCTAGTTTCCTTGGCATGAAATTTCTGCATTTCCACATGTCACCATGTTAAAGCATTCATTAAATATGGGGTAAATATAAAGGTATTGATCAGCCATGAATTTAACATACATGGAACACTGTAATGATTCTTGGGAACAGCTTCATGGGTTAAAACAATGATCAACTGAAACCTCCCAAGGTAAGCAAGGTAGCAAGCTCCCAAATTACTCTAGACATACAGATGACTGCCCCGAAAATTCAACTACTCTAAGCTAGCTTTTGGTCCAATCAAAGCATGAGAAATAAGGTAAGTTGGACACTAGTCCCTGAGTCATTGGTGAGCTTAGTTCTGCTGCTCAGTCCTGGGACAATCCATCTTTCTAGTTGTCTAAGGATAGGTGAGGCATCAGTCAGTACTATGGGACTTAGAACTGGACTTAGGACTAAGTCAAGATGTATTTCCAACTTCCTGAAGTTGGCTGAAAATAAGAAACACTTAGAGCTCTTTTTAAAAAACAGATTCCTAGGACCTAATTTAGACCTACTGAATCAGAATTTCTAGGGGAAAGCCCTGATAATTTGAATATTTAACAACTCCCACCCACAGGCAACTATGGGACACTTTTAATATTACACCTCCCACACTTAGTGTCTACTCCCATAAATGATTACATTATGAATTATATACTTGACTCTTGCCAATCTTTGTTAAAAATTAGTAAACTAGCTTCCATTCATTTTTCTAAGATAAAAATTAATTATAAATGGTGTTTTTGTGTATGTACACTTCGTGGGTCAAAAATACCATATTTTGGAGACCACTCTTATGGAAAACAGCTCAGGATAGGAAACAGATGAAATAAAGATTTCATTTTGGTCTATTTAAAAAGACAAAGGAAGAAAGAACAATAAGCTTACAAGTATTTTTTGGCTCCTCGTTCCTTAAATAGAATAGTGGCTTTTTTGGATGATATTCAATTTAAAACCTCGAAGTGAATAAGGAAGCACTTAAATTACTGTAGAATGCACAACTTATTCTCTCCTAGGGTATATATACACATTGTATTTTTCTTTTTTTCTTTTTACTTTTTTTTTTTTTTTGAGACTCAGAGCCTCACTCTGTCGCCCAGGCAGGAGTGCAATGGTGCAACCTTGGCTCACTGCAACCTCGGCCTCCCAGGTTCAAGTGTTTCTCCTGCCTCACCCTCCTGAGTAGCTGAGATTACAGGCGCCCACCACCATGCCTAGCTAATTTTTGTATTATTAGTAGAGACAGGGTTTCACCATGCTGGCCAGGCTGGTATCGAACTCCTCACCTCAGGTGATCTGCCCACCTCGGTTTCCCAAAGTGCTGGGATTACAGGTATGAGCCACCGTACCCAGCCATACATATTGTATTTTTCTAGAATATTTACTTAAATAATAAATTGTGCCTCTATATCAACTTAATCCTTTATTAAGTCATCAGTCTACTATTATTGATACCCACATTACACTGTGCTAAATATAATCCCCTTAATTACTTCCATTCAACTTTGTGTCTTGGCCAAAGGTAGAGCGAAAATACAACTCCCTCACTTCTTTCAGAATACATTTCTTAATATTTTACCCCAAAAGGAAGATTCTTTTCCCTGAACTGGTTGCCATTTTAGAGAAGGCACCTACAACATGTGTCTGTGAAGCTATGGATCAGTGTTCTGGCCATTCTACATAATTGGTCTGGATCCGTCAGCAGTTTATCATAGGATGAAAGTCTTACCACTTTAATCTCAAATTTAAGGACTTCTGGACTTACCTGCCTACTCATTCACCTATTGCACATCATGTATTCTTTTCTTCAGCCTGGTCTCTTCCACATCTCCCAAAATTCACCTTGTCTTTTCTTACCTATGCCATTTCTCATGTCATTCTCCTACAACTTCCATGAACGTATCTAAATCCTATCTTTACACAATCCCACTTTCCCCAAGAAGCTTCTACTAGCTACCTTAATCCATAATAAACTTAATTTCTTCTCCTGCCATATTGAACATTTGTGCTACATTATTATGTAAGAGGAAGGCCTTGCATTACTATCTTAAGTGTTGACATCTTCTTAGGTGGTTAAAAGTTTTTTCAAACAGACAGGAAGGGAAAGGTGTGCCAGAGAAGATACATTCTCAATAATAAGTAACTTTTTAATCAAAATAGGGTTTTATGGAAATCTGTGTAAATGGAAGCACTATGGAGTCTGAACGAAATGAAGATTCCAGAATAAAGCTACAGAACACCACCTATCCAATTCACTCATAAGCAAGTTACTGCAGCAAATTAAGACAAAAATGTAAAAGGTCTTCAATATGGTTAATATTATAAAAACGTAATCTTTGAAATACAGTAGTCTTTATAATACTTTGAAATGAGATGAGAATAATCATAAATCTTATTACACATTGATTGGTTATCTCATAGCAAAGCACTTCATAAAGTTATAAAATTTAAGGATGTTATGCATTTTTCCTTTACAAAAAGGCAATCATGTTTAATTTGCCATTCTTTTTTTATGATAGGTTCCTGAGGAATATTTACCTGGTATTTTCAAAAATTAATCATTCTGAGCTTGCCCATATAAAATAAAGGGGACAGTTATAACAATGAAAGAAGTTACTGTTTTTCAATAGAAAGTTTTTACAAAGAAAATGATTTAAAATGAACATTTGGAAGTATCTGCATTTATTACATGATTGCTGTTGCCAAAAATCAGTATGTCATGTATAATGCTTCTATTATGCCATTAAAAAACTTAAGAATTTTCTGTTGAAAAAATTTTCAACTGGAACATTTTAATGAGTTTTTAATTCATTGTTAAAAGTGGTTAGTATTAAAGAAAACATAGATTGACTTTAGGAATACAAATTTGGTAGTCAAATTTTGCATAATTCACGGAAGGCATTTTAAACTGAGCATCATGATTCAGAAAGGAAAATTTTCTTTTTTTTTATTTTGCTCATCTTTGTTTGGATTTATTATTTATTTTACTTTAAGTTCTGGGATACATGTGCTGAATATACAGGTTTGTTACATAGGTATACACGTACCATGGTGGTTTTCTGCACCTATCAACCCATCACCTAGCTTTTAAGCACCACATGCATTAGGTACTTGTCCTAATGCTCAGACAAGAAAATTTTCTATCAAAAGTATCCTTTCAACTTATGACCAAACATCAAAGTAAACTGAACCTAAAATCAGACTTTGAATTACTATATCACTGTGATACAGTAATTTTGAAAATTTTTCAAAAATACGCTATAATCACACTAATGTCACTGACTTTATACTGTTGAATTTAAAACATTATTTTAGTTTCATCCTTTTTAAATGTACTTTTGTTTTATAATGTATATAGTATGAGTACATGTGCGTAAGTAATATACGCATAAAGAGGATATGTGCTCAAACTGTATTTTAAAAACTGTATAGTAAAGCAGAAGTCTGGAGACCCTGGTCTTAGGTATTATTTGTTTTTATATTTGTGTTTGGGGCTGAATGTAAAACTCATGTTTGTCTTCTATTGATTATCATGTCAATTTTCTTCACCATCTCCTGATTTGCTTCTTCCTTGCCATTTCTACAATTACCATTCTAGTCTAGGCCTCTATCGACTACCACTCAGATCACCAAACTAAAGTTTCTTCATCCCTCCCCATTCCTAATAAGGCAGTCTTTAGAAGGTTTTAAAAGCTTAGACAATAAAGCTCTCAAGATAGCAGTATAAATAAAACATTTAAACCTGTTCTTTTGCCATATACATTACTGTAAACATATAAGCATATTTTTATAATGGATTAGGGAATATGGCATAGAAAGAATTAGAATGCTGGGTTAAGAGTAAGACTTAGGCCCTCATTCTGCTTCTATAAACCTCAACTCTGTTGCAACTTAATTTTCAGATATGTAAAATAAGGGAATTGGATTAATAATTTTTAAGATGACTCTCAGTCTCAAAATTATAAAAATATATGAATGCCTATAAGTTACATTATTTGATTTTTTTTTAAATAAGTAGAATTATGTATTTATTGAGCTATTTAAGGATATCCTTTTTGGGACTTGAAAAAAAGAATATTTAAAATATGAATAATTATTCCTTGTTTAATAAGTAAAAAGTAATAAATGTACATGCTACTTTTAATTAGCAGAGTTTTATCTGAAGAGGAAGCCAATCATAACTACGGTAAAACCATCAACTAACAGCATAGTCATATTTCAAAATTAGTTGGTAGTTGCCATGCTAATGGAAGTACAACCCTATCATTAGCATTTTAAAATAAGTAATGAATTAATATGGCTATCATATTAATTGTCGCTGTTCTAACAACTGTCATCATCCTAACACAGGCCTTGAAGCAGAATTAAGGTGCATGCAAGATTTTTTGAGCACAGGTTTGCATACAAAGAAATAAATATAAAATTTGATTTAGCAGAAAGAACACTGGAGTCAGTCAAGGCAACAGGTCACAGTGCTGCCTAAGCTACAAAGTGGGCTAGTTAGTCTCCAATAATTATTGTTTTTTTTTTTTTAATTTATTATTATACTTTAAGTTTTAGGGTACACGTGCACATTGTGCAGGTTAGTTACATATGTATACATGTGCCATGCTGGTGCGCACACCCACTAACTCGTCATCTAGCATTAGGTATATCTCCCAATGCTATCCCTCCCCCCTCCCCCCTCCCCCCACCCCACAACAGTCCCCAGAGTGTGATGTTCCCCTTCCTATGTCCATGTGTTCTCATTGTTCAATTCCCACCTATGAGTGAGAATATGCAGTGTTTGGTTTTTTGTTCTTGCGATAGTTTACTGAGAATGATGATTTCCAATTTCATCCATGTCCCTACAAAGGACATGAACTCATCATTTTTTATGGCTGCATAGTATTCCATGGTGTGTATGTGCCACATTTTCTTAATCCAGTCTATCATTGTTGGACATTTGGGTTGGTTCCAAGTCTTTGCTATTGTGAATAATGCCGCAGTAAACATACGTGTGCATGTGTCTTTATAGCAGCATGATTTATAGTCCTTTGGGTATATACCCAGTAATGGGATGGCTGGGTCAAATGGTATTTCCAGTTCTAGATCCCTGAGGAATCGCCACACTGACTTCCACAATGGTTGAACTAGTTTACAGTCCCACCAACAGTGTAAAAGTGTTCCTATTTCTCCACATCCTCTCCAGCACCTGTTGTTTCCTGACTTTTTAATGATTGCCATTCTAACTGGTGTGAGATGGTATCTCATTGTGGTTTTGATTTGTCACACAGTCAAAGTGCAGTTGAGTAGACCCAAGAGAGAATTATTTGAGCAGAAAATATGGTAGCACAGTTTTGAAAATTCGCCTCAAAAAATGCTTTGCTATTAAGCTGATATGGTTGTTTTCTTTTAAAGCCTTTTAGCTAGCACTACAAAGGTTGTTGTGACTACCAAGATTAGGACCTTCCCAAATTAAGTCTTTGGGAAACTTATTCCAAGTACTCTAGAGAAGGGCCATGGTCCAGGTTTTGAGGTTTTAGTGGAAAGTCAGTAGTTCTAAACGTCTTCATCTTAGCTAAAAATAATAAAATCTGGGAGGTTTGCTGGTTTATGATGACTATACACTCATTTCTTAGGGGAGATCAACACTTGCCCCACAAAGGAGGGTGGGCTTTTCAACTCCTTTCATGTGGCTGGCTCTTTTACCTTTGATGATTTTTTCCACTTCTCCTATGGTATATTACGCAGTGAGATAGCGTTGAGCCTCCTGCTTGGGACATGATATCCCATACCACCTCCTAACTCCCTTTCCTGACTGACCCAAAGGACAAGCAAATAAAAAACAGGTTGTGTCTCAGGGAAAGAAGGCTTTATTAAGGCCTACTTCTAGCCTGAACAAAAAAGATCTTTGCGACTTATATACTGGCTTCACCGGATAAGGATAGACTTTTCTCTAACGTCAGGGCAGGCTCATTAAACCACTTGCAGAGCTTTGGTAGTAAGACTTTTAGATTACTGGTTTAGTTGGCATTTCAGTTACTACCCCACAGTTGCTTTTTTCCCTTATTATTAAAACAACAACAACAACTAAAACATCTATGTTTCTCTTAATTTATAAAAGTAGTAAATGTTCTTGGTTGTTTTTTTTTTTTAATCATCTATTGGGCAATAGTACTGGTAAGTTCCAGACATTTAAAACTCAGTGTGTCTAGAATGAAACTTAACAACTTTCTCTATGCTGCACTTCCCCTTATATAATCACTGCTCCCTTAACAAATGTCACCACCCTGTAGTTATTTCCGCATAGATGCCCAAAAATACATTTGATTCTATCTTCCTTATCTCCATCCAATCAATACCATAATCTGAGATCCTAGTTCCAGATTATTGTGTGTGCTTTTTACAATTTGTATTTTCCTTTTCTGGAATCATTAGACATTAATGGATTCTTCATGATAACCATAATAAAAATGCCTTATTTTTTCCTCAGGTCAGTCCTATTTCTTTTATTCTGTAATGACCCCATTTGTAAATTCTTTATTTTGATCACCTGGCATACTACTTTGTTGTCCTGATAAAAGACCTGTCATCAGTTTGTTTCCAAGTATTTAGACTATTTATTTCTGTTGCTCTATCTTATAAACTATAGGGCTTGACAACTATATTATTAAATCATATTTTTCCTCTTAAAAAAATCCAGACATTATTTATGCTGGCATTTGTTACTATAGAGAATTTTATTGCCAGCCTGATTTGATTTTTTCCTTTGTGGGAATCCTGTTTGTTCTACATGAGTCCTACATTTTCAGGAACTTTCCTTTATCCCCAAAATTAAAAAGTAGAATCAAGTTATGTCTGTAAGTAATTATGAGTTGAAAATTAAATTACATTTTAGATATTATTTCCTTCATTAATTTGGTTTTTACTGGAGTTAATCTGCTAATTGCCTTCACTGTACTTTCAATTTGATAGTTCCATCTCTATATAATATTTTACCTCTGTATGTTCTTTCGGGTTGTCCCTTCTTTGCAATTTCACTTATATTCATGGAAGATATTATAAACTCAACCTCAGCAAAAACGTAACAGATCCTTTAAGAAAAAATTTTTTTAAACTGTCTTATCTTTCCAGTTAACTGATGATAACTGAGGTATTTATCCTCTTTAGTCATCTTTACCTAGAACATCTAGAACAGAGAACTGTTTTACTAGCAGGTGAATAAGTCTCTGTCAAATCCTTCATGCCCAAACAAAGAGAGAAGAAGAAAGTTTACATGTACTACAGTTTAATTTAGTAGATCATGGCCTATGAGAGAGTAAAGAGGATGCTTCAGTGAAAGACAACCACACCTCTCTTATAAGACTTTCTTACCTCTGGGTAATGGGGCTGGCTGCATTTAGTTTGGATCATACCCTCATTCTCTCAGTGGGAAGAATGCTCTCATGAAAAGCCATATATATACATATATATACACACACACACACAACATATATACACACATATATATAATATATGTGCATGTGTGTGTGTGTGTGTATATATATGTATGTATGTATGTATTTTTTTTTCTTTTGAGACAGAGTTTCGCTCTTGTTGCCCTGGCTGGATGGAGTGCGATGGTGTGATCTCGGCTCACTGCAACCTCTGCCTCTCAGGTTCAAGCGATTCTCCTGCCTCAGCCTCCCAAGTAGCTGGGATTACAGGCATGAGCCGCCACGACCTGCTAATTTTGTATTTTTAGTAGGGACGAGTTTTCTCCATGTTGGTCAGGCTGGTCTCGAGTTCCCACCCTCAGGTGATCTGCCCGCCTCGGCCTCCCAAAGTGCTGGGATTACAGGGGTGAACCACTATGCCTGGCCCATATATCTTATTTTTAATGTGGGTATAAAAGTCACTCAGGATTTCTGTCCTTTAGGCTCTGCTGCATGCCTGATGCACTTCTGAGAAGCAGCAACAAGAATGAGATTGACCACACCCCAAATCCCTACCACCTGCTATTTCCTCCAGCCCTTGTTGTTACAAGCAGGGGATAGAGGGGGACATGACTGGATACCAGTGGAAGTTCTCTCTTTCTCTCTATATTATCTTTTCCTCTCTCACACATTTCCCTGTTTCATCGCATTCAGTCAATCAAGTATTGTTTGGCCCATCTGTCAATCTGGCTTCATCCCTGAGCAACTGACATAAAGTTCCCATCCTAATTTCCAGCATTTATCATTATTATTTTCCCTCATTTTACATTATTTTTGTCACTTCATTGGGAATCTCGAAAACTGCTAGATATAATGATGATGATGAGGCAGATGCATCATATGAGAAATGCAAACAAAAACTACTGGAAGTAAAAGGCTAAGAAGAAAACTTTCGGAAGCCAGTAAATGGAACATTTGGCTCTAAGAATGAAGTTTCTTCTAGAAATAACGGAGAGGAAAAATTATAGGTAAGAAGAGTTAAAAATTTCTACTTGAACAACTCAGATTTTAGGAGATCAGAAATTCATGGAAGAAAATAATAAATCTAATAGCTTGGTTTTGGTATTATTGTAAAAATAAAAATCCAAGTAGTAAGACTTGAGAACCCATACCCTTCACCAGACAGGCTCTACTGCCTACCTTAAAAACAGTGACATGATCATTTTGCCAGGAATTATGCCAAGCACTTTACTCATTTAACCCATAAAGTGACTATGCAGCAAGTATAGTTATTGCCTCCATTTTACAAATAAAGAAACTGGTACAGAAATTATGAAACTTGCCCAGGATGACACAGTGTAAGCAGCAAAGCTGGTAAACTCACAGTTGAAATACAGCGGGGGGAAAGAGAAGTTAACTCAAATCCAACAAAGAATACCTTGGTATTCAAAGTGTGGTTCAGGGACTAGCAGCATTAATATCACCTTGGAGCTTATCAGAAATGCAGACTATCAGGTCCCCTCCCACAACTACTGATTCATAATCTAAATTTTAACAAGATCCCCAGGTGATCTTTATGTACATTAAAATATGAGTAGGACTGTGTTTGTCCTACTTATGGGAGACGAGAAAGAACACCATCTTATGCTGGTATGAATCTGTATGAAAGATGTATGGAGAAGAACCACTGCGGAGCTAGGGTTTGCACTTAACTTGCACAGTATAATTTATGAAAAATATTTCAAAAAGTTACATTTGGGGTTGTCACTGAATTAGTCACTTATCACTATTGGTCACTATTATCAGTGTCAGTCAAAAGCCTGGAGAATTCATAAGCTTGGAAAATACAAGGTTTTAGGGAGGTATACATGATGGACTACATGTTGGCCCTTCCTGAGTTCCTAAGGGCACAGGCCTGGGAAGCACCCACAGCATAAGCTCAGGTCAGCAAATGAAGGATGTTTCTCTAGGTAAAGATAACATGACAGCAAAAGGTGAAACCTATCCTAGAAGATAGGAGTTAGAGGCTCAAGGAAATTCAGAGTAGGAAGAAGCCACAGTAACAAAAGTGGCAGAAATGGCAGAGATTTTTAAAAGGCTGGGGGAGGCAGGTAGTATATGGAAATTAGAATCAGCCAGGATTAGAGAGTGTCAAAGGATCAGAGCAGGAGATAGAAAAGTATGCAAAACCGCTAACTTTTCCTTGAGAAATTTATTATTTTGATAACTGAATGGGCACCCTGCTTACAAGGGAAAAAATAAAGGATATATCCCTTCACAAATGTTATGTTTTTCATACATTTAAAGTGGAAGTTAAATATTGTCCCTCATCTACTCCAAACATTTCAGTGGTTCCCATTATCAGTGGTCAGCCAACATCTCTATGAGGTATTTCTTTACCTCCCCATTTAATACTGAAATATCCTTCCCCAATATCACCATGCCAGCACTATCCCCATCCTCCTTTATTTTTCTCTAAGGAATCTGTCAATTTTTCATTTATAAAGGTTTGATTGTCTTTCTGTCCCTATGCCAGAATCATTAATAACTCCACAATAGGAAGATTTTTTCTGTTTTGCTTACTACTGTTTTTCTTAGACCTTAGTGCATTAGCACACTGTGGGGACTCAATAAACATTTGCCAAGTAAAAGTTTAAGAATGGATTACGGAGAATGGAAAATTAGTAAGTTTTAAATACTTGAATATATACTCTAATTGGAACATAAGTTCCATGAAAACAGGTATTTTTACCTCTTTTGCTGAAGGTAAGAATGGTTAAAGTAGAATGTTCAATATAACGTACCTAATACAGCAGTACTGGTTGTCTATAAGCCTTTAACACCATGGTTAACAAATATAAGATATGTTGTCTGTATATTTCAGTTCTAAATGGGTGATCAGGGACACTTCACCCCTAGGGGGAGCTCAAAGTACATCTTCCTTTACTTCACCGAGTGGGTCAGGGTTGCTTCCCAGTAAGTAGTAAAAAGATCAAATGTCTTTCATCTACAGGAGAGGTCTTGACTCTTTTGTCATTCCCATCTGAATTTACTCTCTTCTCTCCTATACCAGGTGCCCAAAAATAAAAAAAAATCTTCTGTCTCCTAGCTTCGGAAAGCTATTATGAGAGAGAAAATCAAGGTACAGCCAAGGGAAAAAGTGGCATGGGATAGACAGCTTACTTCAAGTCTGGCAAAGAAGAATCGTTTTTCACCAGGACTAAGTTCTAGGAATCCACAAGGGTGGTAGCAGGCTCTTTTCTAACAAATGTAGAATAGGAATTCCAGCTATGAACTGCTTGGAAATACAGTTAAAAATTAATTGTATGAATTTTCTTTATCAGCCAGTAATAATAGGATCTTAAACACTGTCACCTTAGCAATCATTAAAAACTTATAAGCAATAATAACCAATAAGCTATATTTAGGGGGAGCATAATGGTCTATTTTAAGTGTAGACAAAGTGTGAAGTAGTAAACTGTTTTTTACCTGGAATGATCCAAGAATATCCTTTAAGGGCTCTTCATAAAACTCATCTCTTCCAAAGAACAGCAGCAACTCAAAGAAACTCCTAGAAAGAATAAGTGAATAACTTTCATTGCTTCTTTGAGTTTTGCTCCAATTAAAAGATTATCAAACAGTATCAGCTATCTAATATCAATATTTGACTTAAAATATTTTGGTTTAAAAAATTGTACTGAACACTAGAATTCATATTATGTTTTCTGTAAGATTTTAAAAGAAGTGCCTTCAAGGAAAATACAAAGAAATATACTTAAGTTTTAGAACTATAGAATGAAACAATTATACTACTCATGCCTACTAATGACCACAATGCAATACAATTTAATGGCATACAAGGTCACAACAATGATAGCTATATACACAAGGATCATCTAAAATGAACCCAAAGTCCAGCTTCACCCTAATATAATGGGACTCCAGAGAAAATCCAAAATCTCATTTTTTTCAGGGTGATACAAGAGTTGAATAAAATTAACACAAAAACATAAGTTAGAAAATCACCATAAAACTCTCGGCCAACATTTATATTATAGCATATACTAACAACCATATCTAATAAATGACACATGGTTCCTCACACTAAGCTTACCTTGATTATCCCACTCATAACAGGATGGCTCAAATTCTGTAGTTCCTCCTTTTTAAATAAATTATTTGGAAATACTGTTACTAAATACTTTATGTGCTCTTAATAATTTATGATTCATAAAGAAAGGAACATGAATGATTTCCTAATCATGAGCATGGAAAATTATAAAATTATTTATTATTTAGCAATCCTAAAGTAGTACAAGTGACAAATCCCTCTAAATCTTAGATCTTAATTCATCTAGCAGATCCTCAAGTGTAACTACCTAAAGTTGTTTTTTTAATAGTTTTTGCTTTTAATCAAAACAAATCACTAATAGACTAAAATTATAAAATGTAAACATGAGAATATATATGCTTTTAAAATTATATAAGACCTAAATATTACAAAATTACACATTTATAGCACAATCACCATACTCCATAACCTGACGTTTTTATAAATTTGACTACTACAAATTTTAAAATATCAACAGACCAAAAAACGTAAAACCAATCAAAAGCAAACTGATACACTGAAAAATATTCTTTGATGATTTCCTTAATTTAAATGCTTCTAGAAGTTAGGTTAAAAAAGTCAATAACCTAGTAGAAAACTGCAAGAGAATATTTCGCAGAAAGTAAATGCAAGTGGATTTGTTTTCCAATAGAAAAACATGCTCTTATTCATTATTAGGCCAAAATTATAAAGATTAAATGCCATTTCTCCTCTCATATTTATGAAAATAAAAGAGATGATGTATTCTATGATGGCTTTGGTGTATAGAAACAGGACCTGATAATCTTGTTGGAGGGAATGTAAATGTTCCTATACTCATCACAATTTAAAATGTACACATACCATTTGACCTAGCAGTTCTACTTATAGAAATTTCATCCTCGAAATATACATATATAAGCTCAAAGACAGAAACAACAATATACATTACAAATGGTTTATAGAAGCAAAAAACTGGAAATATTCAGAATGTCTACCATAGGGTACTAGGTAAATTAAATATATCCATACAATGAAATATAATACAAATATTAACGGAACATTAGTGAGAATATAGCTACATCTATATGAATTAAAAAATTCCAAGATATATTGTTAAGCAAAGACCCAGAGATATATATTCATTACATTATCTTTGTGTAAATGGGAATGGAGGTGAGGGGTCAGGGGGTGGGGGAACATATATACCAATACATAAAGTTTATACATTGTCAGACTATCTAGCAGGATATCCAACAAAGCAACTGACTCTGCAAAGGGTAAATAAGAACTAGGGGTCAGAAATGAAAGGGAGAATTATTTTTCGTTATTAATCGTTTTGTAATTTTTCATTTTTACTATTAATAAGTATAAAACAAGCCCAACAAAAAGCATCTCTGGAATCTTCTCTATTCCTAGTAACAAAGCACTAATTCACATCTATCTCATCTTTAAACATCTAATGGACCTCCACTCTTGACATTCCATACTTACTCAAAATCCATGTTCAACACAGCAGTTATTATCTTCCTAAAACACAGAAATGAACCCACTACTTACCAACTTTACAAACTGCTGTTTGGACTGTACTATCTAAAGCACAGATGGTAGTGTGCATGCCCCACTACCAGTTACCTAAATAACATGGTCCAACTCCATGATAATGATATTAAAAAGAGAAAAACCACATGCAAAGTAACAGCAAATAAAGGCAAAACACATCAAACCTTTTCCTTAGAGGAAGTTTTAAGGAAGTCAGCAAGTATTTATGAAGAAAAGTCTGAAATTACTATAAGAATCTGAAATACACGTAGAATTAGAAACCTCTTGTTTCCAACCTGTTGTATTTCCTATTGACTGTATAAATAGTCAACTAAATGTTTACAGATCAACTTGTATAGCTCTCCTTACGGAAGAAAACTCTGTAGGGTGCAGAATGAATGAGTCCAAAATAGTATAAAGTAGAAGCCCAAAATATGAGTAACAGTCTACAGCAAGGCTGGTAAACTACTGCTCACAGGCCAAATCTGGCCCGAGCAAGGCCAGTTTTTGTATAGTACATGAGAAATGAATGGTTAGCCATATTTAAATTTTTTTAAGTCAAAAGAACAGTATTTCATGGTGGGTGAAAATTACATGAAATTCAATGATCAGTGCCAATATATAAGGTATTACTGGAACAGAGTCATATGCATTTATTTACATATTGACTACAGCTGCTTTCATACCACAGTGGTAGAGTTGACCAGTGACAACACAGACCTATTATAGGCAGACAGCCTATAATATTTAGTATCTGGTCCTTTACAGACCCATGGTCTAGCTGTTTGGGTTTGAATCTCAGCTCCACTACTTAATTGATGAGTAACCCTGAGCAAGTTACTTAATATCTCAATGCTTCAGTTTATTTATAAAACACAATAATAGTAACTACCTCTTGAAAAGCACTTGGCACAATTCCTGGCACTTAGTGCATAGGTATTTGCTGATTAATAACATAGTACAACCATTATTTATTAACATGTCACCATCCAGATTTTCTTCAACAATCTATAAGGAAACACAAGATCTTCAGAGGTTTGTTCTGCTCAGCTATGCATATGTCAATTTTGTTGAAATGTAACAGGCTAATTATTCTTAAATTATGAAGATTTTTTTAAAAATCTGATTAAACTCATCAAAAGATTTCTTTCCAAAAATGTATTATTGTATCATAATATTTAGCAGTTTTTCCTGTTGAACATGTTTAATATGTTTCTACAATAAATGTGTTTAATATATTATTTTTTACCATGTTTAATATGTTCAGTTTATACATTTATAAAAAAATTTTAGTCCAAATTGTAAGTTATGTACAGTTCACTTACCTAAATTGAAATAATTATCCGGGATATTCCCAAACAAAATGATTTACAGTTCCCCCTTGAATAACGCAGATTTAAACTGTGCAGGTCTACTTATAAACAAACTCTTAGACTTCTGCTAACCCTTACTCTTTTTTGGATTTCTGTAGCATATTAGTAATTTTTACACTAAAATACAAGAAAGATTTGTGCATTTATCTGCCATAGGAAAATTCCACTAAATATGATACTTAATTGTCCAAATAAAAGAAATCCACTTACCAATTTAAGTAAAGGAAAATTAGGTCTACTCTATGTGAGTCAAACAATAATATAATAAACTCTTACCCACATTTTATTTAAAACACTCAACTTTTAAGAACTCTTTCTATATATACTAACTGAAGGTTTGGTATCTTACAGAAATTTCTATTCAGTCCTACTTAGTAACAAAGAGCATTTGATTGTGGGTAACGTTGACATACTCAACTATTCTAATGCACTTAATCTTCAAAATATTTTCTTCAGTAACATCTTTACTGAGGGAGGAAAAAGTTAACGGTTTTCTTCATACACACACACACACACACACACACACACACACACACACTAGTGCCCACTTATCCACAGGGGATACATTACCAGACCCCTTCCCTCCCACTGGATGCTTGAAACCACGGATAGCACCTAACCCAATTTTCATCAATTTGAACATGTTTCTGTTCATGTCTCCCACTCACAAATGTAACGCCTTTTCCATCTTAACTAAGCACCTTAACATGCACCATGTGGCTTTAAATTTTGCGGTTTGAGGTGTGACAGTAAAACTAGCATGAATTTCTTTGTCCCTCACAATTTCAGAGATAGGAAATTTGTTCTCACTGTGAGATTTTAGCAACCTCAGCATACAATTTTTTTTTTTTCTGAAGTTGAGAACTTTAACCTTTTCAACTGAAGCACTTTACAGCTTTTCTTTGGCATATATGAATTACTGGCATCACTACTCTTGGCTTTGGGGCCATTATTAAGTAAAATAAGGGTTACCTGAACACAAGCACTGTGATACTCATGATAGTTGATCTGATAACCTAGAGGGCTACGAAATGACTAATGGGCAGGTAGCGTATACAGTGTAGATACACTGAACAAAGGGATAATGCACATCCTAGTTGGGATGGTGTGAGATTTCATCATGCTACTCAGAATAGCTTGCAATTTTAAAATGTATTATTTCTGGAATATTCTATTTAACATTTTTGGACCATGGTTGACTATGGGTAACAAACCGCAGAAAGTGAATCCACAGATGAGGGGAGACTATTGTACAGACAAAACTAAAGAAAACTGTACACTGTATTTTCCATAGTATGAGTCACTAGGTACCTTTAATGATTCTCCCTCTGAAAACAATTAAAATGCTAGATAAAATAGCTTGCCTTGACTAAAAATTCAAATAGCTACACCAGTATATTCTTCCCCACATTTCTAGACTGGAAGGAAAACTGCCAGTGTGAACTTGGAGCTAAGTAGAAATAGGAAAAAAAAAAAACTACTTTGAAAATCTTCTCATGTAGGTCGTGACCTGAATTCATATACCTACATGGTCAAAAAATTCTCAAGCCAAGAATTTAACTAATATTGGTCCCAAGCTAGTAATATCTCCAGGCACCTGACAAAAACAAATGCAAATTCTTTCAATCCAGGCTTCAATTACCACAAATAAATTTATTCTAGAAAATACAAACACAATATAAACAAAAAAAAATGATAAGAACAATAAAAACCACAACATACAAGGAAACACAGCACTATGAACAAGGCCAAAAGAACGTTAGTCACAGAGACTTTATTAAAATCATACAGAATATAAAATATGGGTATTATATAGTTTAAGAAATGATGACATTGAAAATATAAAGAACAAGATAAAATTATCAGTAGTCAAAATGCTTCCAGAAATAATAAAATCACTGAAATTAAAAGTCAACAGGCAGATCTTATGGATGATTAGATACACCTGAAGAAAAAATTGGTACACTGAAAAAATCTGAAAAATTATCCAGAGTACCTACAGAAAGACAAAGAAATGGAAAACACAAGAAGCAAGAGTTAAGGAACACAGAGGTGGAGTATACATGTTTAATCATAGTTCTAAAAGGGAAATAAGAAATGTGGCAAAGACATTAACTGGACGAGAATTTTTCGCAACTGACGAAAAATCCAAATCCATAAATTCAGGAGAGCCCAGAAAATGCCAATAGAGATAAATAAAACAATTATACATCTAGCTAATCATAATAAACTATAAAATACCAATAAAGAGCAGTGGATAAACAGAGAAAGATATAGATTGTTTACAAAAACATGGGAAATTAAATTGGAAAGAAAGGTCTAAGATGCAAATCAGTAAATATATAGGCTAACGAATTTTGACAATTTGAAGTACTAATAAAAATAATCTCATCTAGGCTTTAAAAATACAGCAAAAACACATGACATCAATAACATGAGCATTCATTCAGCGTTAGTGTTCCAATGCCATTTTACTGGAGGAAGATAAAGTATATAAAGTGTATACCTCAATAAGTTAAGAGCTAAATTCCCCTTAACTAATTTACACATTTACATACAGTAAAAGTATCTTCAAGTTTTTCTGGGGGTAGACAATTTCATTACAAAATTGTGTATCTGGCAAACATGAAACAAGAGAAATGAAAAGGGACCAGCCAATTTTGTAAAGCCTCTATAATTAAATCAACATTGTGTTGGCACACGAACAGACAAATAGGCTAATGAAACAATAGAAAATCCAAAAAGAGACCACAATAGTATGTGAAAATTTAGTATACGATAAAAACAGCATCTCAAATCAGGGAAAAATTCACTTCTTCATACTGGACAGCCAAATGTTAAAAATTATACAGGACAAATATCAGAAAAAAAAATCCTCATATAACTTGGTTACTGAGAAATGTTTAACTATGATAAGAAACTCAGAAGCAATAGGGGAACATTAACATATTTTAATTACATTTTAAAAATCTACACAGCTTAAAAAAGCATTAAACAAATTAACACCACATGCAAAGCAAAAGATAAATGAAAAAAAGGGCCGAGGCCAGTGGCTCACACCTGTAATCCCAGCACTCTGGGAGGCCGAGGTGGGTGGATCAATTGAGGTCAGGAGTTTGAGACCAGCCTGGCCAACATGGCGAACGAAACCTTGTCTCTACAAAAAATACAAACAATTAGCTGGGGGTGGCTGCACACATGTGTAATCTCAGCTACTCCTGAGGCTGAGGCAGGAGAACTGCTTGAACCCAGGAGGGAGAGGCTGCAGTGAGCCGAGATCACACCACTGCAATCCAGCCTGGGTGACAGAGTGAGACTCTGTCTTCCAAAAAAACAAAAAGATAAATGAAAAAAATATACATTTTCAACTTACAGCACAGGAAGGGCTTAACATCCCTATAACAATAATGAAAAGAAAAAGTCCAACTAATTTATAGAAAGTAGGATTGACATATCATCAGACAGCTCAGGAAAAATCAAACACAGATGGGCTTCAAGAACATCTTAGTCCATTGTACAGCTGTAACAGAGTACCTGAGACTGAGTAATTTATAATGAAGAGAAACTTATTTGGCTCCCAGTTCTGGCAGCTCATCAGAGCGCCAACAGGTTTGGTGTCTGGTGAGGCCCTTCTCTTCTGAGAAGATGGCACGGTGAATGCCACATCCTCTGGAGAGGAAGAAGGCTAGATCATTACATGGCAGAAGGTAAAAGGGCCAAGCAGCAAAAAGAGGCCAAATTCACCCTTTTATAACAGCATTAATCCCACCTGTGAGGGCAGGCCCTCATGGCCTAATCACCTCTCAAAGGTCCCACCTCTTAATACTGTTACAATTCCAATTAAATTGCAATATGAGTTTTGGGGGGATAAAGCATACCAAAGGATATGAAAAAAAGATATTCAAACTTCAGTCACAAGAAGAAAAATACAAATTAAAAATATACCAAGATGCCATTTCTCATTTATTAGTTTAGTCAAAAAAAATCAGAAGATTGACAGAATAAATTGTGATGAGGTCAGAGATATACAAGGCCAGATTTTGTGGGTAGGTTATACAAAATGGTACAAGCTCTATGGAAGGAACACTGGGCATATTTAGCAACATTACAATGTGTTCATCCTTTGACCCAGATTCTAGGAACCTACCCCCAAAATCTGGCAAAAATTCAAAAAGAGGTATCCAAAAGGATATTAATCATAGCACTATTTATAACAGGAAAAGAATGGAAACAACCCAAATGCATACCAGTAGAGGACAAATTGACTGACTATGCTACATCAACACAACAAAATTCATAGAATTCACAGAATACCATAAATTGTAAAAAATGAATTTGGAATAGTCTGTATCACTGTGGAATGATCTCCAAGATATAATACTAAGTAAAAAAAAGCAGGGTGGAAAAATGTATGTATCTGTTTATCTAAAAAAGGGCATGGATATGTTATTTGTTAGTTGGACCTTGCTTTTCTATCAACCGAATTCCTGTCTTTAATAGGCATAGACCATTTGAATTTTATGTAATTTATGTTTGTTTTCTGAGATGGAGTCTTGCTCTCTTGCTCAGGCTGGAGTGCAGTGGTGCAACTCAGCTCACTGCTACCTCCACCTCCTGGGTTCAAGTGATTCTTCTGCCTCAGTCTCCCGAGTAGCTGGGATTACAGGCGCGCGCCACCACACCTGACTAATTTTTGGTATTTTTAGTAGAGACAGGGTTTCACTATGTTGGCCAGGCTGGTCTCAAACTTCCGGCCTGAAGTAATCTGCCCACCTTGGCCTTCCAAAGTGCTGGGATTACAGGCGTAAGCCACTGTGCCTGGATGAATTTTATGTAATTTTTAATATGCTTAGATTAAACCCTATCATCTTAATAGTTTTGTTTGTTCTGTCTATTCATTGTTCTGTTTGACCTCTTCTTCCTCCTTCTTTGGGACTGAGCAATTTTAAGATTCCATTTAGTGTCCACTTTGGCTTAACACATTCACCTGTTTTTAGCGGTTACTCTAGAGTTTACAAATATACATATCTTTAAAAATCCCGCCTAATCTCAAATAATATTATGGTGCTTTAGGTATAATAACCTATGTACTATTTTTGTCATTCATTTGGTTTTAAACATGCTACAAACCAATAATATTTCACTACAATTTTTGCTTTATTCCTGGCATCTGGAATATATGGCCCATAGGCTGCCTGCCAGTTTGTATAAAAATTGTGTTGAAACACAACGCTATCCATTAATTTATGTAGTGTTTATGGCTGCTTTCTTGCTACAAGAGCAAAGCTGAGTAGTTACAGAGACACTACGGTCCATGAGTCTAAAATATCTAGCCCTTTTAAAAACTGTTTTGTCAACCCCTGCTTTAGATGATCAGTTATGTTTTACAGTGTTTAAAAATAAGAAAAATTTAATTTGATATTTATCTTCAGTTTTTATTTACCATTTTCCACTCTATTTCCTTAGATACATCCAAATTTCTGTCCAGCATCTGGTGCTGCTTATGGAACTCCCTTTAACATTTTTCTGTAGTTCAGGCCTGCCAGAAATGAATTACCTCAGTTTTTGATTACATACATCTCTCTCTTTTACTTTAGAAATATATTTTCTCGAACTGAAAGTTTGACCAGGTGTGGTGGCTCATGGCCTGTAATCCCAGCAGAGGCCGAGGCAGGTGGATCGCCTGAGGTAAGGAGTTCGAGACCAGCCGGGCCAACATGACAAAACCCCGTCTAAAAATAAAAAAATCAGCCAGGCATAGGGGCGGGCACCTGTAATCCCAGCTACTTGGGAGACTGAGGCAGAAGAATCGCTTGACCCCGAGAGGCAGAGGTTGCAGTGAGCCAAGATGGCGCCAATGCACTCTACCCTGGGAGACAGAGCAAGACTCCATCTCAAAAAAAAAAAAAAAAAAAAAAGTTAATACATCTCTTTCTTTCATCACTTTAAAGTTGTCACTTCATTGTGTTTTAACTTGCAATTTCTGAAGAGATGTCCGCTACACATTATCTTCATTCTTCTTTGGATCATGTCTTTTTTTCTCTTGTTACTTTCACCTACTTGTGTTCTAGTTTCTGTAGCTGGATCCTTTACATTATTTTAAGAAAATTCATGGCCATTATTTTGTCAATATTTATTCTGCCTCATTTTATCTTCTTCTGAAATTCTAGTAGACATGTTATACAGTTTTAGATTTTCCTAAATTCTTAGACACTCTGTTCTGTTTCTCCTTGCCTTTTAGTTTGGGTATTTCTATGAATCTACATTCAAGGTTCATTCATTCTTTCTTTAGCTGCATTAAGTCTACTAAAGAATCTGAAGGTCTTAGCCATTCTTCATCTGTTAATGTGTCTATTTCCAGAATTTCCATTTGAATCTTTCTTAACGTTTCTGTGCCGAAATTTCCAATCTGCTCAAACGTATTATCTGTCTTTTCCACTATAGCCTTTATATCGGGATCTAGTTCTACTGATTGCTTTATCTCTTAATAGGGGGTCTCTTTTTTAAAAAAAAATGTGTCTGTAATTTCTGGTTTTTGAAAGCTGGGCTTCATTATATAAGGCCATTATCCTAAGTGAATTAACGCATGAACAGAAAACCAAATAACACATGTGCTCACTTATAAGGGGGAGCTAAACATTTCATACTCATGGACATAAAGATGGCACAACAGACACTGGAGACTACTAGTGGGGCAGAGGGTAGGATTTAAAAACTATCTAGTGGTTAGTATGCTTACCACCTGGGTTATGGGACCATTCATATCCCAAACCTCAGCAATATATCCATGCAACAAACTGGCATACATACTCTCAGAATCTAAACTACAAGTTGAAATTATTAAAAAAAAAAAAAAAAAAAAAGACAGTAGAGGTTGAGGTAAACAGCATTTATGCCTAGAAAGAGGCATGTCTTTTCTTCTGCTAGGGCTTTATTGTGGAGCATATGAGTAAAACCGGTTAGAAGTTAAACTGAATATGGGTTTTGTTGTTGGTATCATGACCTTCTGTGCACCACTGGCTTCAAATTCTTGCACTATTCTATTGGATTTACAGGAGAGGCTGAATTGCCAGATACTATTTTAGGATTTGGCCCATGGGCCATAGTTTGTGAATCCCAGTGATAGAGAAAAGATTAACCATGTTAAGTAAAGAAATGGAAGACACAAAAAGACCTTCATCACGCTTTTGCACATAAAAAATAAAATGTCTGAAATGAAAAATACACTGTATGGGATTAACAGCAAATTTGACATTATAGAAGATAACAGTATAATGGGAAAATAAAGGTACAGCAATAGAAAACTATTTAAAATAAAAGAGAAAGACAAAAAACGACTAGAGCTATTAATGAGCTGCAAGACAGCTGTTGTTCCCCTTCAGGTAGCATCCCTGAAGAAAACACAATAGTGGTTTCTAAAAAGTTTTTTGAGGACATTTCCAAAAGCTGACAAAAATTGTAAGCCCACAGATCCAAGAAGCTTAAAATCAAGAAACACGAAGAAAACTACACAAAACACATTACAACCAAATTTCTTTAAACCAGCAATAAACTTCAAAAGACACCAATGAGAAAATGAAAAGACAAGATATAGCATGGGATAAATCACAAATCACATATCTGATAAAGAGTGTATATCCAGAATACATAAAGAATTCTTAGAACTCAGTAAGATGACAAATAATACAATTTAAAAATGGGCAAAAAAATTTGATAGATTTTGCCAAAGAAAATATAAAATAGCAAAGCATACAAAAAGATGCTTACCAACGACAGGACTGAGGAAATGCAAATTAAAAACAAAATGACATACTACTGTATAACCATTAAAATGGCTATTATGAAAAAGATAAAAAGTATTAGTGAAGATGTAAAGAAACTGCTACCCCCATAAGAAATTGGTTAGAATTTTAATCGTACAGTCACTTTGGTTAGCAGTTTTACAAAACGCTAAACATAAACTAATCATACATCTAACAATTCTATGCCTAGGTATCTACCTAGGAGAAATGAAAAGATGTGGCCACATAAGACACATACAGAAATGTTTATAGCCCAAAACTGGAAGTAATCTGAATAGCCATCAATTGCTGAATGCATAAATAAAATATAATATATCCATATACTGAAATCTATGAAGCACAAAAAGAAATGAGCTACTGATAAATGCTAACATAGGTAAACCTCAAGAACATTATTCTAAGTGAAAAATAGTCATTTAAAAGAATATTTTACATGACTATTTCGCAAGACTATTTTTAAATATTTTCACTTGCTCTAAGTGAAAGTATCCAAAATACTACATATTCTATGATATCATTTATATGAAATGTCTAGAAATAGCAACTCTATAGAGATAGAAAGCAGAGCAGTAGTTGCCTTGAGCTGGGTAGGCACTGGGGACTGAATGCAAATGAGCATGAGGGAGCTTTCTGGGGTAATGAAAATGAAAAACTGGATTGTGGTAATGGTTGCACAACTCTATAAAACTTACCAAAAAATCACTGAATTATAAACTGACAATGGGTGAATTATATGGATTTTATACTTTTTAATAAAGCTTTACATAAAAAAAGATAACTAGCAATGGGTAAGGAGTGGGGAAATACAGCTGAAACAAGATTGACAATATACTGATAACTGTTGAAGCTAGGTGATAGTTGCTTCTACTACTTTTACTTTCAAGTATACTTGAAAATTGTCATAATAAAGTTTTCTTTTATTATACTTTAAGTTTTAGGGTACATGTGCACAACGTGCAGGTTTGTTACATATGTATACAGGTGCCATGTTGGTGTGCTGCACACATTAACTTGTCATTTACATTAGGTATATCTCCTGATGCTATCCCTCCCCGCTTTCCCCACCCCATGACAGGCCCCGCTGTGTGATGTTCCCCTTCCTGTGTCCAAGTGTTCTCATTGTTCAATTCCCACCTATGAGTGAGAACATGGCGGTGTTTGGTTTTCTTTCCTTGTGATAGTTTGCTGAGAATGATGGTTTCCAGCTTCATCCATGTCCCTACAAAGGACATGAACTCATCCTTTTTATGGCTGCATCGTATTCCATGGTGTATATGTGCCACATTTTCTTAATCCAGTCTATCATTGATGGACATTTGAGTTGGTTCAAAGTCTCTGCTATTGTGAATAGTGCTGCAATAAACATACATGTGCGCAGCATGATTTATAATCCTCTGGGTATATACCCAGTAATGGGATGGCTGGGTCAAATGGTATTTCTAGTTCTACATCCCTGAGGAATTGCCACACTGACTTCCACAATGGTTGAACTAGTTTACAGTCCCACCAACAGTGTAAAAGTGTTCCTATTTCTCCACATCCTCTCCAGCACCTGTTGTTTCCTGACTTTTTAATGATTGTCATTCTAACTGGTGTGAGATGGTATCTCATTGTGGTTTTGATTTGCATTTCTCTGATAGCCAGTGATGATGAGCATTTTTTCATGTCTGTTGGCTGCATAAATGTCTTCTTTTGAGAAGTGTCTGTTCATATCCGGCACCCACTTTCTGATGGGGTTGTTTGATTTTTTCTTGTAAATTTGTTTAAGTTCTTTGTAGATTCTGGATATTAGCCCTTTGTCAGATGGGTAGATTGTAAAAATTTTCTCCCATTCTGCAGGTTGCCTGTTCACTGTGATGGTAGTTTCTTTTGCTGTGCAGAAGCTCTTTAGTTAAATTAGATCCTATTTGTCAATTTTGGCTTTTGTTGCCATTGCCTTTGGTGTTTTAGTCATGAAGTCCTTGCCCATGCCTATGTCCTCAATGGTATTGCCTACGTTTTCTTCTAGGGTTTTTATGGTTTTAGGTCTAACATTTAAGTCTTTAATCCATCTTGAATTAATTTTTGTATAAGGTGTAAGGAAGGGACCCATTTTCAGCTTTCTACATATGGCTAGCCAGTTTTCCTGGCACCATTTATTAAATAGGGAATCCTTTCTCCATTTCTTGTTTTTGTCAGGATTGTCAAAATCAGATGGTTGTAGATGTGTGGTATTATTTCTGAGGGCTCTGTCCTGTTCCATTGGTCTGTATCTCTGTTTTGGTACCAGTACCATGCTGTTTTGGTTACTGTAGCCTTGTAGTATAGTTTGAAGTAGGTAGTGTGATGCCTCCAGCTTTGTTCTTTGGCTTAGGATTGTCTTGGCAATGCGGGCTCTTTTTTGGTTCCGTATGAGCTTTAAAGTAGTTTTTTCCAATTCTGTGAAGAAAGGCATTGGTAGCTTGATGGGAATGGCATTGAATCTATAAATTACCTTGGGCAGTATGGCCGTTTTCACAATATTGATTCTTCCTATCCATGAGCATGGAATATTCTTCCATTTGTTTGTGACCTCTTTTGTTGAGCAGTGATTTGCAGTTCTCCTTGAAGAGGTCCTTCACATCCCTTGTAAGTTGGATTCCTAGGTATTTTATTCTCTTTGTAGCAATTGTGAATGGGAGTTCACTCATGATTTGGCTCTCTGTCTGTTATTGGTGTAGAGGAATGCTTGTGATTTTTGCACATTGATTTTGTATCCTGAGACTTTGCTGAAGTTGCCTATCAGCTTAAGGAGATTTTGGGCTGAGACAATGGGGTTTTCTAAATATACAATCATGTCATCTGCAAACAGGGACAATTTGACTTCCTCTTTTCCTAACTGAATACCCTTTATTTCTTTCTCTCGCCTGATTGCCCCGGCCAGAACTTCCAACATTATGATGAATAGAAGTAGTGACAGAGGGCATCCCTGCTTGTGCCAGCTTTCAAAGGGAATACTTCCAGTTTTTGCCCATTCAGTATGATACTGGCTGTGGGTTTGTCATAGATAGCTCTTATTATTTTGAGATAGGTCCCATCAATACCTAATTTATTGAGAGTTTTTATTTAGCATGAAGTGTTGTTGAATTTTGTCAAAGGCCTTTTCTGCATCTATTGAGATAATCATGTGGTTTTTGTCTTTGGTTCTGTTTATATGCTGGATTACGTTTATTGATTTTCGTATGTTGAACCAGCCTTGCATCCCAGGGATGAAGCCCACTTGATCATGGTGGATAAGCTTTTTGCTGTGCTGCTGGATTCAGTTTGCCAGTATTTTACTGAGGATTTTTGCATCAATGTTCATCAAGGGTATTGGTCTAAAATTCTCATTTTTTGTTGTGTCTCTGCCAGGCTTTAGTATCAGGATGATGCTGGCCTCATAAAAAGAGTTAGGGAGGATTCCCTCTTTTTCTATTGATTGGAATAGTTTGAGAACGAATGATACCAGCTCCTCTTTGTACCTCTGGTAGAATTTGGCTGTGAATCCATCTGGTCCTGGACCCTTTTTGGTTGGTAAGCTATTAATTATTGCCTCAATTTCAGAGCCTGTTATTGGTGTATTCAGAGATTCAACTTCTTCCTGGTTTAGTCTTTGGAGGGTGTATGTGTGCAGGAATTTATCCATTTCTTCTAGATTTTCTAGTTTATTTGTGTAGAGGTGTTTATAGTATTCTCTGATGGCAGTTTGTATTTTTGTGGGATCGGTGGTGATATCCCCTTTATCATTTTTTATTGCATCTATTTGATTCTTCTCTCTTTTCTTCTTTATTAGTCTTGCTAGCAGTCTGTCAATTTTGTTGATCGTTTCAAAAACCCAGCTCCTGGATTGATTGTTTTTGAAGGGTTTTTTATGTCTCTATCTCCTTCAGTTCTGCTCTGATCTTAGTTATTTCTTGTCTTCTGCTAGCTTTTGAATTTGTTTGCTCTTGCTTCTCTAGTACTTTTAATTGTGATATTAGGGTGTCAATTTTAGATCTTTCCTGCTTTCTCTTGTGGGCATTTAGTGCTATAAATTTCCCTCTACACACTGCTTTAAATGTGTCGCAGATATTCTGTTATGTTGTGTCTTTGTTCTCATTGGTTTCAAAGAACATCTTTATTTCTGCATTCATTTTGTTATGTACCCAGTAGTCATTCAGGAGCCGGTTGTTCAGTTCCCATGTAGTTGAGCGGTTTTGAGTGAGTTTCTTAATCCTGAGTTCTAATTTGATTGCACTGTGGTCTGAGAGACAGTATCTTGTGATTTCTGTTCTTTTACATTTGCTGAGGAGTGTTTTACTTCCAATTATGTGGTCAATTTTGGAATAAGTGTGATGTGGTGTTGAGAAGAATGTATATTCTGTCGATTTGGGGTGGAGAGTTCAGTAGATGTCTGTTAGGTCTGCTTGGTGCAGAGCTGAGTTCAAGTCCCAGATATCCTTGTTAACCTTCTGTCTCATTGATCTGTCTAATATTGACAGTGGGTGTTAAAGTCTCCCATTATTTAAAAAAAAAAAAACTGTTGACAAAGGTGTGAGAAAACTGGTTCTCTCTTACCTTGCTGGCAAGAATGTAAATTGGTTCAACCTTTACAGAGGAAATTTGGCAGCATCTACCAAAATGAAAAATTACATTCCTTGTATAAATGTGTGATAAGTGATAAATTACACTCTTTGATCTAGCAATTAATCTACTCCTAGGATACATCTAAGATATACAAATACCCTTGTACATATTCCGGTCATACATGGTAATTCATTAAAGGGTTGTTGATAACAGCAAAAGATTGAAACAAGAACTATCCATTAGTAAGGGGCTGGTTAATTACATTTTGATATACACATAAGAGTGAAATACTCTACAGCCAATGTGATGACCAGTGTTCTTTCTATGCTGATGGGGAAAGGTATCTAAGTGAAAAACAGAGATACAAAACAGTGTGTATAGTATACTAGCATTTGTCTAAAATGATAATATGAGGTTTTTTTCTTATATATGCATTATATATCTGAAAGGAAAACTCATGAAAATAAGTACACTGGATGGCTACAGATACAGAAACTAGGAAACTAGGGGACAGGTAAATGTAAATGGCAAGGGTATCTCATTGTATACGCCACACTTTTCGAATTTTGAACCATGAACATGTATTACCTACTCAAAAATTAAAAGTGATAAAGATGAAATCTTAAAAGCAAGCCGCTAAAAGGGTACATTATATACATGGAACCAGATAAAAAGCAGATTTTTCATCAGAAGAAAATGTGGCCAGAAGACACTGGATGGACTTCTTTAAAGTATGGGAAGAAAAAAATTGCCAATCTAAAATTCAATAATCAGTGGAAATGTCTTCCAAAACAAAGGTCTTTGGGTTCTGGTTAGTTTTGGCTAAAGGGAGTCAATGGCAGAAGTCAGAAGTCAGGAGGAAGGAGAAATGAGGGTCTTTCTCCCCTTACCCCTCTGCTTCAAGATCCTCTATAGCAGTAGTTATATCTCTTCAGAGGTACCCTCTCACACAAATCGGTGCTGCTTCCTCTCATCAACCATCTCTTGTCTGTGGGCTCTAGTAATACTTTCTTCTTCCTTTGTCCCTCCATTTCTAGAGCTAACAGCAACTTGCCACAATTGCCAATGTTCAGGTTCACCATCTCCTGTCTATTCTCTCAGATCATCTAACACCTTTAAAAGTGATTCTATGAATAAGTTCCTTCTACTTAATTATCTAGGATGGTTGACATTTACCTAATTGAATCTTGACTGAAACAGATCTTAATCAAAAAGAAAATGAAGGTCAGTCTGCCAAGCCCTAGACCCAGGAGGGGAGGCCACTACTGATAGCCCAGAGGGAAAGAACAAACTGGGGGTATCTGGGATGCAGTGGCCTTAGTCCTTCAGGTAGAACAGTGCAACACGGGAAAGAAAACCAAGCACACAGCTAACATTTCATCAGAGAATGAAGAGGAGTAGACTGTGGAGAAGGTGCTAGACAGGCATGTGGTTAAGTGGCAAGTGGAGTATCTGCTGAAGTGGAAAGGCTTTTCTGAGGAGCACAATACTTGGGAATCTGAGAAAAACTTGGATTGCCTTTAGCTCATTTCTTAGTTTACAAAAAAGTTTAAGATGATGAAGGAGGGTTAAAATAACAAGCCTGGGGAGAAGTCAAAAAGTAGCAAAGAAATCCAATTTCTCAAACTGTGCTGACAGTATCAAGTCCAAAAAAGAGAACAGAGTGATGATATTGCTTGGGGCTTCGAGATAAGACTAGAACCAGAAAAGATCATTGGGGCAACAGATTCCTGTGGCAATTTATGTTTTTAATGAAATGGAAAGACAGATGAAGCAGACCTGGTTCTTGCAAAAGAAGCTAATGTGAACTGTCTACAAATTATGACAGCATTTTATGAAGAGAGACTGATGTTGCATGCGTACCTTGAGGATACAGAAACCAAAGAGGAAAAAACAGCAAAGGGCTAAAAGGGGGTGATCCCTGTCACTTCTCTTAGTACATAATACATTCACATTCCTGTCTCTTCCTTTCTCCCCACCCCTTTCTATCCTAAACATATCCTTGATAAAATATGCTTATCACTGTGCTCCACAGGAGAAAAGATGGTATTGGTTCTCTTTAACATAACTGATAGTCCTATTCATAGGGGGAAAAAATAAAAAAGGAAACAAAAGTGAATTCATTGAAAATTATTCCCTACAAAACAAGGAGCAAATTTTTTCTTATAAAGGGAAAACCTTTTCAAGATACCAAAGCTTAAGAAAACTATAGCTAATAAGCTTCAACCAATAAATTACTAAAAATATATGATTTGCTTAAATATTTTGAATTCTATAATTCTGTTCATTGCTTCTTATACAGCAAACTTGGAAGAAATTCTTCCAGTGCCTTAATCCTGGGATAATTTCTCATAAGTTTTCTTTGTAAGAAGCAGTGAGCAAAATTTTGTCAATTTTATCATTACAGAAGCATTTCATGTAATTTTTTTTCTTTTTTCTTCATTCCACAGTAAAAGCTGCCAGTATAATATTGTAGTCTAGTTCTATAAATCAAAAATATTAGTGGGAAGGAAGTTAAAAAGAAAAAAAAGTTCAGCTCTGTAGTTTTTTAATGATCTGACTTAGCACAAGATTAAGCCATTCAAAATAAAAAAATTCAAATGTACTTACACCATTCATAATGACTATATACATCTTTTAAAGAATAACTTTTAAAGAATAAAGATCTTCCTAATAGTAGCTTGTAGTCAACTGCTGTTTTGCTCTAATTTTTGTATATCCACACTGACCAAGAGAACTATCAAGCTTTCCTTCCTTTAGAATAGAAAAACAATAAATACCATTTTCCAAAACTACACATCTACAGCCCTCTAGATTCTGATATAAATACTAATGTAGGTGGGAACAGGGTATTTCTTTTCCCCTGATCACTTTCCATCCCTACCAACAGAAATATACCAATTAGTAATCTATCTCTTTGCTCATAAAACAACTATAGTCCCAACCACTTTACTCCAAAATCAATAAAAGGAGCAATAAAGACCAAAATTACCGGGGAAAAGATGCTAGTCACAACTAAGACCAAATGCAATACTAAGTTTCTAACGATGGCCAATACAAACAAATGCACTAAGAGTTTTTTAATATTGACTTTAGCTACAACAAATCCTATAAACAAAATACTCTAGTGTAATAGGGAAGAACAAAACCATCTCATGAAGTTTAGTAAGAGAAAAGAATTAAGACCACCAACTGCCTCAAAAAAAAAAAAGAATATTATCTCTTCCTCAGAGAAGACAAAGAAATAGAACGCTAGACGACCTAGATTTTTCTCTCAAATGACTAAGTTCACATGTCACAAATGATTAGTAAAGACAATAGATACAAAATTGGTTAAGGTGTTGAATAATTGTTCGTCAATATAAAGAGTCAGGAGTAAGAGTACTAGATGCTGTGGAGATGGGCAATACTCATTGGGACCTACAATACAAACACCTTTTGTGGGGCCCAGCCCCCGCAAAAAACAAATGTACCTTTATAATTAGCCTTTCTTCCTTTATTTCCAAGTCATTTCCTAAATTAGTTGAAAGCCTAGACTTAAATTATAAATGCAATCAAGTAAAACTTGATTATAGAGTAGAGACTGAAGTTAGGCTAGGCATAAATGCTGTATGAAATACAGTACAATTTAGCAACATAATCAGAAAGGATCAGTGATCTAACATTACATGTGTAGTCTAGTCCAAGAATATCTAGCCACTCAAAATAAGAGACTGATTATACCCACTTAGCTCCATGAAGACAAGACCCTTTGGTCTTTTCTCTTAGACAGCTTGCCAATACACCATTTAGTCTTTGCCAGTGCACACACCAAATACAACTAGCTGAACTAGTTCCTCCTCCAGTGATTCTTGTGGACCTAGTGGCCGTCAGGCAAATACCTGCTGTCCCATAACTCACCTCTACCTGGAATGCTGAAATCTATGAACATTTACTTTCTGTTGGGTAAAAGGAGGCTGTGAAGGCAGCATTACAATTTGCTTTTCTTTTATGTAAAACTTATAAAGTCTATATTTTCTGCCTGAAAGTCCACTTAGTTTCAGGGTGTTTGGCTTTGTTTCACCTGTGAAACTTAACTTAGGAATCAGTATTTAACCAATCTAAAACAAGGCAAAAGGAAAAAACCAGTAAGAACTTAATTAACTCAATTTGCAAAAGTCCCCCAACTTTTCAGGCTTCAGTTTTCTTATCTACAAAGAATGAATTTGAGGTCCATATGCACAAAGCAAAATCTCTGTTTCTTCAGAAAATACATCTTATAAGGATAGTCAACCCAGGTAAAGTTAGACAGAATTATAATTAGCTGATTTAAGACAATTCACTACATGACTTTTTATTTCTGTAACATCTGAAATAACACTCAAGTATAAATAAAAGCAGAATCCACTTTCCTTCCCTGTAGACAACACTAGCAAAACTCTAATTTTCAAGTGTCCCAGCTGATAGAAGGCAGATCAATACATATGTATAATTACAAAGTAGATAAAGGCTTTTATTAAGGTGGACATATATACCAGACAATACTGCCAGAGAATATAGTAACTTACAATTTTTCCATATAACATATTTTATTTGTAAATGTTATACATATATAAAAGACATAATCTCCTTAAATTATTTTATAACATTATTTAATAAACTTCATATGTCAAGCAAATAAAAAATTTAAAGTCATGATGTAAATCAAAAGAACTGTAAAAACAGATAATAAATATATTGAAATCTGTTAATATCCAGGTGCCTTAAACATTCTGTTTGCCATCCCTAAGAGGCTCTTCTGCTCCTTCATCTAAGTTATTCCTGTCATTCCTTCAGAGTACAGCAAGTTAGCTCACCCAGCACATTTTTGCTGACCTCCAAGACAGGTCAAGTCCCTGTTATGCCCTCTCATTGCATTCTGTAATTCTCTCCTAACTACAATTATATAAAAGTATAACTGCTTGTTTAATATAATATCTCTTAGCTCTGTAACATCTTGGAGAACAAGAATTTATCTATCTTATATTCTATTTTATCCCTAGAAGCAAGCAGAGCTTTACAGAATAAATGACCAAATAATTATGCAGTAATTGTTAGAAAAATTTTTTGATTAAATATTTAAATAAAATAACATACTATTGTAGATTTACTACTCTTTTAGTAGGACCAACATGTTGCTATTTCCCCATTTTTCTTCTGGTATGGAAAATATAATTAACTTCTCTGTAAAGTAAATACAAATAATGCAAAAAGTTTTCCTTCTAAGAAATCTTACTATTTAGTAAGTCATCAAGATAACATATTTCTTTTGCCTTACATTGAACATCTTAGATAAGATTTGCTTCTGCTTAACACATTATTTTTTACATGGGCAGTAGTAGAAAAGCTAGTGTTTTAGTCCATTTTCATACTGCTATGAAGAAATACCCGAGACTGGGTCATTTATGAAGAAAAAGAGGTTTAATGGACTCACAGTTCTACATGGCTGAGGAGGCCTCACAATCACAGCAGAAGGCGAAGGAGGAACAAAGGCATGTCTTACATGGCGGCAGGCAAGAGAGCATGTGCAGGGGAACTGCCCTTTATAAAACCATCAGATCTCATGAGACTTATTCACTATCATGAGAACAGCACAGGAAAAACCCGACCCCATGATTCAATTACCTCCCATTGGGTCCCTTCCATGACACGTGGAGATTATGGAAGCTACAATTCAAGATGAGATTTGGGTGGGGACACAGTGAAACCATATCAGCTAGCAGGCAATGCAAGAGAAGTCAATAAATGACATTTTAAACCAAAGAACTTTTGAAAGTTGTATAAGAATTTTCACATAACACTAAAGTTAACAAAGATTATATAGATGAAAGAGGGAAAAAATTCCAATAGGCACTGAAACAGCAATACTTCTTCCTTACGAATAATTTATTTTAATACATATTTTCCTCAAAAATCAGTAGAGAATAACTGAAACAGTTTTGGTAATCTGCAAAATAATGTAAACATTTTCCTTGTAGTGTGATTATTTATTATTTTTTATTATTTTTGTCTACGTAGCCAGTTCTTTAAGGAAATTGCTCCTCTCTCCAACACTTCTGTGGTTCTGATGGGGCAGCTAACATAGTACAGTCATTATGTTGCTTAACGACAGGGATATGTTCTGAGAAATGCATCATTAGGTGATTTTGTCCTTGTGTGAACATCACTTAATGTACATACACAAAGCTAAATGGTATAGTCTACTACACACCTGGGCTACAAACCTGTATAGCATGCTACTGTACTGAATACCATAGGCAACTGTAACAATAGTATTTGTGTATCTAAACAGACAAAAGTAAGTAAAAATATAGCATAAAACAAGCTTGTCCAACTCGCAGCCTGCATGCAGCCCAAGATGGCTTTGAATGAGGCCCAACACAAATTCGTAAACTTTCTTAAAACATTACGTAATCTTTTTGCAATTTTTTTTTCTTAGCTTATCAGATGTCGTCAGTGTTACTGTATTTTATGTATGGGCCAAGACAATCCCTATTCTTCCAATGTGGCCAGGGAAGCCATAAGATTGGACACCCCTGGTGTAAAAGATAAAAGCTGTTTATGTGTACAGGGCACTTACCATGAATGGAGCTTGCAAGAATGATGTTGTTATAGGTGTGTCAGTGAGTGAATGGTGAATGAATGTAAAGACCTATGACATGACTACACACTCATGTAGAAATATAAACACTGTATATGTAGGCTATACCGCACTTATAAAAATTTTTTTCTTTAATAATAAATTAGCCTTATTATAACCTTTATAAACTTTTTACTTTTAACTTTTTGACTATTTTGTAACATTTAGCTCAAAACACAAACACATTTGTACAGCTGTATAAAAATATTTTCTCTTTATATCCTTATTCTTTAAATTTTTTCCATTTTTAAAAATTTTTTCATTTTTGTATTTTACATTTTTCTTGCTGTTGTTAAAAACTAAGTCACATACTGATCAGCCTAGTTCTACATAGAATCAGGGTCATCAATATAATTTTCTTTCACCTCCAAATCTTGTCACAATGGAAGTTCTTCAGGGGCAATAACATGCATGAAGCTGTTACCTTATATGATAACAATGTCTTTTTCTGGAATGCCTTCAGAAGAACCTGCCTGTGGCTGTTTTACAGTTAACCTTTTTTTAATAGGTAGAAGAGGTACACTCTAAAATAACAATAAAAAGTAGAGCATGTACATAAATCAATAATATAATTATCACTGTCAAGTATTATGTATTATATGTATAATTCTATATGCTATACTTTTATCTAACTGGCAGAGCCGTAGGTTTGTTTACACCAGCATCACCACAAGCATGAATAATGTGTTGCACTACATTATGGCAGCTATGACTTCACTAGGCAATAGGAATTTTTCAGCTCCATTATAATCTCATGGTACCACCATCTCATATGAAACATCTTTATGCAGCGCATGACTTATTCTCCTTTTCCCTAGCCATGGACTAGCCCAAAATCTTATGACATTCTCAACACAGTGATTAATCTAAGCAGTAGGAACATAACTCAGGTCTGACCAGAGTTCTTCTCAAGATATTTTTGGGATCTGTAGTAGGCAGAAGGGGTTTCTTCCTCCTTGGTTAATAAACTGAGCTTAATCCTAGAACTGTCAACAGCCCTGAAAGAATAAAGCCCAAAGAGGAAAGATGGAAAGAAACAGTTTCTAGATGACATTAGCTCATCTAGCAACTGTTTATTTTATTCTCTAGATTCAGAAAATCCTGAAACTAGTCCCAGTTCTTGCTTTTCTATGGCTTAGTTATCTAATAAAACATTTTTTTTTTTTTAAACAGAGTTTTGCTCTTTTTGCCCAGGCTAGAGTGCAATGGCATG
Source organism: Homo sapiens (assembly GCF_000001405.40). NCBI lineage: Eukaryota > Metazoa > Chordata > Mammalia > Primates > Hominidae > Homo > Homo sapiens. The sequence goes on along the minus strand of NC_000003.12, from coordinate 88,089,444 downwards.
ATCTTGGCTCACTGCAACCTCCGCCTCCTGGGTTCAAGTGATTCTCCTGCCTCAGCCTCCCAAGTAGCTGGGATTACAGGCGCTTGCCACCACGCCTGGCTAATTTTTTGTATTTTTAGTAGAGACAGGGTTTCACCATGTTGGCTAGGATGGTCTCGATCTCTTGACCTTGTGATCCACCCGCCTCGGCCTCCCAAAGTGCTGGGATTACAGGCGTGAGCCACCGCACCCGGGCTTTTTTTTTTTTTTTTTTAATACGTAAGCTTGAGTAAGACTTGCCAGGTATAATCAAAAAGTTCAAATACAAATAAATTCACATATTCCTTCCGGCATCACAAAATAAATATAATTTTTTTAATACAGTTTTTTTTAGGTCAGGCGTGGTAGCTCATGCCTGTAATCCCAGCACTTTGGGAGCCTGAGGTGGGTAGATCATCTGAGGTCAGGAGTTCAAAACCAGCCTGGCCAACATGGTGAAATCCCATCTCTACTAAAAATACAAAAATTAGCCAGGCATGGTGGCGGGTGCCTGTCATCCCAGCTACTCGGGAGGCTGAGGCAGGAGAATTGCTTGAACCCAGGAGATGTAGGTTGCAGTGAGCCGAGATCATGCCACTGTACTCCAACCTAGGCGACAGAGCCAGACTCCATCCATCCATCCATCCATCCATCCATCCATCCATACATACATACATACATAAATAAAGGTTTTTTTTTAAACTGCCTCACTCTTACAAATCTAAATAATATATTCTAAACTCTCTTTCCCTCCTACAATTTCAAATATATACAAATCAATTTTTAAAGACGCACAGTGTACACACACACATTTAAATTTCTCTTTGGTTTTGTTTTACATTCTGGATTTCTTCTTCAGCTTTACATCTTCCAACCTTCCTACAGAACTTTAAATTTTAACCATCATATTTTCTTAATTTCAAATTCATTTTTCATATCTCATTATTCCTTTCACACAGCGTGATACTGATGTTTTTAATGTTGTACGTAACTTCTCAATTCTCTCTAAAAATGCTAATTATAGATTTTATATTTCATTTTTATTTTCAACATTAACACTTTCTTTCAAAATTATTTTTCACTTTTTCATTGCATTTTTTCATATTGAAGGCATTTTTAAATATCTGATGATTCTTAGATATTCATTAATATGTAAAAACCAGGCCATATGTAAATAATTGGGAGCCCTATGAGCATGAGTCTGGAGTTTCTTGACTGATGAATTTTTCTTTAGCGTAATTAAGTAATTAGCTAGTAGTCTCACTGAGAAATCTGTAAATGCCAGAATGCAAAGGTCATTGCTCCAAGGTTATTTAATTTATATAGAGGAAATAAAAAAGTAGTATAGGTTGAGTGTCCCTTATCTGAAATGCTCAGAATTAGAAATGTTTCAGGTTTTGGATTTTGTAGTATTTGTATTTATACTTACTGATTGAGCATCCCTAATCCAGAAATCTGAAATCTGTAACGTTCCAATGAGCGTTTCCTTTGAGTATCACGTTAGCACTCAAAGAGTTTCGAATTTTGGAGCATTTCAGATGTCAGATTTTGGATTATCAGATTAGGGATACTCAACCTCTAATGCTGTTTCCCCACCCCAACCTGTCCGTAAGGCCTGGTGATTGAACTACATTAAAAAATTGTAATTAATTTATCTGCATTCTCCCCTAAATAAATGTTTCACATAATAATACTTATCCTATGAGACATACTCTGATATTTTCTATTGCAATTTGTAATAAGTGTTTTTATAAGCCACTGTTGTGGTGTGAGTACAATTTGAGGTATAAATAAATAACAGATGAAGCTGTGACTTGCTCCGCTGTGTTGCAATGACCATTCCTCTATCTGCTTTCTGTCCCCCAGAAAACTGTAGAAATCGTTCATTCACTGATAATCTTTCTCTATTTATTTTCATTCTCTTCTCTCTTTTACTTCTTTACTATAATTTTAGTGGGTTCTTAGGAGGGCAGAAGGCATAATCACAAATGTTCAGTTTTTAATCTTTAATTTGAAGTTCTCTATAAGCATTTTTTAAAAACCAGGATTTTCAGCCAGGTGTGGTAGCTCACGCCTGTAATCCCAGCACTTTGGAAGGCCAAGGTGGGCAGATCACCTGTCAGGAGTTCAAGACCAGCCTGGCCAACACGGTGAAACCCTGTCTCTACTAAAAATACAAAAATTATCCAGGCATGGTGGTGCACACCTGTGGTCCCAAGTACTCTGGGGCTGAGGCATGAGAATCACTTGAACCTGGGAGGTAGAGGTTGCGGTGAACCAAGATCACACCACTGCACTCCGGCCTGGGTGACAGAGAGACTCTGTCTCAAAAAAACAAAACAATGGGCTGGGCACGGTGGCTCAAGCCTGTAATCCCAGCACTTTGGGAGGCCAAGGTAGGCAGATCACGAGGTCAGGAGATCAAGACCATCCTGGCTAACATGGTGAAACCCCATCTCTACTAAAAATACAAAAAATTAGCCAGGCGTGGTGGCGGGCGCCTGTAGTCCCAGCTACTTGGGAGGCTGAGGCAGGAGAATGGCGTGAACCCGGGAGGGGGAGCTTGCAGTGAGCCGAGATGGCACCACTGCACTCCAGCCTGGGCGACAGAGCGAGACTCCTTCTCAAAAAGAACAAAACAACAAAACAAACAAACAGGATTTTCCTAACCTCTTTCTGACCTGATTTAAGGTCTCTCTGGTAACTATCATAGCCTAAACTGCTGTATTCTGGGACTTACCATTAGAGCTTCCCAAGGCAATCTGGAGAATTAAAAAGGAAAGTAAAGTGCTTGTAGTAACTAGAAGAATCTGTATATCAAAATTCCATTTAACTATTAAAACTTAAAGTAAAATTATGGTTACATGTTCAAAATTAAACCTGAATACTTCAGTGAAAAAAATAAACATTTCTTTTTGAGGGAATACTTTAGGAAAGGTTTCTTCTTCAGAAGAAATTATCAAAAACAAATTCTCAAACACATCAAGAAAAATAATGCATTTATAAGAAGTAAAAAGTACTTACACAGCAAGGCTACTCAAAACATATTGTACATGCTCACATTCATCTGGGAATGATGCACTGGCTGTTGTAAAACAACAAAGGGCAGTCTGAAGAACCTGAAGCTGTGGCAAAGGGACCTGCCATCTTCCAGCATAATCTTCAACCACCTGACAGAGAAGCAATCCAGACATTACTATAGAAAAAGTTCTCAACATCTCGAGTTTAAAAATTTGCATAAAAGTTACTGGATAAATTAAAATATTAGATCGGCATGAACACAGGTGACTGGAGGGAGGGATCTTCTATACTGTTTATTTTGACGATATATATCTGAAAATAAAATCAATTATTATCTTTGAAAAGATGGAAAATATAGTGTATGAATGTCTGTACTATTCAACTACCAATGTTTTACCAAATTTTGTTAACTAATGCCCTTTACCTCCTATATCCAGCTTTTGTGAAAATAACAATTATTCAATATTAAAATAGCTGGAGAGTAGAATATAGTAATAAAGAAAATTAGAAACGATCATGCATTATTATTATCATTATTATTTATAAGACTCTAAGCATTCTGGCAATAAATGAATATTCTGACAACAAAAGATATATGACATGATACTGATTATGAATATTTAACCTGTACATACTATGGGGAAAAGAGTCCAGAATACAGTCAGTCTTGGCTCTGTCACTTAACTAGTTTTATGAATCTGGGTAGGTCAACAGGTCATCTTCCTTCTCAATGCATTAGTTTCCTTACCATAAAATGGAGATGACAATGCTCTCTGAAGCCAAATTGGGGTAATTTATGAGAAAACATTTTAGAAACATCAATTGCTATGTTGCAAGAATGCTGTATTAAAACAATATATTATATTAACAAAATCCATCATCTAAAACTACTGCCTGCCTGCCTGATTTGTCCTGCCACTTGTTTTTGTACATCCACGAGGTAAAAGTGATTTTACATTTTTAAGTGGTTGGAAAAAAAATCACTTTGTGATATGTGAAAATTACATGAAATTCAAATTTCAATATCTATAAATAAGGTTTTATTGGAACACAACCAGGTTCATCCATTTATGTATTGTCTGTGGCTGCTTTCCTGCTACAACAACTGAGTTCAGTAGTTGTGACAGAAAGAATATGGCTTACAAAGCCTTAAATATTTAATGTCTGTCCTTTTACAGAAAAAAGTTTGCTGACTCCTGATACATAAGCTAAGAAAACTAGAATAGAAAAGCCAAGAACACTCAGAGCCCAAAAGACTTTTCACACTAATCACTTCCTACTGGGAGACAATTTTCCATGGGTCTCTCACATTTCTACAATTTTTCAAAAAGTCCTAGCTGACTTTATCTTTTCAAAGATATTTATAGGAAGCAGCCTTGAAAAACAGAGATGCTGTCTCCCTCCAGAGCAGAGAACCTGTTTATAGCCAGTATAATGAAGATATTTTCTCCCTCTAGGGCAGAGGTCAGGCAGATGTGCTTGTAGACCATTATAAAAGATTAGCGTTCCTTAAACTTGAGGTTCCTCAACTGTGATGAAAACCTACTAAGTGTAGCATCCACTTGGGCTACCATGTCAACTGTATGAGACTTGAGGTAGCAAGGGGCATCATCATAAACACGAAACTCACGCTGCTTGCTGTGCCATGATTAATAAAGTCCATTATCTCTGACTCAAGAGTTTCGTGTAATTGCCAGCACCTGTAAAACTGTGGCAGGCAAACTTGGATAAAATCTCACTCTTCACAGTTCTTGACAATTCCAAATGGCAGTACCAGGTACTCACACATCTTTCCAATGTTTCTGGGAACACATACAGATAAAAAAGAAAAGCTAAAGGAGATTGTCTCTGAACTTGTATCTCGTCTGGCTCTTGCAGTTCTCACTAGCTGGAAAGTAAAAACTACTACTAACTATGCGGTCATCACTACAGACTAAAAAAGAGGAATGTTAGAAAAAACACTGGTTCCCTGGCTCTAAATTTTCTCTTCCCTGAAGTCTTTGACCAGCTTTATTGCCTTTCTCTGGTTACCAAACCCCTACTCCGGTGCCACATAAAAAATAGGTACCTGACAGCCTCACATTTTTCTTGTTCCCAGTCCATGTTTACTTGCAACCTTATCTGCTCCCTATTTATGGGTTGGGTTTATCTCCTTAGAAGAGAAGCTTTCTACTTTCTCAGGTTCTGTTCTCATTATAGCTTCCTTCATTCATCCAGGTTTGGCTACCAATGTATTTGCCTAGTCTAGCTGAGGCCAAACCTAACACAATAAAAGTCCTTGTGGGCAACACCTCCATTAGGTTTGCTACAATACCCTGAAAGGGACATAAACAAAATCAACTGAAATTTAGATACCGTTTTACATTGTTTAATGTCGTGTCAGGCACTGTAATTCATTATAACACTATTTCAACACTATTTCTCTTTGAAATATTTTCTATATATATATATATATATATATATAAAATAAGTACATTACATTGTCCTATTAAAATGAAATTTTTCTCCTATGCTGTGAGTGCTGTCATACGCACTCAGCTAATCTGTGTGTTCTACAAGGCCACAAGGCAGTAAGCACCACATCTTTCACTTTTTTTCTTTTTTGGTATTCTAGTAGGTTGCCATTAACATAATGGTGGCCAGGATAACGCTGAAGCTGCTAAAACAAATAAGAATAGTGTTTTCCTGGATCTTAAAAACCCACTCTTACTACAGTTCTAAACTTTTAAAGAAAATGGTCTAAGAAGCAGAAGATTAAGGCTAGCAATCTTTTATGGATCGTGGAAACCCTTTTCTCATTTTGAAGAGCATAACAAACATTACTGTAGTGAATATTTACAGAAATTATAGGAACACTGATGACAGAAGCAATAGCCAAGGCCAGAAGCACGCTATGATATAAAGGGAATTGAAGAGGACAAAGCTGATGCCAAAGAAAGATGTTAGACTATGCTAATAATCCAGCAGCACTTTCAAGAGCATATACTCTGCTCTAAATGGGATATAGTATATACTATAAAATGTCATATCTTAATTAACCAAGGTAAATTAATGTGAGAATGAGAAAAGACTCATCAGTCAAAACTGTCAAAATGTAAACAACATAAAACTATTAAGTTAAAATTACATTAAATCATTTAGGAACACTAAAATATATCATCTAAATTGTTAAGGACTGAATTTTGTCTTCCTAAAGTTCATTTGTTGAAGCCCTAACCCCCCGATGGGACTGTATTTGAAGACAGGGCTTTGAGGAAGTAATTAAGTTTAAATGAGGTCATAAAGGTGAAGTCCTATTCCAGTAGGATTGGTGGTGAGGAGGAGGAAGAGTGAGGAAGAAGAGGGAGGAAGAGGGAGGAGGAGTGAGGAGGAGTGAGGAGGGGGAGGGAGGAAAAGGAGAAGGAGGCAGAAAGACCTCTCTCTTTCTCTATGCACATGCACCAAAGAATGGCCATGTGAGCACACAGGTCATCTGCAAGCCATGAAAAGAGCCCTCACCAGAACATGACCACGCTGGCATCCTGATCTGGGACTTCCAGCCTCCAGAACTGTGAGAAAATAAATTTCTGTTGTTTAAGCCACCAAGCATTTTCCTATGGCAGCCTAAGTAATACACAACTATTTAAACATATAAAGTGATCAACTAAAATATGAGTATCTGTTTCTTAATTGAGCTCTCCTTTTTTGTAATGTAACAAAGAAAACTACCAAACATTAGTTTGTCACTGAGCAAACAATGATCTTCATATCTAAACCCCTATTAACAGACTAGATCAATAACACAGCATCAAGCATGTCTTTATTTCTATTAGTTGGCTATTCACGTCCGTATTATTCTTTCCTCCTTGAAGACTCCCATTGTCATCAACTTTCATTACCTCAAACACCTCACAGTTCATAGGTGTCATTCAAGCTGTTCACTAATATTAAGTTCATCATTTGTTTACAGCGAATCCAGCCACTTTTAAAAACTGATTCACAGGCCAGGTGTGGTGGCTCACGCCTGTAATCCCAACACTTTGGGAGGCCAAGGCGGGCAGATCACAAGGTCAAGAGATCGAGACCATCCTAGCCAACATGGTGAAACCCTGTCACTACTAAAAATATAAAAATTAGCTGGGCGTGGTGGCACGCGCCTGTAGTCCTAGCTACTTGGGAGGCTGAGGCAGGAGAATCACTTGAACCCGGGAGGCAGAGGTTGCAGTGAGCCAAGATTGCACCACTGCACTCCAGCCTGGCAACAAAGCGAGACTCCATCTCAAAAAAAAAAAAAAAATTGATTAACAAACCAGAAGACGTGTCACAATTACCCTCCATTTTAGGGGCGTCAAAGAATGGCTGTGATACACTCCTGTATGAATTTGTTGAACGCAGACTAATACAATCTGTGCATTGATAAGTTTGCTAATTTTCTAAATACCTAAAATGTTTTAAAACACATTAGGTTAGTCTTACCCCCTTCAGTATGCTTATGTTATTCATTTGTAACGTAGTTGTATATATAAAAGTATTTCCTAGCTATCCATTGAGAGATCCTAGAAGCAATGACTCTACAGCAACAGTAAACACACTTAGTGCCCAAATCTTGGCCTCTAAATACCATTCTCCAATAAAAGGAACAAAGCAGCTGATTCCAGAGGTGGAACAGGGAAAACACAAGATGAGCCTGGAACTTGTTGTGGTGCCAGAAAGTAGAGAAATGCTGTGAAAAACAACAGGATATGAGAATATGGAAGCCAACCTGAAGGAGCTCCTAAAGGCTAAAGCTGGCACAACTTGAACAACAAAATAATGATAGCATTGGACTTTAATCCATACAATAAATTAAATATATGTAAGTCCATACTGATACAAATAATTAAATAAATGTTAGCAATGAGACAGCTGTTTCTTACAGTGAAAGAAGGAAAAAGACAAACAGAGAAGCACCATTAGGCAGACACCACAATGACAAATGTTGCAGACAACATCCATGCATCGATGCTAATAGTGAGTGAAAATTTGAGGAGAAGCAGGATTTGCAGTCTCAAGGTATCTCCCCCAAGACATTTATCAACAGATATAAAGACAGTACAGATATAAAGACAGTAACATTACAGTGGAAAACCCCCACATAAACTTAAAGCCATCAAGGTAAATATCACCTGTGAACTATATAATAAAATACATTATCATCATGAATCTCTTCATAACAATACATTGAGAAAGACACAATGCCATTTTTGTGGCACTTCTGCCAAAAATGCATAGATTGATTCCCATCACGAGAAAACAAACATCAGACAAACCCAAACTGAGGGATATTCTACAAAATATTAATAACTGATCAGTGCTCTTCAAAAATGGCAAGCAAAGACAAGGAAAGGCTGAGGAACTGTTACAGGCTGGAAGAGACTAAGGAGAAACAACTAAATACAACGTGAGATCACGGATAACATCCTGGAATGGGAAAAGAACATCAATGGAAAAATTTGAAAAGGTCTACAATTTTGTGACTATTGTACCAATGTTACTTTCCTGTTCTTGATAGCTGTACTGCATTCTGTAAGTCTAAAATTAGTTCAGTTTTAAAAAATTTAAAAACAAATCTGTCTGTTCCAACCTTTTCCCTCAAATTTCAATGTTGTTATAGATTTTCTGGATGTTATTTGATAACATAAGCAGATTTCTACATTTACTTTTTCTACTTTATTACCTATTTGCACCTCAAGATTTGCCCTTGCCTGTAGGTATTATGGTTAAGAGTCAGATGGAAAAATAAAGCAGGTAAATTGGCAGCAGAATGGAAAGAGTATAGGCTTTGGAAGCAGACAGACCTAGGTTTGAATTCCAGCTCTGTCACTTATTAGCTGGTAACCTTAGCAAAATCATTAAACTTCTATTCTAAATTACCTATAAAATGAATTTAATATCACTTTAATCACAGGCCTATTGAAAATTTAAATAAGACATATATTAAAATATAGGATAATTCCTGGCATGTAACAAACAAGAGCTATCAGATATAAAGACAGTACAGATATAAAGTGCACCATTACTAGTGCACCTTGTTTTAAGAAAAGAAAACAACAAAATTAAGCTTGCTTTAGTGACAATTTCATTACATCAGTATGAACTGGTTCATTATGTTTCCAAGTATGATTAATTACAACAAATTTTACTCACTTTTAGCAAGCAAACAGTTCACTCCTAAATAAAATCTGAAAACGACTGCTGAGTTTCAGCTATTTAGTTCGATGCTCATCTGACAAACAATGCATATCCTACATACAGCAATATAAATAAAATGCTACATGCCTGAACAGATACCTGAAGATTCACTGTTTTTACAATTCTCCCTGGAGAATGAAAAAGATAAATTGTTTGGAAAAAAAAAGAGTCACTTGTCAATTTGACCTTTTCTATCAGTATAATCATGTAATGGAAATCTAAAAGTCATGTTTTAAAAAAAAACACCAAAATGGTTTAGAAATACATTCTAAGTTAAAACTTGTGTGAAATCTGCAAAGAACATAATCTACAGTAGCAAGCAACCTAAAACCTGGTATTTCTGGGGGCTTAGTAAAGCATACTGTTCAACTCACTACTCCTTAAAAGTTGATATTTATACAACATTAATGTATTTGATAGGTTCTGTAAATGTAATAAGACAGAATCTTTTCAAAATGGAAAATGGAGTAAGCATCTCTAAATATTAATATTCCATACAATCATACTGTTAAAAGGAATCTTGAAGATTATCTAGTCCAACCTACCAACCAGAGCAAAAATACCCATTACAGTATCACTCCCAGAGAGTTAACCAACATGAATACTGTTACTGATGGGTAATTCACAATCTCAAATGACAATTTACTTAACTTTACAGATAACTTTATTAGAAAATTCTTCATTATGAAACAAAAATAGATAGATGTGACATCCATCTATCAGTTCCAGTTTGAAGTTTTAAAATTATATAAACAAAACATGCAATGTCCCATCAAATATTATAAGGCAGCTATCACATACATCTTTATTATAGTCTCTTCCTAGATTAAATATCTGCTATCCTTTCATCCATTTTAACTATTTCTCCATAGTCTACAAAATTTTCAGTTCTCATTAGCATATCTGTTTGTGCTCCAAAATGTGGATGTTCCTCTTCAACAAAACACAGCTCCCAATATGGAACATAAGACTTCAGTCAACTCTAGTCAGAATTAGTTGGACTATCATCTCCCTGTTTTTGACTCGATGATAATATTAATGTAGCCTGAAGTTACTTTAGGTTGAGTCAGCAAAAATGCTCTTTTTCATATAGATCCAATAACTTTTTATAGTTGATTTTTTACGGTATAACTGTACGTTAATCCTCTCACTTTTCCCATTCTTAGTTTCAGCCCAAACCTTCAACACTGACTTTTTAGCCAATACATTAGCTTTTCCTCCCAGTTTGTGTCACCTATAAATCTGAAAAGTTAGTTTTTTATCATCAAAGTTGTATACAAAAAAAAATTCACAGAGAATTTATAATAGAACCAAGTTCAGTTCCTTAGCTATCCTTAGAACCATTAATCAGTATTCTTTAGTCAACAGTGTTAAGTCAGTTAATAATACTAATCCATCCCCCATCTCCCTAAGAATACCATGAGAAATTCTGTATACAAAACCATGCTGAAATCCATATATGATGAGTCTGTCATATCTCTCATATCCATTACCAGTAATCCATTTTTTTAAAGTAGAAACAAAAATTTGGAATGACCTGATTTAATGAACCCATAGTGATGGCTAGAGATGAAGAGCTCCTTTTCTAACCATTCAATAATTTTGCTCAACATTATACTACTTTTAGTGGCCATCTGTTCCCATAACCTACCTTTTTGGAAAACAGAATATTTGCCCCTATCTAAACTAACAGCATCTCTTCAGTTATTTGTATCTTCAAATCTTAAAGTGCTTCCTGTCCCACCCCCTACCCCAGTATCCTGGGATGAGATTTAAACTTATTTAAAAATACCCTACCAGCTTTCCCTACCTGTTTTGGGCTTTAATACGTTTAACCACATTTAGTTACCAATTTGAAAATCATTCACCTTGTTAGAAGTTCCAAAAATAAAATGAAGTAGTTTTATTTTTCTATGCAAAGCAGAGGGTCTACCCCCTTCATTCATACCAGTTGATTTAATAGAAGATAATGAACATGCACAAGAAGGAATGAAATTAAATAATGTTATAGGAATTAATTCCATCCAAGAGGAAAGAATATATATCAAAACCCTACTAACTAGTTTAACAAAGAAATCAGTCCGATATTCACAATAGTTTGAAATGTAAAGAGTATTATACTTGCTAATATAGGGATTCCAGAATTAGCATATTAAGCATGTTTTATATTAAATACAAAGAAATTTCACAACATTTCACAAAGGAATTCAACCTATGAAGTAGTTTTATTTACATTCATAATAGTCACCTAAAATTCAACATATATACAAAACAAGGGGCTTTGGTGACTCATGAAATACAGTGAAGCTACAACACAGAGTATACAGAATTACTTCTACACTAAAAAACAACCTTGGTTTTGAGAAATGATTTCCATTAAACACACAGTAAATAACTCTTTGAACCAAGATATTTGACATTAATATTTAAAATCAGTTGTGACTTCTTCAGTTTTTAAAATATTCTGTTAAATTGCATTCTGTCAGTTTACATAAAAATAGTAAGTATTACAGCATGTTTCATTTATCTTTCCTATGTGTTATTTTGAAAAGGTTTCCCTATCTCAGAAGCAGTATAATTTTTCTGACATTCCCACAAATGCAAGTTTTTCATGGGTATATTTCATAAATTAAATGAAGAACAATGATTCCCCATACACAGGGAAACCCCGTCTCTACTAAAAAAATCACAAAAAATTAGCCGGGCGTGGTGGCAGGCGTCTGTAGTCCCACCTCCTCGGGAGGCTGAGGCAGGAGAGTGGAGTGAACCCGGCGGCGGAGCTTGCAGTGAGCCGAGATCGCGCCACTGTACTCCAGCCTGGGCAACAGAGCGAGACTCCGTCTCAAAAAAAAAAAAAAAAACAATTTAAGTCTGCAACTTTTTCTCTTTTTTGTAACTACCAACATAAGCCAGGGCAAAGAAATGGAAAGCACACTGCCTATATTGGTGAGTGAAACAGAGATGAGTTGAGAAGGCTAAACAACAAAAATTCATTCACAATCCTCCTCCCCTATTCTGATTCTTATATTTTTATCTTCTTCCCAAATTCTGGACATGGTAAGTTTGGGGCAAACATTTTCTCTTTTCCTCTACATTCCTGTTTATAAAATAAGAACTTACTCTATCTCAAAAAATACCAGTGAGAGGATGATTTTCCTCCTTCCCTAAAATTCTTTTACTCCAGGGAAGTAAAATCAACAATACTAATAAGAGTCTCTCAGCTCCTGGCCAAGGTTAATGTATTGGTCTGGTTCTCATATCCCTCTTGAGTTAGCTACTTGCACCACCTTTGAGGCAGGTCAGAGTCCTCCATGTGGCAGCTTAGGTATCTGCCTAAAGATCCAACTTTCCTCTTATGAATAGCAGGTCATTTTAAAGGCTTTAGATGAATTTAGATCCCTGCCAATTTTTCATTTGATTCCAAAATCAGAGCTGAGAGTAATATATTAAATGCTTCCGTCATAAATATTAAAATTGGTGCATGGACAAGGGAACCCCAAAATATACGCACAAGAAGTACATGAAGATCAAATTAAAATAACAGATGAACAAACACCAACTCTAGGATGAGGTATGCTCGGTTTCAAGAACTAAATTTGTTTAAAACAAAACAAAACAAAACAAAACAGATGATGCACTCACAATTAACAGTGGAAAAATTAAAGAAAAATAAAAGGAGGGCATACTGATTAAGATAAAAGAAAAGAGGGACTTCCTTAGGAATAAAAGTTCACTCTTAGAGGCTAGACTAGACAGATATCAAAAAAGAAAAAGGAGATATATATCAGAAGTAACTGTACTTAAAGATGAAAATGGGGAAAAAAAATTATAGATGTTACTCATAATAAAGGAAGGGTGACTGGTTACAAAAGTACCTAACTGAGGGACAGAAGGTAACTATGGGATGGAAATGTCAAGAGTGAACCAGACCGGAGATCCAACTATGGCAATATGGCAAAAGCTTGCTTTTTAAAAGGCAGAAAGTCTATAATAAAAGCAACTGAAAAACCACACCTTGAAGACTGAGACTACTATACAAGTAATATAAAATCTGTACAGATTTGATAAATTAAAAAGCAGGGAGATTACCTTAAAATATCTGAAGCATTTCAGGTGCATTTCAGATGAATAGTTACCACAAACGACAACATACAGTATGGCATTGTGCCATAAAGAAAAGTGCTCCAGAAAGTCAAAGTTAGGTCTCAGGGAAGTAAATGGGAAGAGCTATGCTGAAGAGAAACAAAGTTAAGAGGTCAGTCTTGGGTTTGATGTTGTGCTGGTAAGATTTTTTTCTTAAGTCAGATACAAGAGTGAGCAAAATTTGCTTGATATTGAATGCTTTTTGATGCACTTGGAACTCCTTGACTTTCCTTCTCTAACATTACGGAAGACACTACAAGAGATAACTGAAGGAACAAAAAAACCAAGAGAAAAAAAAAGGAAGATAGGCGAGGCAAATTTAATAACAGGCTCAAATGTAAACAAACACAAAAACCAGCTGCTTATCTGAAATGACATATCCTACTATTGCTGAAAGAAATGTGACAAAAAGGAATGTTTATTCTGCCAATAAAGTAGAACAAATTATGCAAGGCCTGGAATAATTAAAAGCAGAGCAAAGAAAAGGTCTAAAAGAGCAAGCAGCAGAAGAGATATTGTCTTTACTGGGCTCCTAAAAGCACAGACTTCAGAAACAACAAAAGTAGTTCCACTTTAGGTACCTGTTCCATGGTTATTATCCAAATAATACAAATATGAGGGCACAAAAAGAGTGTTTTTATGATAGGCCTAGAACTTTCAAGGGGCATGGCAACAGCCCAGGTAGCACAAGACTAAAAATGCCTTGGCACATGTTTGGGTCTAGAGAAATACAGATGCAAGAGCAGAACACAGGTTGTGGAGGCTGCAAGGAAATGACTATGCTTGAAGCGTTACAAACTACAAGTAAGTGATATGCTCTTTATAACAGCTAGTAGAAGTGGTGCCACTCAACAGATTCCACACTTAGTTCAGCACAAGGAGTGCCAGGAAAACACAGAAGAAACAGAAATTAAAAGCTTTTAATATGATGGAAATATAAAGTAGGAAACATCAATTAAGATGAGGTACCTGGGGCTACCGTCCATGGAAATTTGTAAACTTTGCAAAAAGACAGAAATTAGGATACTACTTTCAGGAAGGAGGAAATGGTCAGGGTAAGAGCACCCTCCACAAAATATGGCAAACAGACAGTAGCACAATTAAACACTTGATGAGTTTTCCTAGTAAAATATAAGCACAAGTTATGGACACTGGCAGTTGGCACAACTAACTGGCACACTGGTGAGCCTGGTGAGGTTTAAACCAAAATTCACTTGGTATCCTGTTTTCTGTGCATCCATCGTCCTTCTGATATCACTAATTTTTACTGGCAAAAGTAATTCCCTGAATTTAGTACATAGTATAGTTGACAGAAATATTAGTATATTTCTAAATTTAATGGGTATTGGGTTGGGTGCAGTAATAAACGTTTGCCCTACTGATCTTCAAGACTCTTAAGAAAGTAAGACACAGGCCGGGCGCAGTGGCTCACGCTTATAATCCAGCACTTTGGAAGGCCGAGGCAGGCGGATCACTTGAGGTCAGGAGTTCAAGGCCAGCCTGGCCAACATGGTGAAATCCTGTCTCTACTAAAAATATAAAAATTAGCCAGGCATGGAGGCAGATGCCTGTAATCCCAGCTACTTGGGAGGCTGAGGCAGGAGAGCTGCTTCAACCCAGGAGGCAGAGATTGCAGTGAGCTGAGATCAAGCCACTGCACTCCAGCCTGGGCGATAAAGCAAGACTCAGTCTCAAAAAAAAAAAAAAAGTAAGATATAAAAAGAGCCTGGAAGTTAAAGAATTCTCCTTTAGAGGGCTAAAAGAAGCCACTCCCAATCAGAGGAAGAAAACCCAAGCTGCAGCTCCTGAAAAATACCCATCTCTAAATCATAGGGGCACATGAGAAACCCACTGGCTCTGATTAAGTAATACTCTAGAAGGGGAAGAATTTGGGATCTTAATGTCTTTAGACTCTAGACTTTAATTTTTCTTTGTGAACTCAAAAATGGGAGACAAATGATCAAATCTGGTAGATTCTTATTTTTGTGGACATTTGATCCCCTGTACCAAAGCTCAAATTAAAACCTCAAATTAAAACTGGAAAGGAAATTTTAAACTAAAACACTATCACAGGTTAATTAGCTTTCTCAAACACAGAAACTGCCTCTCTTAAAAAGCCGTATACTCTTAAGTACTGAGACATTACTAAAAGGAGAAAATAAATTATGAGTTTTATATTTACCATAAGGTACTAGAAAATCCACTGCTCTCTTATTAAATAGGGATAAATATACTCAAGATTAATAAAAATGTACATTGTAGCTACTGATTAACAATTTTTACTCTTCCTTTTTTTAAGAAGAATGCACTAACTCTTCAAACCCAATAGAACCAAAACTATACTGTTCATTTAGATACCTTAATTATTCCTCCCACCATTTATTGTTAATACCATCACTATACTCTCAGATATTTAGATTAGAAACCCAGTATAATTTCATAGAATTCTTTGGTGCCTTGTCTCCACTTTTAGCAAAATGCTAAGTACTTTAGTATACATAATATTCCTTGAAATTGTTCCAGCCACTTATTCAGCCAGGCCCTCAATTCCTTTTCTGGGATACTTCGATAGCTTACTTTTTTTATGTAGACTTTCATTCTTTACCTCCTGTGGTATCTTAAAACAGTATTTTAAGATTAATAATGGCATGACTTTGCCTTTAATGCTGTATTATCCCACAGAATTCAAACCCCTAAGCCAAGCCTCAATCTATTTTTCCAATCTTATTATCTACCAATTCTTTTTTGAGTTTATGTTCTAGTCCAGTGGCTCTCAAACTTTAGCATGCATTAGACTCATTGGGAAAATGTGACAATCAGATTGCTGGACCCTAGTCCCACAGTTCCGGATTCTGTACGTCTGGGTGGAGCCAATAATTTGTACTGCTAATAGTTTGCAGGTGATGCTCATACTGTTGGTCTGGAGATCCACACATTAGGAACCATATTTCTAATCAATTAACTACTGCCATTCATAAATGTGCCATGCCATCCATCTTTTCACAAGTTATCTCCTCTACTTAAAATGTCCACCTACCCCATACTATTTCCTTTCTTCATGCCTACATTTTAAAACTAACAATTTTTTTAAGAGTCAAGTCAAATCCTATTTCATCCATTAAAATTTTCCAAATTATCTCTATCAGAAATGGTCTCTCCATGTGAACGTGCATAGGAATTCAAATAGTGGCACTAATCACACTTTCCCTATTTTAGGGTTTATTTATATTTATTCATTAATTTATTCAAACCTTAGAGTGCCTACTGTGTACCAAGTTCACTGATGCTTTCATTTTTTTGTGGAGGGATAAGAGGTAAATGAATATATATTAGATGGTGTTAAGTACCTTTAAATATAATATTAATAAAACACAGGTAAGGGGGAAAAAGAATACTAGAGATGGGATGCTGCTTTACATGGGGTGTTCAGGGAAGGCCTCTATCTCTCTAATAAGAGTCTATCTGTGGAGGATCCCACAGCAAACTATATAATATCCAAATGAAACATGTTTCTGGCAGACAAAACAAAAGCCAAGAAGCAGATATGTACAAGGAGTGGCAAAGACACTAGTGTTGGTGAGTGTATAGTAATAAAAGAAAAAGTCACAGAGCTAGATGGGGCAGGATTATGGAGCCCTGCAGTACACTATAAGGATTTTGGCTTTGACTCTGAGATACAGAAGTATGGAAGGTTTGGAAGAGGCCTCACTCATACCTTTAAAAGGATCACATTGACTGCTGTGTAAAAAATAAACTGAAAGTGAGGAAAGGTGGCAACAGGGAAATAAAATAATCCAGGAGAAAGATACCTATAGTTTGGATCAGGGTCATAATAGACAGAAATAATAGTTAGATATGCCTTTTCTCCCTTACTAGATAATTCAGTTCCTTTAGAGCAAGGATGGTTTTTCCTTTAAATTCCCTATAATCACTAAAATGAAGCTTTTCACACAGTACCTATTATTTTCTTAAAGGAATACCCTCTACAATACTCAATTATTGTACTTTATATATGTAGATTTATGCCTAAGATATCTAAGGATATTCAACTGATTGATAGTAAGAAAAAGTATGTACTGTTTGACAAGAAAAATACAGCATTTTATGAGCACTTACAAGTTATGAGCATTTAATAGTTGTTGAAGTTAACTTCAAAATATAAGAGAGAAGATAAAAAGTCTTAAAAGTACAGTACAAAATGGCTTCAAAAGTGAAGTTTGATACGGAAGTGTTTTTGATTTTTTTTTTGAGACGGAGTCTCACTCTTGTCGCCCAGGCTGGAGTGCAATGGTACGATCTCAGCTCACTGCAACCTCTGCCTCCCGGGTTCAAGTGATTCTCTTGCCTCATCCTCCTGAATAGCTGAGATTAAAGGCACCCGCCACCACGCCCGGCTAATTTTTGTTTGTTTGTTTTTGAGATGGAGTCTCGCTCTGTCACCCAGGCTGGAGTGCAGTGGCGCGATCTCAGCTCACTGCAAGCTCCGCCTCCCAGGTTCACGCCATTCTCCTGCCAAGTAGCTGGGACTACAGGCGCCCGCTACCGCGCCCAGCCAAATTTTTTTGTATTTTTAGTAGAGATGGGGTTTCACCGTGTTAGCCAGGACGGTCTCGATCTCCTAACTTTGTGATCCGCCCGCCTCAGCCTCCCAAAGTGCTGGGATTACAGGAGTGAGCCACTGCACCCGGCCAATTTTTGTGTCTTTAGTAGGGACAGGGTTTCACCATGTTGGCCAGGCTGGTCTCAAACTCCTGACCTCAGGTGATCCGCCCACCTTGGCCTCCCAAAGTGCTGGGATTACAGCCGCGAGCCACCACTACTGGCCCAATACAGAAGTTTTTAAGAAACGAGATAATAATTTCTTACTTTTTAAATAAAATCAAGAATTGGGGAACTGCATAATATAGTTTTAGATGCCAGGAAGGAAAGCAAAAATTGAATATCTACTCTAAGTTTATAAACACAGGATGACAGGATGATATGCAGGAAATCAAAGTAATAAATTGAGAACCGATGAATGAGTTTTAACATTCTCACAACTCTCTACCTACGTTTTATATCTTTCCCTCAGCTTGATTATGTTTTATGTTATGTACACTCACTATATTAAATTTGGATAATATATGAGAAAAAAAGTATCCATCATTGCACTGCCCACAGATAACCACTATTAACATCTTGATCCCTTTTCTAGCTGTGTGTCTTAAGGTAGTTGCTTAATCTCTCTGAGTCTCAGCTGCATCATTCATAAAATGACGATAAAAACAGTACTTATTTCACAGAGTTTTTGCAAAGGATAAACGAGAATCTAGGACAGGAACTGACATACTTTTTTTCTTAAGGGGCCAAAAAGTAGCTTATGGGCCATACTTTCTCCAACCCAATTATTCAGCCCTGCTGTTGTATCATGAAAGCAATCACAGAGTATATAAAATTAAATGGGCAAACACCAATATGATCTGCAAAAAAAAAAAAAAAAAAAAAAAAAACAGGCAGTGTTGCCTTTGCCACAGTGGCGTATAGCAAAGGTTCATAACTTTTTTTGGTATGTCTGAATTATTGTTGGGTTGTATTTGTTTGGCAAGTTTTGAAATTCTTAAAAGAATCTGATTAAAAAAAAAAAGAAATTTGGATCTGCTCACCAAGAAAATGCAAATAAAACTTTACCTCAATCATTACGTGGACACTGAAAAGATCATTTTTTATGGCTGCATAAAATTTTAATTTATGGGAGATGAAAAGATATTCACCTATTTTAGAAGTTCTGGTTGGTTTCCTATTTTCATTCATTACATTAATTATAATTAATGTTATGAAGAATAGTATTGTGTCCAAATTTATAATTCCTCAGAAGTGAATGCTATAAGAAAAATGACTAAGTCAAAAGGTACAAATTATTTTAAGGTTTCTAATATCTTGGTAAATTGTAGTCCAGAAAAGTCGTGGTGATCTGTACTCCCATCAGCTGAAAAAGAGATCTTCATACTCTCATGAGCATGGAATATATGTAAATTTTAGACTTTAAAAATAAATTCTATAATTTGAGAGATTTGTCAAATGACAGTACGACAGATAAAGGCCAAAAAAACACATCCATTGTATTTGGGACTGGTAGGATTTCCAGATATTCAAGGTTAAATCTAAATATGGAGAGACTGACAAACTTTAATCATTTAGGATAAACATTTAAAACACATCCCATACTCTCCTGCTTTCAAAACACAAGATAATAAACATAAAATAACTTCTACTGGTTTGCAGTCACCATAACTTTGGTATTTTGAGAACTGCTATAATTTGTGTAATATATTACACGAGATACTGAAGTCCAGTACATTAACACTCTATAATGTCAACTTTCCAAAGCAGTGGTGAATACAAAAATAACTGAAAGACTCTCCATCTAAGTAGCAGAAAAGTCCTGATGTGAATGTTGAAGCTTGCCAATTATATAAGGCACTGGGGATATAGTGTGGTAAGCAAACATTGTCCTGTTTTGTGTAGTTATAACTTCGATAAGTGCTATGAAGAAAAGTTATAACTGAGCCATTGTTACTATCTCATCTAAGCATATCCCATTCAAGTGGGTTGGGGGGTGGACTAAGAGTTGAGAATCACTTTCTTTTTTTTTGAAACAGAGTCTCACTTTGTCACCCAGGCTGAAGTGCAGCGGCGCCATCTAGACTCACTGCAACCTCCGCCTCCAGAGTTCAAGTGATTCTCCTGCCTCAGCCTCCCAAGTAACTGGGAATACAGGCATGCACCACCATGCCCGACTAATTTTTGTATTTTTAGTAGAGATGGGGTTTCACCATGTTGGCCAGGCTGGTCTTGAGCTCCTGGACTCAGGTAATCTACCTGCCTCGGCCTCCCAAAGTACTGGGATTACAGGTGTAAGCCACGGCGCCTGGCCTGAGAATCACTTCTGATGGGGAACTTCTGCTAGATTGAATTTGATTTTTTTCTTCTGTTTCACATTTATGAACATCTTTAGTTTCTGCTGCCTTGAGTCTTTTTAACAGTGTCCATTCCACTGCTTCCACTCAATCAAAACTGCTTTAGTAAGCTACAGTATATATCAAATATATATGCATAGATGGTACAATAGATACCAAATGCTTATTCCTAGATACAATACAATGTATTGTATTGCACTGCAGAGGCTAAGTGCACGGGCTGGCTTTTGGCTGTCAAACTGGCTAGGTTACAGTCTGATTATCACATACTAGGTACAGGACTTGGTCAAGCCATCTCTTCTGGTCTTAGTTTCCTGACCTATAAAAATGAGAATAATGGCACATAGCTTGTAGGGTAGTGGATTAAATGAGCTAAAACAGGTAAACAACTTATCACAATCCCTGATTCATGGAAAGCATTCAAAATGAGTTATATACATATATACAGCATATACATATATAAAGCATTCCAATAATAGCTTCCAGATATTAAAAACATTAACATACACACATCAAATCACTGGGAAGAGTATTTATAATATTTCAACTTTAGAGTAACCAAAACATACTGGTTGATGTCAATAAACTCTAGTTGTAGAAATACATATTAACAACCTGTACATGTTTTGTTATGACATTATATATGCACACTTATTTTCACAGTACACAGAACAATTTTGTGCACCTGTCTATTAATATGTACTGATACAACCACTTTTCTTCTCCCTTCACTTCTCTGTGCTATGTTTTGCCACAAGTGGAGCCCGAAAATGAACCTGTCCCTTTCTGTCTCAAAGTTAATTAACTGATTTATCATAGTCTACACCTAATCCTGAATGAATGTAACTCATTTTTCACACCTTCACCGAGACAAATAAGCACTGATGAACAAAGGTACATACTAATGGTCACTCTGCATTCACAATGATCAAATTCAAATGGTTCTGTGGGTCAATTCAACATACCTCTCTAATCAGCTACCAACCACCTCCATGTACTCTTAATAGATGAACTTTACTCCTACCACAAAACTCCTATATAAAGCAACACCCCTCCACTTGTGCTTTGAGTGTTGTCCTTACTCCCCTTCAGGGGTCTTATAATATAGATAATCCCTTCTTTTGTAGATTTGTATCTTCCTTTCAAATGGATCATTCTCACCAGATTTTAAGTGTACACAGTTCACACCAATTTACTAAAAAAAAAAAAAGAAAGAAAAGAAAATTTTACCTTCAATCCACAATGCCTCCAGTTACCACCATATCTTTCCTTCTCCTTTATAGGTTATTTGTACTTACTGTCTATTCCTTCACCTCCCACTCTTGGAACTACTCCAACCTGACTACTGATCCCATCACTACACCAAAACAGCTCTGTTTAGAGTCACCCAAGACTCCATGTTAATTCAACGATTGGATCTCAACAGTTTGCAATGCCAGTTACCATTCACCCCATCCTAAAACATTCTCTTTCCTTGCCTTTTGTGACACCACAGTTCTCTGGGTTTCTGAAACCTCTTTAATCCTTCTCAAACTTTATTTGAAGACTCATCCTTTCCTACTGAGACATTTAATTTTGAGGCTCCTCAAGCTTTAGTTTTAAGGTCCTCCTTTTCCTAGTCTACTTTCTCTCCCTATGTGAGCTCATTCACACATATGACTTCGAATACCATCCACACGGCTATGATAACCGGACCTCCCTTTTGAGCTCTGGCTTCTGTTAAGTCCAGCTATCTCTAAGATCTCTCCTTGGATGAGGCAAAAGCACCTTAAATTCAACATATCAAACCAAACGAAAGGATCTCAGTAGAGCAGAACTTGCCCAGGTATCCAAATATACATAGTCAAGCTATTAGTTCCCATTTATAGTATTGCGTATCTTTTCTTCATAGCACTTACCAAAGTTATAACTGCACACAAAATTGGGCAATGTCTGTTTGCTTACCACTGTATCCCCAGTGCCTTATATAATTGACAAGCTTCAACCTTCACATTAGTGACTTTTTTACTGTTTAGATGGAGTCTTTCAGTTTTTGTATTCACCACTGCTTTGAAAAGTTGACAGTAGAGAGTGTTAATGTACTAGACTTTAGGATTTCATAAATTATACAATTCAACCTCCTCCCAAATTTAGTTTGCCATAATGTCCCACCATCTCCTAATATCTTTAACATTACATATTAATATACAATTAATGTGTCATTCAATGGGCCAGATTTAATTGATCTTATTTTATTTCTTCACATATCTTACCAGACACATATTTTACTACAGGTTTCGTAAAGTTCTTGTTTTTGTTTTTGTTTGTAATTTTTAAGGTGTAGTTTAGCACATTTTGGCAGGAAAGCAAGAAAATTCAGTGCCAGTAACAACAGTACAAATGGTGCCTTACTTGTGTTTGGCAGAACTGTGAAAAGATGATATAACTAAAAAACTTAAAAGCAATGACTCCATTTAAATATATTTCCTCCTGCCATTTTATCTACAAAATTAAAATTGAGGTTTTTTTGTTTTTTTTGTTTGTTTGTTTGTTTGTTTTACACAGTCTCGCTCTGTCAGCCAGGCTGGAGATCTCAGCTGACTGCAAACTCCGCCTCCTGGGCTTAAGCCATCCTCCCACCTCAGCCTCCCAAGTAGCTGGGACTACAGGTGTGTGCCACCACACCCAGCTAAATTTTTGTTTTTTTGTAGAGATAGGGTTTCACCATGTTGCCCAGGCTGGTATCGAACTCCTGAGCTCAAGCAATTTGCCTGCCTTGGACTCCCAAAGTGCTGGAATTACAGGTGTGAGCCACCACACCCTGGCACGGATAGATTTTCTGAAGCAATGTAGTGAGTGGTTATTTGGAAAGCAATAATAGTCATGTATCTAATGAAAGACTGTGTATAAAAAAGTCACTGAAGTTTAGAACCTCATTGGTCATTCTAAAATGATTTTCATAAGTTTATTTAACCAATTCATTTTTTTAAAAAAGCATCTCACATGCTTTGGGGAAACAAAGAATTAAAATTTCATCATACTCAAAATAATCTTGTATCTATTTGTACAAAATAACCAATCTAGGGCTAGGCGCGGTAGCTCATGCCTGTAATCCTAGCATCATGGGAGGCCACAGTGGGTGACTCGCTTGACCTCAGGAGTTAAGACCAGCCTGCAGATCATGGTAAAACCTCGTCTCTACTAAAACTACAAAAATTTAGCCGGGCATGGTGGTGCACACCTGAAGTCCCAGCTACTGGGGGTGGGGGCTGATGGGTGCTGAGAAGCGCTTTAGCCCCGGACAGGGAGGTTGCAGTGAGCCTAGATGGCAAACACTGCACTCCAGCCTGAGCGACACAGCCAGCCAGACCCTGTCTCAAAAAAATAATAATAATAAACAATCTGTGAGGTAGGAAAAGAAAATGAAATTTATTTTATATACTTTATTTTTTCTTTGATTATAAAGTAGGTTTAATTTTTAAAAAACTAAAAAAAAAATGTAAAAAATAAAATTCAGCCATAAGCATACCACCACAAAGTTAACAACACTTTGGTATATTTCAGTCTTTTTATTTACAAAGGTGAAATCACCTGTGTCCTGTGTCTTTTCAGTAGTTACACTATAAACAGTTTCTCGTATGAATAAATATTCTTTAAATACATGATTGTTTAGGGAAAAGGGACATAGGATTACATTATATGTACTAACTCCCCTAATAATAGTCATTTAGGTAGTTTTCAATGATTTACTATTACAAACAACGTCATTATGAACAATCAGTTCAACTCAACTCTGAAAGTCAACCTATAAAGGCATTAAGGAGCAACAATAACAAAAAAAAAAGGATTTAGCTCCCCAAATACAGCCGTCAACATCTAAGGTTCATTTGTTTTGTTTTTTCCTAATTATAATAAACGAGTTGATGTCTTTCCAGGGAATTCACCTTTTATGAAGACTTGAAATATCCCAAATGTGCCAAAATTTGAAAACTTTTTAAAAAGCTAAAATTTTCATTTGCAATTGAGAAATAAAAATAATTTTGCATCAATGCAATTAAATTTATCAATGCAATTATCGATGCAATTAAAAATTATTATCAATGCAATTAAAAAATTATCAGTGCAATTAAATTATTTCTAGCTCTGGATATTCACCACAGAATAGATCAGAAAATAGGATACTCTTTCAAAAGTAAATAAGTGACTGCAAATTATCCTCAATACTTTCCTTTTCATCTTTCATATTATTATTTACTGAGCTAGAAAACTAATTTGAGACTTCTAGTTAAATGTGACAGATTGAACCACATTTACGTCTGATCCTACTTGAAAACTCCACTAAAATAACAGTAAAAATATTTGTGTTTTAAAAGAGCTAAACCCACTGGACAAAGCAATGAAAAAGGAGAGATATCTACAGATGGGTAGTTGGAAATTAGATGGATGGGTGGTAACTGGCTTAACAGACCCAAGAAACTGAAAGCCAAGCCATCAGTAGAGGGAGTTTGGGAACAAGCTCATGTGTGCTTGAATCAACCCCAGAACCCCAGAACATCTCAGGAATTTGAGGTACCACATACCTCCAAAAGATGTGAAAACAGAGTCAGAAACAAAAAGATCAGTTCAAAATCTCCCCCAGATCCCTCCCCTAACAAAACAATGGCAACTAACTCCTAATTCTCTGAAGACACTGAACATTTGGACACAAAGAGGGTAGCAGGAAGGAAAGGGATAAACAAAAACGGGGTATAATCAAAGTGTACATAGTGAACATGCTCAATAGTGAGATCAATAGTGAGACAGTAAGATAGTCCCTATCTCCTTCCTGTACTAGGCCAACTGATTCCATCTAAAACAACTAGGGAAAAAATTACTTATAAATATAGAGGTAAATATCAAAACTGAAAGAGTTGCCAGTGATAGCCTCTGGAGAATAAGAAGTAGGAAAGGAAGAGGACAGGGCATGACTGCTATTTTTTGTTATAAGCTGTGGCAAAAAAAAAAAAAAGAAGAAGCTCGTTATTCAATAATATCCATTCTTGTTTTCTTCCATACTGACAGAATCATAGGCATGTGTTGATCAAAGAAACAAAAATCTAGAAAAATTTCCTAACATTCTTTTCAGATGGGGATAACTCACAAGATGAAAGTGGGTCATTAAGTAGGATTTAGGACAAGTTGTTTTGGTTTACACCACAGAGACAACCAGCTCCTGCCACTGGGAAGTCAGACGTGATAGTTGGGACTCAAGCAACTACCCTGGATCATGACACAAACTCGGGATGCTAAGACAAGGATGACTAGTAAGAAAGAGCAAATGATAGTATGGCCACTGTACCATCCCTACACTATCTATTCAAGATTTTTTTACATAATAAATGCCCACCTTGTTTGAACCACTTAAGTCAGGTCTCCATTAGCACCAAAATGCAATTCCTGATACTTAGGCCTTATATGACTTCTTAAAACTAAGTACATTAATAAAAATTAAAGATAAATTAAAAATAATCCCAATTAATAGCAAGAATTAGTAAAAATGTATTATACCCTAGAAAACTATTCATAGAGCTATAATAAGTATTATGTAAATCCTATATCAAGACCAAGAAATAAGGATTGTTTCTTCCTGAGACAAATTTTAATTTCTCTAAATTAAGAGACATTAGAATGTATTTTATAATACCATGGGACAAACTCTCTTTTCTGTGAATACCATCTCTTAAGGCACCTATTACAGTGCCTGGCCCACAGTCGTTACTTAAAAACTATTTGAGGATCATTAAAAACTTTACTGCCATTTATATCGGCATTACGCATAAAAGGTACCCACTAAGAGTCCCAAAGTAAGGGTACAGCCAAGTTTCTCAACCTCGGCATTACTGATATTCCGGACCAGATAATTCTTTGTTGTTAGAGCCATCCTGTGCACTGCAGGATGTTCAGTAGCATCTCTAGCCTCCATGCACTAGATGTCAGCAGCAAACCTCAATCATGACAATCAAAACTATCTCCTGACATTGCCAAATGTCTCCTAAGGGAAACAAAATCTCTGAGAACCCCGCCACAGTTGTTTTACAAATCATTGTGTTTCACCAGGAGCATTCCGCTTTTCTAATTAAATAACAGAATTTAAGAATTGTAACATTTCTAAATTTTCTCTCAAGTTTACTGCGAAACACAAATTATAAGCTACCTACAGATTATCTCTAATGTCCCTCATAAATCCTCAGAGGATTTTACGAGAGAAATATTAATAGCATCTACCTATTTAAGTCTATCTGTGTGCTACGTACAATACTAAGTACATTATATTCTTCTCTCTTTTTATATTCATGACATCCTCGTGGCATGACTATTAACCCCACTGTAGTATGAAATAATTTTAAATTATATTTCAATCAACATATCAAAGTGGTTCCAGAAATCCTTTTTTATTACTCATTATATTCATTCTGGCACTGAACTAAGAAGAAAGTATCTTAACTTCCTTAGTTTACAATCAATTTATGACAAAAAATTCAGTGTATTTGGTGACAAATTGAATTATTAAAACTTTCAGGAATTAGAAAAGTGTTTACAGCACTTAACAAGTCAGACAATAACAGTCTGCTTCTTGAAGTATTTCTTACTACTGTGTCATAATGAAAGAGTACTTTCTAAACTTTTCATCCATAATACCAAGTTATTTCCAGTAACTTCTTTTTCCTTTCACATCACTTGCAACAACAACAAAAAACTCCCCTCTATAATTGAGGATTTACTTACTGCTTTTCAGCAGAAACTGAAGACTGAGTTCAAATCCCAGCATGTCTACATAATGGAAACTAAGACACCTTAACTTGTTCATGCCTCAATTTCAACTATGCTACTTGCTGTCTGAAGCTTAAGAGTTAGTAGGCCTTCCATAAAAGTTACTTTCCCCTACCTTTCATCCTCAAAGCAAATTAAGTATCAGTTAAGAGCCAGTTTTATTTAAGCATTTATTGAGTCAGCTAACAAGAGCCAAGGGAGGATGTGATAGGGCCAGTCCAATATTATTAACACTGTATCTTCTGTTTTACTTTTCCTTATGGTAAAAGACACAAAAACCCCTCTGGAAAAGAAGTGTTCCTTCCTCTCTCCCTTTGCCCACACAACTAACTGCCAAGAAATTTTGATTCATATTTCCCTCTAAAAAGAGGAAGATAAACCAGAGCCTTTCTTTGAAACACCACTAGCCTGTCTGTATAATTCATGTACTTAGTTAACTGTCACATACCCCAACTGCACAATATCCATTGCATTACTCACGATTAAGTCATTCACTAATAAAAACAAATTATTATACTTAATATTAGCCTCAGTGTCAGAAAACCAAATTTTTAAAAAGAAATCTTCGACTAGGAATTAGATTAAATAATCCCCCTGCTTCCCTTACTGACGAATGAAGCAATTACTATGGTAGAATTTTATTTCTCAGTAGATAAAATTCAACTTAATAAAGGAATATTTTATTCCATCTAAAAGCTTTAATATAAAAAAGGACTTCACAAAGCTCACCTGCAAAGTAAAACCAGGACAAAACCTCAGAGCAGATCTCTCAGTAACCTAGAGTATTATAAAATATGTAAAGTTTCAGGTAATAAACTATGTTTCAGGTAAAAGTTGGTAACATGAAAGTATGTCAGTCTAACATAATTTAGCAATAGAAAATAAACGTTCATTAAGTTCTTCCTGTTTTATTTCCTTGGATATACAGGAGGTAGCGAAGTCATAAAGTAGTCAACTTCATTTGTTGTTAAAATATTGTACTGTCACTATTAAGACACTGTGTTTTGCAGGCTAAATTTGTCATTTGTTCTAAAATTTTAGTAGCTGGTTGTTGATATAAAAAGCAAAACAAACAAATTAAATAGATTTTCAGCCCCTGAATATATTAAAAATATAAATTGTATCCTAATTTTCAGAAGTTTACAATTCCTATAGATACAAAATCTACCAATAGCGTGGTTTCTAGATGTAAAAGGTATAGTTACAAAACAAGTGCTCTGAAAACAAGACACTGAACCTCTAAATTCAGTGAATGCCAATTATCAAAATAAAAGTGAATGCCAATTATCAAAATAAAAATACATTTTCAAGAAAGTCATTAAATAGCAATGCCAAAGAAACTGACATACTCTTCAAACCAACTTCTTTATGACACTGGGGGAAAACATTAAATCAAAAGGCAATTTAAATTAAAGCATTAAAAACTTACCTGAAAAATGTCAACTCCATCCTTTTTCTTTCAATGCTTGTAAGGGAATTCTTACAAGCTTTCCCTTACAAGCATTGAAAGAAATTCCTTACAAGCATTGAAAAAATCCCTTACAAGCATTGAAAGAAATGTCAGCAAACATGATGTCCATTTCTCATTAACTTTATTTCCTACTTGTTATCAGAACGAAATTAATAGCTACCTGATTCAAACCCTTCACATATTTATTTAACTATTACTCCTCTTTGACAGAAGGGGAAACTGAGACACAGAGTAACTTGTCCAAGGTAATAATTTCTGCCAGGAGATGGTGGAGCCAGAATCTGAACCCTATACACCCAAATTAATGGACGCATTTTAAAAGGGATGGGATGGAAAAGGAGCAGTTAATTTTTTTCCCCAAAATAGCTTGCAAAAAAAGATTGTTGTGAATGGGAACAAACCGTTTAAATTACAAATGCAGGTAGATGAGAATGCAGAGTACACAAACTTTACCCCTAAAAAAGTAGGGGTATATTTGTTATATTTGATTACAAACACTTTGAACAACATCAAACCCCTGTGACGGTCGACTGAGTAAATAATTTAATGTCACCGTTCAGACACTGTATTTTACAGGCTAAATAAAATACATTATATATTGAAGGATGAGGGGGGTTGGTGATGTTAACCGGAGCAAGAGTTTAAGGAAAATTACTTTCATTATGAGCAGTTAATTAGAAAAGAGTGCGTGTGTCAACCGAAGGAGGTTAAAAAAAAAGACAATCACATTGCCTTAACGCACTCTCTGTCCGAAAAAAGTAACTAAATCACCGTGGGTCAGCGTCTACGCCAACTGGAGAACCGGCCCAGCGGGATCTTGTGAGGGGATGACAGGAGACCCTAGAAGAGGGGGAACAGTGGCAGTGACAGGAAAGATGGCATGTCTCCCATCCCGGAAAAAAAGGGGAGAACACGGGGGGCAATCGGCGGAGAGGGGAAGGCAGAAAATGTTACCAGAGGTGCCAAATGAGGTGAGAAAGACCAGGGTAGGAAACATAAGAAAGGCGGGACTCTCGGGCAGGAAGGTCTGTTTGGGGTAGGGAAGGCATGTCAGGACAGAGCTTTCCGGACAGCCGACCTTCCTTCTTTCCAGCCCCTCCATCCCCGACAAACTCACTTTCTCAGCAACCCTAAGCCCGTGGGTCACCCTCGCCTTGCTCCCCGCCCCCCACCCCAAGCCGGATAAGTGGAGGAGGGAGCTTCAGCCTCACCCTCCTTGTTGGGGAGGAGCGGGCACTGGACATAGACCAGATTCATGGACGAGAAGACCAGGAGACGCAGAGAGGCCCAGGACCCGGGTGACAAGTCGGGGCGGCCAACGGACGCCTCACCTGACAGAAGCGTCGGCAGTAATCCCGACTGCTGATTCCGACGCCGCCGCCGCAGTTGCCGCTGCCAGCGCCGCCTCTGCCGTCGCCCGCAGCTCTAAGCCCCACAGGGCCCAGCGGGGACTCCACAATGGCCACAAGCTCTTCTCCGAGGCGTTCGGCCTCTTGGTCGCTCTCTTCCTCCGCCATGAGGCTCTCGCCGCCCAGCGCGTACCAGCCCCTGCGCCGCCGCCGCCGCCGTAGATGCCTAGGCTAACCTCCTCCTCCTCTCTAGTTCCCTCCCCCTTCCCTCCTCCCTAGCCGGACAGGGGCCTCTCGGCTGGGCTCTACTTCCGGCTCCGCCCACCCACGCCCCCAGTTTTTATTGGAAGACGCAAGCTGCCAATCATGTTCATGCCCGCCTTTCCACTACTATTGGTGAAATCGACAGTCTGTTTGATAAACCGGCCGTCTGTTGGTCAATGCTGCTCGGCGGTTGCTGGGGACCGCCTACGGGCTCTGCCATAGGCGGTGCAGGCGGACGGGGCGCGGCGGGGGACACGGCGGCCGCCGCGGGGCTCGATCGGGCAACGGCGGCGACGGCGGCAGCGACGGATCCTCCTCCTCCCTTATTCCCTTGCTCCTCTTTCTTCCTTTTCTTTTCCTTTCCGGCCGGGCCTCGTCCACTTTCCCTAACGGCGGCCTCGATCCTACGGTACCAAGGAGCTAGGGAGGCCGAGGGTGGGCCCGACCGTTGGTGCGGGCTCTGGGCCCGGGGCCTTCCGTCCAGAAGCTGGAACCGGGGGCGGGGCTGGGGCACAGTTGTCGGAGGGAGGAAGAGGGAGGAGACGGGAAGCTTGACAGCGGCCGCCTCCGCCAGGCGCCTGCCGCCGCCTCCCTTGAGACTGCCGCCAAGTCGGCTGTCGAGTTCCCGGGCCCACAGCTGGCACCTGGGACTCGGCCTTGCCCAGCTAGCGGGGTCGGGACGGCTGGGCGCCGGCGTGCTGGGCTTGGCGCCGGAGGAGAGAGCCCAGACGCCGGGAACGTCCCGGGCCCCGCCTCTCCCCCGCCCCCGCCCGAACCCCCGGGCCTGGGGAGCTGGAGGAGGTGCCAAGCGGGCGGACCACCGAGGAGGACCTGGGAGGGGAAGTGTTAGGGTAAACGTTGGGATCGGGTTTGTAGTTACCTATAAAGTGATTTTAGAAACACCTGCGTGGTGGCAGTTGTTGACGTTCTTGTTCATCTTTTCAGTCACCCTCCTTCCGTCCCCCATTTTTTCCTTCCATTTGTTTTTCGTGTTTTACAGTAAAGGCATGACTTCCTGGCACCACAGGGAAAATCGGGTGCAAGCCCAGAAACTATTTCCCCACCACCACTTGTTGAAAAACTGATTTGAAGGCATCTCCGGGGTTGAACAAACGGAAAGTGCCAGGATTTGATGCGTCTCTGGTTTCGCTCTGGAGACCATTCCCTGCTAAGTATCAAGACGAAAAAAACTGGAAACTAATCCGGTAAACATTTAAACTTGAAAACTTATGATGAGTTTTCTTTTGATCTAGCAAACGATATGCTTTTTCTCTTTTGTTGGCTAATTCCTGCACTTTTTAATTTCTTCATTTGTTGAAAATGTTTTCTTCTATTGAAAACACTTTTGTTCTTCGGGTATGTAAACTCGAGCATCCTCTACTGGGTGGAAATTTGCCTCTGCAGTAACACAAACAGACTTCTTGAAATTACGAAAACATTGGAAAGTATAGGCCTTTCACATTAGCACAAATGATTGAGCATTTTATGCTATAAAGAATTACATGCTTATTGTTTTTGAAATCCAAATATTTAAAGATACAAGACTTTTTACATAGAAAGTAAGACTTAACGCATTACGGGGCACAAATATTTAATATCTACCACAACTAGGTTAGAACCATTAACCATATTTGGTATAGTTACCTCATATTTACCACAACTAGGTTATATTTGGTATATTTACCACAACTAGGTTAGAACCATTAATCATAATTGGTACTGATTTGTGAGGGAGTGTAAAACACATACCATTTACTTAAAGTATAAACGTGTAATGGTAAGTACTAGATAGGAATCATAACTGTCTTCTCTGCCGTTGCAAACCTGTAGCCTAACACAATATTTGGCAAATGAGAGCTGTGCACTTAAAAAAAAAAAAAAAGTGGAAAAAATAAAATTTATTAAAACCTAGACTTTATCGTACTTTTCAGAATTTCTGTGGAATGTTTAATCTTCTGGATCCATGACTGTCTGATACGTTGGCAATTTAAAGTCCTTTTGAAAGAGAGTTCATGTTACCCAGCTATTCTCTAGTATGTATTCATGGAATACTCCATCGTTTCTGATTACACTTATGAGACATAATTCTTCAGAGCACACTTAGAATTATTTCTCTAACATATTTATGCAGACAGAATTCCATCTTGAATTTTATCAAATTCACTTTAACTTCTTAAGTCTTGGTTATTGTAAGAGCCCAAAGGTATGGCCCCAGGGAACAATTAAGACTTGATGATTTGTCACCTACCAAAATATGTTCATTATGTAAAGGTTTCAATGCCCATAAGGCTGTCATTTGGTATTTAGTGCAGTGCTCATAAAAGTGTGTTATTAGGATAAATTGAGAAATTAATTAAGCTGCTTCTAGATTAAATAAATATAAATATTTGGACAAATATTGAAGATACGTACTTTTTCCATCAAATTTTAATTGAGGTTCTGCTGTATACTAGACTCTATGTTCTTGATTTTGTTCTTACTAGTTAAGTGAAGTAAGTATTAACAAATGTAATTATTAATTTTAATGGGAAAAGGAAACAAGTATTAGAGAAGTAAGACTTTGCATATCTTAACACCTTTTGGAAAACGGAGGTATACATGCATTACAAAATAACTTTGAACTGTATATTTTGGCTTTACAATTTAATGTCATTGTTGCTTTTAGTTGTATTTGGTCTGGTTTTTTTTTGTGGTTTTTCCTCAGAACAATTTTGGAAACTATATTCATCTTCATATAGAATTATGGCAGTTTATAGGCCCACCTGTTTGAAAAAACTTTATCCACAGTTGTGTTCCTAAAATCAGTTGTCCCAGAATTGTGACAGGAAAGAAGCTCTTTTGAACTTGAATGCATATCTAAGTTAGATGAGATTAATACAATTTATATCCTGAATGTAATTTATATCCTAAATGTTGAACTGTGATTAGGTTTCCCTAAATAATGGTGACATCTGGGATAGTTTGAGTTCTTTCTTTATAGTCTAATTTACTTGAATTTCGTAAAAATCAAGGAATGGACCTGATTGCGACTGGTTAGTAACTTGTTCTAGTTTTGCCTTCCCTTATATATTTCAGGTAAGTTAAGATTAATAGACACACAGTCTACTAATTTGAATTAAGTTTTTTGAAGTATTTGAAGTGTTTATATACTGCCTTTTATTGTTCATTACTTCCAGAATGAACTGTTGTTATAATACTCATCTTTGTTTCTTTTGTCTTGAAAGAACCATATTTATTTAGAGTCAGAATGGAGCGATTTGTAGTAACAGCACCACCTGCTCGAAACCGTTCTAAGACTGCTTTGTATGTGACTCCCCTGGATCGAGTCACTGAGTTTGGAGGTGAGCTGCATGAAGATGGAGGAAAACTCTTCTGCACTTCTTGCAATGTGGTTCTGAATCATGTTCGCAAGTCTGCCATTAGTGACCACCTCAAGTCAAAGACTCATACCAAGAGGAAGGCAGAATTTGAAGAGCAGAATGTGAGAAAGAAGCAGAGGCCCCTAACTGCATCTCTTCAGTGCAACAGTACTGCGCAAACAGAGAAAGTCAGTGTTATCCAGGACTTTGTGAAAATGTGCCTGGAAGCCAACATCCCACTTGAGAAGGCTGATCACCCAGCAGTCCGTGCTTTCCTATCTCGCCATGTGAAGAATGGAGGCTCCATACCTAAGTCAGACCAGCTACGGAGGGCATATCTTCCTGATGGATATGAGAATGAGAATCAACTCCTCAACTCACAAGATTGTTGACTAGGAGGTTACCACCATTGTGATCAAGATAAATGTGGAGTATTAAAGTTATGTGTTGATTGTGTGGTTCATTTTTGTATTTATTTCATTTAAAATCATGTGACGCAGAATAGTTTTGCAATGTGTATATAGTTGCAGGCAAAAAAAAAACCACCTCACTGCAAAACTTATTGTTAATTTTAGTCACCAATGGTATAAAGCAAAACCTAGGTTTAGAGTGTGCTAGGATACCTGAAACCTGATGGTTATCTTTAAAATTAATGGTTTTTCTCCTGAAATGTTTGTGCATGGAAGAACTGCCCTGCTTTTTTACCCTGTTGCCATGTATGATTATTCCTTGTGAGATTACTTAATTACTTGGATTGAAGACTAGCCTATTGAAGCTGCTGCCAGGCAACACCACTTAACAGTAACTTAAAGGAATTATTTTCTTTAGAGGATCCTCTTCAAAAAGGAAGGGAGATAGTGGAAAACTGTTCTTATATCTTCAGATCCCTAGCAGAAATGACTGTTTATTTCAAACTATGTTTTACTTGTATATGATGTAGTCACCTTAACTATCTTTCAATTCCATACTTCCCCCGCCCCCATTTTAAAGGCTTATTGTTGTATTTTGTAGCAGCTTCAAGTGACCAAAAGACTAAAATCTTTCAACGTCAATGCCAAAAGCCAAGGGGAATTTTGCAGTGACAGGATTTTAGTCTCTTACTATGAATACTAATTTCGAACCATAGCTTTCATTTTAAGCATCATCTTGAATTTCTAAACTTTTTTCTATGTCTTGGTGTTAAAAGATTTCAAGATTGGCATTTTTACTTAAACAGACATTTTATGGTTGAGTTTTCTCTTTATTATAGAGAATTAGTAATTTTTTTTTGGCTGACAGATCAGATAAAATTACTTTCTATTCATTAATTTTTCTCTACAACTTTATGAGTTTATTTAGGTGAATAGTCTAGACTAGAAACAAGTTTACTTTATCTGCTTTGCCTCTGGTGGTACAAGGTTTTTAACATGGATGGTAAACAATTGTCTAGAAATTCTGGCAGGTTTTTTGTATTGGAGATCTGGCAGTATCCTGCATAACTTTGGGTGAGGAAATTGTTCTCTTAAAGATCAGCCATGTTCAGGAAATGATCTCTGTTTGAACCTCACTATCCTGTAAGGTTATCCAAGTAGCTTAGCCCAGCTAAGTTCTATCAGAGACCCAAATTATATTTTTTAAAAATTTAACAGCTGGAAACTTGGACTAGAGCTTTAATAAAAAATCTTAAATTCTTTGAAATTCAAGTTAAAAATACTTATATATTTCTATTACAAAGCAGTGACAAATGATGCCCTGTGTGACTTGGAGTTATCTTTGACTTTTACCACAAATCTTCATTTATAAAAGAAAAAGCCAAAGTGAAAAAAAGTTAGATTGTGTATTTTTCAGTAACAGCTTTCCATGTCTTAAGATTTTTTTACAGACTTAAGTTTCTAATTCAGGTTGTCAAACTGGCCATTTGACTTCAGAGATTTGTTTTCATTAAAAAATAAGCCTGCCGCCAAAATAAATCACTTATCAAAATGTGAACTGTTTTCCTCATGTTCAGTTATGTTAAAGTAGTATGATAAATGCATGCCTAGAGTAGTGCTCTCGTTGATGAAGCACATGTATGAGGAGACCAGCAGCAAAACATAACCATATGTGTTTTGCGTTTACTTCCTCTAGAAAAGAATTTGCAGGCAACCATGTTTAATTTGAACTATCTAAGATGGTAGATTTTAGAAGCTAGGAATAATTGAGTTTTATAGCACTATTTTCAGAATACGAAAAGATACACAATCATTCTGTTTTTTGAAATTCCATGTGATTCAAACTGCTCCCTATTATTTGGGTATTAATTTGCACTAATAGCAAAATGTAATGGCAGATCAGCTTTGAGAGTGGTCCTAAGCAGTAAACTGGATGATGTTGCATTAGAAAAACATCAATAATTCATATTTAAGTTTTAGTAGTTACTACTGATTTGATAATCACTTAAATTTTATATATCTTAATGTATTTTTTCAGACTCCTAATTAATTCCCACATTCACTGTAACTAGGGGCATAGTCCATTCTGTTAGGATTATATCCTCTCCTTAGAAATGTTTTCCATCCTGTTGTGGGGATTTGGTATTAATGTTTCTTCATTGATTATGGAACTTTTGTTCCCTGAAGCTAGTTAACTGTGTCTAAAGTTAAATAAATACAGCAGAATGATTGTTTTAGCCTGCTCGAACTGATACAAATCCCTGAAACCATGATTGGCATATGTTAGATAACAAATGAGGATGTCTAAGAGGCA
The DNA here is from genome assembly GCF_000001405.40 of Homo sapiens. Taxonomy (NCBI): domain Eukaryota; kingdom Metazoa; phylum Chordata; class Mammalia; order Primates; family Hominidae; genus Homo; species Homo sapiens. Next base: position 88,053,140 of record NC_000003.12, on the reverse strand, counting down.
TATGCTGCTTTGGAGGTGTAGTGAACGTGTGTACAGAAGTTTTCAATCTTAACTATATAGTGTTAGTGTGATGCTATACTATTGGAAAAATAGCAGCTTTTTTCTATTTTATAAGTTGTATGCATAAACATAAGATTTGTAATGTTTCATTTATAAACTGCCTTCTTCAACACATGTTAATAGTGTTTTCTCAAAGTATTGATAGTATGTCTTCCAGAATTTCACAATATGCTTACAGTAAATATTTCCTAGCTTGTTGAAATGTTCAATTCTTTGTTGGCTTTCTTCTTGATTCTGTGGGGGTGTATAACAAGCCTGAAGGACATTGTAATCATTTCTTACAAGGTGAAAATTAAGAAAGATTGTGTATGAGAGCCTATATAGTTGTTTTATCCATTATCATCTTTGATTAAGACTTTAAAAAAATGCTATTTCCAGTTAATGCATTTGGCCCTATTGAATTTTCAGGGACCAGAAAACATTAAAAAGTTCTGCATCTTATAATGGTAACCAATTAAGCTTGAGATTGTTCTGAAAGTATCAATTGCTTTAAAACTGTTGTAAGTACAGTTGGCAAGATCTCCAAGCTGAAACTTCCACGTTAAAACTTTTGCCTGTAAGAATTTGCACATGAATGTTAATGGAAAACACAAAACTTAAGATGGCCCAAAACAAAAGCCACAAACAGTTCATCATTTGGTGCTTAGTCTTTGTAAGGGCTCTCTGTGGTTTGACTTACCCCAGCTACCGTTAAATGAGGACAAATCACCTTAAAACATGTTCATTTGATTCATAACAAGGAAAATTGGGTCTATGATTTTTTGCCAATCTTAGCCTAAAAGAAATTGCTTTAGCTTCTGGTCAGCACTGATTAAAATGTGAATAGTGAAGTGGCTATCCTAAACTGGTTTATCTCCACCCACACTATCATAGATTTCTTAGGTAAATACAATTCTTATCTAGTGGTATTCTACTTGTATTCAGAATACTGTATTAAAATTTTACTATTTCATTTTTGTATTCTGTGCTTATTTTTTTTGCTCACGCATGTATGCTTAGTATAAATGTGTCACTTCTAAAGTTTTGTCTCTGACTTTTAGAAATAAATTTCAGAAAAATTGTTTCAAAAGATTTTGAAAGCACATTTTGTTTTGTGAGTCAATGACAAATATATTTCCTGATTACAAAACAGCAGAATCTTACTGAGTTATTTTTCTACTAGTTATAGCTCCCTTTTATAATACTAGTCATTATACTCAACGTAAAAGTATATAATCTGTCAAATCAGATTCACATCATAGCTACAGATATCCCTTTTGCTCCCAAGTTGTATAGATAGATAGTATTTAAGTTTAATCATTGCTTCTAATTGGAAATATTTTAGTTTTTTTTACTTTTGGAAGTATTAGTTATTAAAGGACCTAATTTATAAGTTTCTCTGCTATATTCTCATTACCACTTGTAACAAAAAATGCATACAAATCAAAAATATTTCAATTTTACATAATTTTGAGGGAAAATAATCCTGCTACTAATCCCTTCTGTTTGGCAAAAAATTAATTAATCATCAAGCAGTTTTTATTTTTTCTAGAATCAAAATGGCAGAAAGGGCCTTAAGTCAATACTTCTGCTTCCAGTTTATTTATTTATTTATTTATTTATGAGACGAAGTCTCGCTCTTGTCCCCCAGGCTGGAGTGCAATGGCACGATCTCAGCTCACCGCAACCTCCGCCTCCCGGGTTCAAGTGATTCTCCTGCCGCAGCCTCCCAAGTAGCTGGGATTGATTACAGGCGTGTGCCACAATGCCCAGCTAATTTTTGTATTTTTAGTAGAGACGGGTTTCACCATGTAGGCCAGGCTGGTCTCGAACTCCTGACCTCAGATGATCCGCCCACCTCGGCCTCCCAAAGTGCTGGGATTGCAAGTGGGAGCCACTGCACCCAGCCCTGCTTCCAGTTTAATATTGCCAAACCAAGAGAGTTCTGTCTTCAGTTTTCCTGAAGTGTCTCGCCACAGCCTTTATTAAATGTAAACCTATTGAATGTGCCTCTGAGTCTCGTAAGTTTCTCTTTTTTTTTTTCCCATTTATGTGTGAATTGAGTTGAATTATGTACCTGTGATATGTCATGATGCAAGGATACTTCTGGGATCAGACGAGCCAACCTAGCACTGTGAAAGCTAAAAAGCTAAAACTAGGAAGTAGAACAAGACTTTGATGTGATGTGTGATTTGCATCATATGTATAACATCACTTCTAAGGAATTACCCTTCCCATATGTTACTTGCTTTCAATTGTTTTTATGTATACTATTTAGAGTGAATGCTTCTTAGCTCTTCCTGGCTTAAATGTTGGAATCAGATAATTTGAAAGCCCATGTCCTCAAGTTCTTGGCCAAATTTGAATACTATGCAATCAACTAGTATTTATTGAATCTCTATCTCTGACACTAGCCACTGGGGGATACAGCAGAAAAAATAAAAATCCCGGCCGGGGGCGGTGTCTCACGCCTGTGATCCCAGCACTTTGGGAGGCCGAGGCGGGCGGATCACGAGGTCAGGAGATCGAGACCATCCCGGCTAAAACGGTGAAACCCCGTCTCTACTAAAACTACAAAAAATAGCCGGGCGTAGTGGCGGGCGCCTGTAGTCCTAGCTACTTGGGAGGCTGAGGCAGGAGAATGGCGTGAACCCGGGAGGCGGAGCTTGCAGTGAGCCGAGATCCCGCCACTGCACTCCAGCCTGGGCGACAGAGCGAGACTCCGTCTCAAAAAAAAAAAAAAAAAAAAAAAAAATATCCCAGCCCTCAGTGAGCATGCATTCTAGTTAAGAGTCATTGTTATCTTATAGTGACCCTGGGGGTTGGGTGTGATTAGGGGGAGGTCTTTGTTTTTTCTAGGCAACTCCTTTAAGTATTCATCAGACTTGTTGCCAGTAAATAGTTAATCACTGGTTCATCTGGATTCTCGTTTTGTATAGGAAGAGCAATAAAAGTTCAAAATTTGCAGATTTTTTAAAAGGTCTGCCTATCCTTTGAAAGTCTGGTAGTCTATATAATCCATAAAATATCAATTTCAGAATCTATTAGGTGATGGAGCTGACCAATTTAAATGCCTGTAAAGTAAGAACCTGCCACAGACATTTTACTGAAAAGACAGGAACTTCATTGAATATTTGATATCAAGATAGTCACTAGTGTATCTATTCACACATTAATGATTATCATAATTCAGTCTTCTGGGTTAGTATGTATATTAGATGATATATTCTCCAAACTTTTTTTTGAGACGAAGTCTCGCTCTCTCGCCCAGGCTGGAGTGCAATGGCGCGATCTCGGCTCACTGCAAGTTCTGCCTCCCGGGTTCACGCCATTCTCCTGCCTCAGCCTCCCAAGTAGCTGGGACTACAGGCGCCCGCCACCACGCCCGGCTAATTTTTTGTATTTTTAGTAGAGACGGGGTTTCACCGTGTTAGCCAGGATGGTCTCGATCTCCTGACCTCGTGATCCGCCCGCCTCGGCCTCCCAAAGTGCTGGGATTACAGGCGTGAGCCACCGCGCCCTGCCTCTCCAAACTTTTTAAACATAACAGGAATCAGTGTGTAATAGACTTTGTTTTTATATCCCTTTTTCCTTTTTGAATGTTTTTCTGTTTACCGTGCTTATGTAGTACCTATTCAATACTAATAATGATGATAATAATGACGATTTTATGTATTTTTCATCTAGCAAAAAGATTTTTTTTTTTTGAGACGAAGTCTCTGTCGCACAGGCTGGAGTGCAGTGGCGCGATCTCGGCTCACTGCAACTTCTGCCTATGCCTCCTGAGTAGCTGGGACTACAGGCTGTGCCACCACGCCCGGCTAATTTTTTGTATTTTTAGTAGAGATGAGGTCTCACTGTGTTAGCCAGGATAGTCTCCATCTCCTGACCTCATGATCTGCCCACCTCGGTCTCCCAAAGTGCAAATTCTACTTTTATGAATATATCCTACAGAAATGAAATAGCAATATATAAAGATATATGTAAAAGGAGGTTCATTTTAATATAGTAGTAAACAACTACAAATATTCTGAATGTCCCTCAGTAGGGCAATGGTCAAAACATTATAACACATCTATGTTATGAGCTGTTTAAGTGACCTAAAAGTATGGATCAGAAGAGATGTCTACAGTAATTGCTAGTTTAAAAAATTACAGTGTATTTTCTCACTTTTGAAAAAAACAGAATAATGCTATATAAGTGCAATATATTTGTACCGGATGAGCAGACACACGCCTAATGTTAAAATCACAGACAAGTTGTGACATTGAATGGGGCAAGGGGGAGAATATTTATCTGCCTTTTTATACATTCTTGTATGGTTGACTTATTTAAACCAATTATATATTATTTTTGTCACACACAAAATATAAGGTAGACTTTTATTGAAACCTGTTCACACAATAGTTATATCCAAACTGTAAAGAATAGCAATATGACATAATTCATCTACCTTATTAGTGAAAATATTAAATCATTTTAATTCTTTAATTTTCATTTAAGAATTTTAATTGATGAGCAAATTTTTATTTTTTTTCTAATTATTATTATTTTTTTGAGACGGAGTCTCACTGTTGCCAGGCTGGAGTGCAGTGGTGTGACCTCGGCTCACTGCAACCTCCTCCTCCCGGGTTCAAGCAATTCTCTTGCCTCAGCCTCCTGAGTAGCTGGGATTACAGGCACGCACCACCATGTCCAGCTAATTTTTGTATTTTTAGTAGAGACGGGGTTTCACCATGTTGGCCAGGATGGTCTCGATCTGACCTCATGATCCGCCCACCTTGGCCTCCCAAAGTGCTGGGATTACAGGCGTGAGCCACTGCGCCCGGCCTAGCAAATATTTTTAATATCTTTTTTGAATTATTTTATAAAATTAAGTCGCACATTTATAAAGTTAAGTCATCATTGTGTTTTCCAAGTCATTCATTACCAAGCAGGTAATTGGGGAGGGGGGTCAGTTTCAAAGTTGTGACTTTATTATCCCTGCATTTTTACTCTAAAAATAGCTTATGCCTTCTAGATGTTTACAGTAATTGTATCAATTACTCCACTGTGCTTTAATAATGCCTATAACAAACATAAATTTAATCACTACTAAAACCCCGTAGACAGGTTTCAAAATCTGCTAGTTAATGGGAATAAGATCAGTGGCATACATATCATCAGGTAATTCTTTACAACTTATGACAATTTCTATATGCCACCTTAATTTCCTTTTTCAGAAAACCGGTATTAGATAAGGATTGGAACTTCGTGCCTGGTAATCATTTGTCATCTTCCTCTCCAAGAAGTTTGCTAATTCAGAATTTACAGTCCTTTGAGTGTTGTTTCCTGCCTAGGGATCACCTAGCATCTCCTTGCTTAATGAAAAAATACTAGTTCCTTTACTACTCAGTGTAGTAGTAGTAATATAACACAGTCAAGGTGCCTTCTTTCCTTATAGTAATGGCCATCTGTTCTTAATCTTTCTTTCCTATATTACTTTCTTCTTTCTCTCCTAATGTCTCCTCCTCTCCCTTGCAGATTCTAAATGCTGCACCTTTGGCCTGAAGTTTTAGGTACATCCATGAAATGAAGCAGATTTTTATAATTCAGTCTTCAAATACTGCCAGAATGCTGCATCTAGTATCTTCATCAAGACATACATGCTCATGTCTCTGGATTCTACATGTCTATAGAAATAGATTTTACAATAAAATTTTTTGCCACTATTGTTAGTCAATTAACCTTAAACTCATGAGGTGAATAGTAATGTCTGTCACCTTGACTTTTGTGTCTGTTAACTGCTATTAACCATGAAGCTAATGCTACACATATATATGTATATATATGTGATCAATTTATTTGTTTCCTTAAGGCTATATAAAGTATCAATGTATTAGCATTAGCTTGTTTTAGTCTGTTTTTACACTGCTATAAAGAACTGCCCGAGACTGGGTAATTTATAAAGAAAAGAGGTTTAATCGACTCAGAGTTCGGCATGGCTGGGGAGGCCTCAAGAAACGTACAATTATGGCAGAAGAGGAAGCAGGTACATCTTACATGGCAGCAGGCAAGAGAGAGCATATGAAGGAGGAACTGTCAAACCATCAGATCTTGTGAGAACTCACTCATTGTCACGAGAACAGCATGGGGAAAACCACTCCCATGATCCAAGCACCTCCCTCCCTCAACATGTGGGGATTACAAATCCCTCCTTTGACATGTGGGGATTATAATTTGACATGAGATTTGGGTGGGAACGCAGAGCCAAACCATATCAATGCCACATTTAGGAAAGAACTAACATTTACAAATATGTTTTAAAATTATATTCATTATATTTTGGTATCATTTTATTTGCATCTGTATTCTTTTTAGATTTGATCTTTTTGCTAAAACAATACATGCACACAGTTTAAAAAATCAGATAATGCTAAATGACTTATAATCAGTAATCCCTGCCTCACCATTCACCTATTTTAAACTCATTTTCCTATTTCTTCTGATACTTACTTTCACTTTTTATTTCCTTCTTTTTAGAGATGGGTCCTTGTGCTCTGTCACCCAAGCTGGAATACAGTGGCGCAATGATAGCTCACTGTAGCCTTGAGCTCCTGGGCTCAAGGGATCCTCCCGTCTCAGCCTCTGAAGTAGCTGGGGCTACAGTTGGATGCCACCATGCTCAGCTAATTTTTAAAATTTCGTGTAGATATAGGCAGGGTATTGGGGCGGGAGGTCTTGGTTTGTTGCCCGGGCTTGTCTCAAACTCCTGGCTTCAAGCTGTCCTTCTGCCTCTGTCTCCAAAAGTGCTGGGATTACAGGCATGGGCCACTGCACCTGGACTTACTTTCATAGTTTTAAATAATAATTTTATACTACCATTTTTGAATAGTCAGTTTTACACATGATGCTTAAAATGAAGATTTTGTTCTTTTTCTATTATCATCCCACATTTTCCTCACTATGGGATTTTTATGTAGTTAAAATCAATAGACAGTATTTCAGTTTTTTTGGCCATGTAAATGATTGTTCACCGTCAAACCAAGTAGTTGACTGTGATTCTTTCCCTTCTTATATAATTTTTCTTAAAGCTAATAATTTTATCTTTTGTCTTTGCTTTGCATTCTATTTTTTTCCAAATACACCAACAGATATGGCAAATACCTATAAATAATCTTTCCAAATGCTAATATATGTCAAATAAACTATAAATTCATTTTTGTTTTTTGTTTTTGTTTTTGTTTTTCCTGAGGCCCCCTGTCCCAGCCTTCTTTCCTTCTGCTTAAATCTGAACTTATCTTTCTCTAGGTCCAATACAGTGGTTATCCTGGGATGTCTTTTGCTTTACTGCTTTACTGGCTAGATCCTTCCTTTTCTGTATCCCGGATCCTATGCTTTGCTTAATCCATTGCTTGGCATAAGCATATCCTCCAAAAGCTTCCTGAGGCAGATGGTGTTGAAGGGATATTTCTCAATATCTTGTGTGACTGAAAATAACTTCATTATTCCCTCGTGATTAATTAAAAGTTTGGCTAAGTAGACTGAAAATAATTTTCTTTAATAATATGAAGGCATTGCTCCATAAATATAAATCACAGTGCACTATTTGGTGTTTTGGTATCTAGAGTTTTATTAAGAAGTATAGTGCTTTTCTCAATATTGATTTTAAATATAAAATGTGATTTTATATTATTTTATATTACATTTATAATATAAATATTAACCACCTCAGAAAGAGCAAAGCAAAGAGATATCACAGGATGACTGCTGTATTAGACCTGAAGAAATATAAGTTCAGATTGGAGAAAGAGAAAAGAGGCCGGAGAAGAGAGACCTTCAGAAAAATAAATGTAATATATATTATGTTATATTGTATTATTGCTTTGATAATATACTCTCCTACACTAACTTTATCCTGCTTTGAATTTCTAAGACACCTTTATTCTTTTCAGAACATTTACTTTTAATAGGATCCCATTTGAGGTCTATGATTACAATATATTCTGTTATCTCTCTGTGACTATTATAATTTTTTTTTTTTGAGACAGAGTTTCACCCTTCCACCCAGGCTGGAGTGCAGTGGCATGATCTCGGCTCACTGCAAACTCCGCCTTGGGTTTTAAGTGATTCTCTTGCCTCAGCCTCCCAAGTAGCTGGGATTACAGGCGCCTACCACCACACCTGGCTAACTTTTGTATTTTTAGTAGAGATGGGGTTTCACCATGTTGGCCAGGCTGGTCTACAACTCCTGACCTCATGATCTGCCCACTTCAGCCTCCCAAAGTGCTGGGATTACAGGCATGAGCCACTGTGCCCAGCCAACTATTATAATTTGTTAAAGCTTTCTTCTATTTCTGCATCATCTCTGTTTCCTCTATTTCTGACTGCTTGTTTAGTCTGTCTCTTTCCTATTAGAAACATATTTTCCACACACCTCCTCATTACAACTTTTTCTGTGTACCAAATACCTTAATAACTGAGAAGAAATTCATAGTAGCCTTAAAAGGAAAGAAAGGAAACTATGAGCAGATAAGATATCTTGAGGAATTTCCGGACAAGGGACAGGTTGATTTATGAATGATGAAAAGTAGATTGTATTAAATTGATTGAGAAGCAAGAGAACAGAGAAAATCCAAAGCTCAAAATGCTTCAAAGAAAAACACTTTCTGAAAAAAACCACTTCTGAATTCAGAGCAGATTCAGAAAAATGGCAAGTGAAAGTGAACAAAAATGAAGAGGGGGAGATGTTGTCTCTAAATAATCATCAGGGTAAATGATTATACAGTTTCTTACTATAATTCTTACATATGCTAAACACAAGGTAGCACTGTTTAATGGTTTAAGAGTAGAATATAAAACCTATAAACAACATTATAATAAAATGAACTGCTTATTATCACTAGTATGGCTTGTGTTATAACATAGAAAGGCCTAGAAAACATTATTCCAAAGAGGAATTTGTGATGTTTAGACTACTGTCAATGAAAGAAAGGAGGAAATTATCTGCCCAGCTCCTAAGTGCAGCAAACTTCTTTACTATCTCTGATGGTTAATTTTATGTGTCAGCTTGCCATGGGTGTCTGGATATTGGTCAAACATTATTTAGGAGTATGTCTATGAGCGTGTTTTGGATGAGATTAACACTTGAATCAGAAGACTGAGTAAAGCAGATTGCCCTCCCTAATGTGGGGTGTGGGGGGCCCATCCAATCAGATGAAGACTTGAATAGAATAAAAAGGCTGACCCTTCCAAAAGTAAGGGACAGTCTTCTACCGCCTGACTGCCTTGTGCTGGGACATTGGTTTCTTTCTGCCTTCAAAATCAAGCTGAAACATTGGCTCTTCCTGGGTCTTGAGCCTATCAGTAATTGGAATGAAGCCACGTGATTGGTTTGCCTGGTTTTCAGGCCTTCAGACTCACTGAAATGATACCACCAACTCTTCTGTGTCTCCAGCTTGCTGACTGCACCTCTCGGGACTTGTCATTCTGTATAATCGTGTGAGGTAATTCTTTATAATAAATCTCTCTCTCACCCAGATAAATAGATCTTTTTCTCTGTGAATATATACATCCTATTGGTTCTATTTGTTTATATAGGATGGTAACTAATACAAATTTTGGCACTAAGAGTGATTCCAGAAGAACAGAATTTTAAGGATGAGTTTTAGGAATTAGTTCTGGGATATCTGGAATTGGATCTCTAAGCTGATTAAATTTATAAACACTAATGATTTTATTTTCAGTAGTAAAAAGAGCACTAATAGTTCATGGCATGATGTAACAATGGAGAAACACAAAATATCACCATTGGATACTCAACTACTTACAAGAAGCAAGAATCTGTTTAACTATGTATAAGATACTTTGAAATATTTTTGGCAAACTAATGAGTATAATGAGATGGGCTGGTTGCTTCTAATGTCACTGAACATAGTGGAGAAAGAAAAGAAAAGAAAACGACGAGCTCAGGCATTTGAGTTTCCAACTCAAGTGCTGCATAAATGACCTAAAAGCTTCTATGTGTGCCCTGAAAAAGACCCTTAGCTCTGGTAGCTGCAGGGCTGAGATTGCTGAGAATCAAATCCAGATTCTCATTCTGTGACTTGCTGAATTACAATGCAAGTTGAACTCCCAGCCTTGTTAAGTATGAACTGTTAAAGTGAGGATATTGATTGGGAAGGAATGGTATCCTGAAAGTTGGCATGGGCCCGTGTGGGAAGGCCCTGATGAACCTCAGTGCCATTGAACCCCTAAATGTCAATGGGGTCCCTCGTGAACCCCAGTAGGAGAAGCCACTCCACCTTGACTGAGAGCTGCCTCTCCATTCCCATCTGAGGAGATTCACTGCATTAGCTGAGGAAATTGCAGTGGCCTCCACTAAAGCAGTTGCAATTGCCATGCAAGACAACCATGAGTCTTCTCAGGATTCACTCCCACCACCTTTCCTTGCTTCTTGACCCTTAAATAGACTTAAGACCCTAGAAGTTCCTAGAGGTGAGGTACAAAGTGTGGTCCATAAGTTGGAGTGCTACACTCCAAAAGAATTACTTGAGTTTTTAATTTACACAAGAAGAAATCCAGGGGCAACATATGTGGGAATAGTTACTAAAGGTGTGGGATAACAGTGGAAGAAATATAAAGTTGGGTAAGGCCAAATTTATTAATATGAGCCCACTAAGCAGAGATTCTGCATTTAATGTTGCAGCTTAGAATCAGGCCTATGGAGTTCAGGTAATCAATGGAGTTTTAGTTGAGGTCCATCTCACAGTGAGTCCAGTGAGTCCCTAAGCCTAGCCCATGGTTGTTCCTTCAGTTCCAGAAAGCATCATTGGCATAAATATACTCAACAGCTGACAGAATCCCCACATTGGTGCCCTGACCTGTGGAGTGTGGGCTATTCCGGTGGCAAAGGCCAAGTAGAATTACGTCTACCTAGGGATACAATAAAACAAAAGCCAGAGCACATTCCTAAAGGGATTGCAGAGATCAGTGCCCCCATTCAAGGACTTGAAAGACGTAGAGGTGGTGATTCCCACCACATCACCATTCAACTTATCTATTTGGCCTGTGCAGAGGACAGATGGACCTTTCAAAATGACAGTGGATTATTGTAAGCCTCACCAGGTGGTTACTCCAATTGCAACTGCTATACCAGATGTGGTTTAATTTCTTGAGCAAATGAACACATCCCCTGGTACTTGATCTGAAAAGTGCTTTTTCCTTCATACCTGTCAATAAAGACCATTTGAAGCAGTTTGCTTTTAGCTGCCAAAGCCAGAAATATATCTTCATGATCCTACCTCTCGGGTCTCTCAGCTCTCCAGCCATATGTCATAATTTTGTTCACAGACATTTTATTGTCTTGCCCTTTTATAAGGGATCACACTGGTCCATGATAGTATGTTAATTGGACCTAGTGGCCAAGAAGTAGCCACCACCCTAGATGTATTGGTAAGACATTTGTATGTCAGAGAAATAAATCGGACACAAATTGAAGGCCCATAAAGTCAAGAAAACAAAAGACAAACAAAATAGGGGAAAAATAGTGATCTTCCACCTCAATGACATTCCTCAGGGTCTATTGGTGTGGAATATGCCAAGATATTCCTTCTAAGATGGAGGATAAGTTGTTGCTTATGGCCCCTCCTACAAAAAAAAAAAAAAAAAAAGCCACAGTGCTTCGTGGGCCTCTTTGGATTTTGAAAGCAATACATTCCTTATTTCGATATGTTACTCCAGCCCATCTAGTGAATGATCGGAAAAACAGCCAGTTTTGTCTGAGACTCAGAACAAAAGGAGGTTCTGCCACAGATCCAGGCTGCCTTGCAACTTCTTTGCCAGGGCCATATGATCCTGCAATCCAGTGGTGTTGGAAGTGTCTGCAGCAGATAGGGAAGCCATTTGGAGCCCTTGGCAGGCCCCTAGAGGTGAGTCACAGTGTAGGCCCTTAGGATTTAGAGCAAAGCACTGCTATCCTTTGCAGGTAACTACTCTGTTTTTGAGAAATAGCTCTTGGCTTGCTATTAAGTCTTAGCAGAGGCTGACTGTTTAGCCATGGGCAACCACTAAGTTACCGTATGAGCTGAGTGGCCCATCATGAATGGAGTGATATCTGATCTACTTAGCCATAAAGTTAGGTGTGAACAGTAGCACTCCATCATCCAATAGAAGTGATAAATATTTAAATCAGGTATAAGTATCTTACATGAATAAGTGGTCAAAATGCTCACGGTCTCCCTACCTGCTACATTACCTTCTCTCTCCCAGCCTGCACCTATGGCCTCACTGGAAGTTCTCTACATTCACTTGGTGGAGGAAGATAAGATTCAGGTATGGTTTACAGATAGTTTCGCATAATATGCAGGCACTAGCCCAAAGTGAACAGCTGCAGCAATACAGCCCTTTCCTGGAGGCTATGAAGGACCAAGATGAAGGGAAATCTTAATGTGCAGAATGTTGAGCAGTGCACCTGGTTTTTCACTTTGAATGGCCAGACATGCAATTATATGCTGATTCATGGGCTACGGCCTGTGATTTGGCTAAATGGTGAGGGACTTGGAAGGAACATGATTCGAAAATTGGTGACAAGGAAATCTGAGGAAAGGATATGTGGATAGACCACTTTAAATAGGCAAAAAACGTGGAGATATTTGTATCCCATGGGAATGTTCACCAACATGCGACCTCAGCAGAGGAGGATTTTAGGAGTTAAGTAGACAGGATGGCCTGTTCTGTGGATACTAATCAGCCTCTCCCCAACCATCCCTGTCATTGTCCAGTGGGCTCATGAAAAAAGCGGCCATGGTGGCAGTGATACAGGCAGGTGGGAGGAGGGCAGGGTCCCTGGCAAGGGCCCCACCCTCAAGCCTAGACCTGTGGCCCTAAATAAGAACAGGCATTCCTGTTTTTGCCCCAGACATTGCCTTTGGCCCACCACAGCCCCCTATCCTCTGTCCATATAAACCCCAAACCCCAGGATCCATGAGCAGAAAGCAGCAGAGTGGTGTGGCAGAGAAGTAGAGAAGAGAGAAAGCATCTGAACATCAAGAGGAGTTCGGCTGGGGGCAGTTGGAGAGGGGATTGGCCAGGGGACGGCCAAACTCCAAGGGAAGATCATCTTCCCACTCCATTCCCTCTCCAGTTCCCCACCTCCATCACTCAATAAAATCCCCACATTTACCATCCTTCAAGTCCAAGTGATCTGATTCTTTCTGGATGCAAGACAAGAATTTGGGATGTATTGGGTGTGGGAACCCAAAAAGGCTGTCACACTGCCTTTTTACTGAGCTGTTTAACACTTAAACTGTCCCCAATGGCAGGGCTAAAAGACCACTGTAACACCCCTAAACACTGCTGTGAGGCTGGATCCCAAAAACACTTGCCCTGGCCTCTGCACCTGCTCACCTGCATGCTCCTCCTCCCATAAGGGGTTTGAGTGCATGGTGGCCGAACAAATGAACCACACCTTGGTCGCACGTCCCATGAGGGGTTCAGGGAACTCTCCTGTTTCAGCAGGATGGAGGTTATGTATGGGTTCAGTAGCATAAAATCCCACCAACCAAGGCCAACGTGGCTATAGCCACCACTGAGTTCGCAGTCTGCCAGTGGCAGAGACTAACACTAACAGGCACAATTGCCTGGGGTGGTCACCCAGCTGTCTAGTGGCAGGTTACATTGGACCTCTTCCATCATAGAAGGGGCAACATCTTGTTCTTACCAGAATAGACACTCTTGATATGGATTTGCCTTCCCTGCACACACTGTTTCTACCCAATCTATCATCTGTGAACTTACAGCATGTCTTATACACCATAATAGTATTCTATACAGCATTTGTTTTCATCAAAGAACTCAACTTACAGCAAATAAAGTACGGCAATTGGCGCATGCTCATGCATTCCCTAGTATTACCATATTTTTCATCATCTGCAAGAAGCTGTCTTAACAGAGTGGTGAAATGACCTTCTAAAGACAGAGTTCCAGAACCAGCTAGGTGGCATTATCTTTCAAGGCTAGGACAAGGCTCTTCAGAAGGCTTTGTATGCTTTGGATCAGCATTCAATACATGGTGCTGTTTCTCCCATGGCCAGGATTCATGAGTCCCAGAATCAAGGGCTGAAAATGGGAGAAGCACCATTCACTGGTACCCCTAATGACCCACTAGCAAAATTTTTGCTTCCTGATTCCTCAGCCTTATCTTCTGCTGGTCTAGAAGTCTTAGTTCCAAAGAAAGGAATGCTTCCACCACGAGACACAGTGAGTCCATTTAACTGGAAGTTAAGACTGCCTCTTGGGCCCTTTGGGCTCCTCATGCCTATGAATCACCAGGCAAAGAAGGGAGTTAGTGTTCTGATGGGGGTGACTGATCCTGACTACCAAGGGGAATAGAACCATTACACAACAATGGTGGTAAGGATGAGTATGTCTAGTCTACAAGAGGTCCCTTAGGGTGTCTGTTATTACTGCTATGCTCTGTGATTAAGGCCAATGTAAAACTGCAACGATCCAATTCAGGCAGGGCTATTAATAGCTCAGACTTTTCAGGAAGGAAAACTTGGGCTACCCACTATGTAAAGAATTATGGCTGCTTAAGTTTTTGCTGAAGGCAAAGGGAATACAGATTAAGTAGTGAAAGAAGGTAGTCAAAAATACCAGCTATAGCCAAATGGCCAGTTACAGAAATGCAAAATGAGGACTATAATTGTAATGAATATTTTCTCCTTATTTTGTTACAAATGTGTGTGTGTGTGTGTGTGTGTGTGTGTAGATAGATGGATAAAGCAAATATTTTTGTTTTCTTCCCTCATCCCCCCTCATCATGTAAAATAAGATGTGTTGACTTTACATCATTGTATGTAAGTTACAGGACATCAGGGAGAAGAGTTAACATCATTTCAGGACTTTATCTCCTCTTCTAAAATGTTAGTGTGTTTCTGGTTGTACACAGAATAGTTTTATTATGATAGGAGGAAATACGACCTTGTTGTCTTTTTTGAGATTGAGTATGGTTTAAGGACACGTATATGGGTACCAAGTTGACAAGGGGTAGGTTTATGATAGTTTTATGTGTGAATTGAGTAGGTCATGGGGTGGCCAGCTATTTGGTCAAACTTTATTCTGGGTGTGTCTATGCAGGTGTTTTAGGATGAAATTCACACTTGAATTGGTGGACTGAGAAAAGAAGATTGCCCTCCCTAATGCGAGTGAGCCCTGAATAAAACCCTGACTCATGCATCACTCAAGTAAAGCCTTCCTTCTGGAGGATGGGGAGGCATAGCCTTGTTTTTTTTGTTTGTTTGTTTGTTTGTTTTGGTTTGTTTGCTCTTCACCTATGTAGACTTTTGAGTACTGCCTCACTTACAAAGTTCTTCTATTCAGGGGAGAAGATTGGGAGGAAAAGGACTCACACAGCTGCAAATGAAACCCAGGAAATCCACTTGTATCAGCTTCCCAGGGCTACTGTAACAGGGCACTACAAACTAGGTGGCTTAAAGCAACACAATTATATTTTCCCACTGTTCTAAAGATTATAAGTTTGAAATCAAGGTGCAGCAGGGTCATTCTTCTCTGAAGCCTGTAGGGCAGAATCCTTCCTTGCCTCTTCCTAGCTTCTGGTGGTTTGTGGGCAATCTTTGATGTTCCTTGGTTTCTAGTTGCAGGAATTCAATCTCAGCCTCTGTTGGCACGTGGCATTCTCCCTCTGTATGTGGACCTAAATCTCCCTTTTTATAGGGGACCCCAGTCATATAGAATTAGGGCCACCCTAATGACCTCATCTTAACTTGATTACATCTGCAAAGACTGTATTTCCAAATAAAGTCACTTTCTCTGGGATGGGGTCTAGGATTTCAAAGTATCTTTTTGGGTGACACAATTCAATCCATAACAGAACCTTCACTCATCAACTTAGAGCATCAGTCAAATAGTTTACCACATGTTTGACAAAACCAAAGGCATTCACTAACATGGGCAATTAGATGATCCAAGTAACCATAAGAGAACATTTAAAAACTGAATTGACTATCTTCAGAGAAGGTGTCATAGAGTAGGATAAAATATCCACAAAATAAGAACAGACAGCAATGACAAGGTGGCAATCAGAGGAAAACATAGTTCTTACAAATTAAAAAAAGTAAAATTTAAGAAACAGTCAATACCAGTGGAAGATTTGGAAAATAAAGTTACAGAACTCCCCCAAACTATAGAGCAAATGGCAAAGAGATGGCTACCATAAGAAAAAAAAAGTAAAAAAAAAAGAAGGAACAACTCTCCATACATAACGCTATCAGTTAGTAGTACCAAGAAGACAAAAAAAAAAAAAAGGGGGGAAATGAGGGGGATAGATAAACAAATATGTAACTGAGAAAAATTTCCCATAATCCCCTAAACCACAAGTATTGAGATTTCAGAGAGCTCTAAATGTTAAGACAAAAACAAACAAAAGAAACTTTTGCCTTAGACAATTATTTGTGAAATTTCAGAACTATTAGGACTCAAATAAATTTATAAAAGCTTCCAGAAAGAAAGAACACTGTCTGCACAGTAACTGGCTGTTGCAAACTCCAGGCAGCCCCATGTGCACGATATTCCCTGGCTTTGTGTCCCAGGGTCCAGAAAATGTTCCCTGAAGCTGAGCGGTGACGTAGCATTGGATGGGTATTATACTGCAGAAGTCAATAGACAAATGCTTGAAATGCTGAGTATGAATTATTTTGAAACCGCAAGTATATAAAGTATATATTTATCCAAACTAGAATTTAGATGTGAGATCAAAATAAATAAATATTTTGGCCTGCAAAGCCTCCAAAGGTTATCACCTACAGAACCTCTCTGAAATAATTGAGAATACATAATAGAAATAAATAAATAGGCCGGGCATGGTGGCTCATGCCTGTAATCCCAGCACTTTGGGAGGCCGAGGTGGGTGGATCACTTACGTCAGGAGTTCAAAACCAGCCTGGTGAAACCGCCTCTACTGAAAATACAAAAATTAGCTGGGCGCGGTGGCAGGCACCTGTAGTCCCAGCTACTTGGGAGGCTGAGGCAGGAGAATCACTTGAAACCAGGAGGCGGAGGTTGCAGTGAGCTGAGATCGTGTCACTGCACTCCACCTTGGGTGACAGAGTGAGAATCCATCAAAAAAAAAAAAGGAAAAGAAAGGAACCACATTAAAAAAATTCCAAATTAAGTATTTTTACTGATTTAGATTGATCTTTCACCAACTAGTCCCAAATAAAGTTCTGTTTTTATACTTATGAGAGATTAAATTTCTTCTTAATGTTATTTATGTGTGAATTGTTCTGTTGTATATTTGTGTGTATATGTGTGTGTAACCAATTCCTTATGATGGCTGACCCTCTCTACTATTATATTTCTGATCTGATTTTTTTCTGATGCCATTTTTGTGTCTTTCTAGGAATTTTTCAATTTCATCTACTTTTTCTAATCTGTTGGCATAAAGTTGTTCATGATTTGCCTGTATAAAGTTAAATTTTATGGGGTCTGAGTGATGTCCTTATATCTGATTTTAATAAATTATGTCTTGTCTGTTTTGTTCTTGGCAGGTCTTGCTAAAAATTCATCAATTTGTTAATATTTGCAAAGAACCAACTTTTCACTTTATTGAGATCCTCTATTGTCTTTTTTGTTTTTTATTTTCTATTATTTATTTTTAAATTGACAGGTAAAATTTTTATACATTTATGGTGTACAAAAAAAGAAGCAGCAGCAAGATCAGCTGAGGAAGGAAAGTTAGTTTAAAAAAGTAAGAGTCGGCTGGGCACGGTGGTTCACGCCTGTAATCCTAGCACTTTAGGAGGCTGAGGCGGGCAGATCACGAGGTCAAGAGATGGAGACCATTCTGGCCAACATGGTGAAACCCTGCCTCTACTAAAAATAGAAGAATTAGCTGGGTGTGGTGGCGCATGCCTGAGTCCCAGCTACTCGGGAGGGAGGCTAAGGCAGGAGAATTGCTTGAACCCAAGAGGTGGAGGTGGATGTTGCAGTGAGCTGAGATGGTGCCACTGCACTCCAACCCTGGAAACAGGGCGAAACTCCGTCTCAAAAAAAAAAAGGAGTCATGAATACTAATCAGACTGAGCCATGAGACAGGCATTGACTGATGATTAATAGTTTTAATTAAGTTTTTTTTAAAAACTTGCTGTCAGGAAATTTAATAGTTTCTATGATTTGGTGTTCTGGATTTAGTTAATTTGTCATTTTTTGATAGTTTATTAGTTTCCTAATAAAATTTCCAACACAAAATGCATATGCTGTAAATACAACTGAAGATGTTCAACAAGTCCTGGATGTTAGTTCTGGCTTGTGCATACACTATTTGCATAATTTGGGTGAGTTCGTATCAATTTCTCTGAATCTGTTTTAACTTCTGTGAAATGGCAAGTTTGGTCTATCTGGTCCCCAAAGTACTTTTCGGCTTAACAACAGTGAGAGAAGTTCTGGTGTATGCTGAGGTGCTGATATGGAAGAACACTCAGCCTGCTCTTCAAAGAGCAGAGTCTGGAGGTATTTAAACGGTCAGAGGCCAAGAAGGAAAGAGTGCAGACGGCTGTAGGTATTATGAAATTTCTTCCTGAACTACTCATTTATATTGGTGTATAAATAACTTAAGCATAAATGTAAAAATATCTTAGTGTCTACTTTAGTTGTGGTGACAAAATACATACAGTGGCCATAATATAAGGTAGAATGGTATACAGCTATAAGAGTAGTACTCTGAGAACAGAGAGGAACACAAAGCTTTCTTTCTTCATTTTTGGTTTTGCAAAAAAAAAATTTCGAAAAATATCATCTACAAGCAAGAAATGTTAAAAGTTAATTGGGCTGTGTGGTGGATTAAATATTACCCCAAATTCCTTGACATTCCTCCCATCCTAACTTGAAGATCTATGTCCCCTCATTTAAATCATAGTGGGCTCAATGACTACTTTGACAAATAGATTATGGCAGAAATGATGCTATGCCAGTGTCTGGGAACAGGGTTTAAGAAACTCACAGCTTTTACTAACTGTTACTTACAAAACTCTTTCTGGGAGCTGTAGCTTGTCATATAAGAAATATTATCTTGCAACTGCCGTGATGGTAAGGTCACATGTTGGTGCTCTGTTTAGTAGTTTCAACTGAAGTCAGCCTTTTAGACTTTTTAACAAAGGTGCCAGTGATTATCTCAATCAATCCCACACGGAGCAGAAGAGTCTCTCAGCTCAGATCTGTTCAACTTCTTTACCCACAAAATTGTGAGATATAATGTAATGAAAATTGTTGTTTGACACTGCTAAATCTTGGGGTAATTTGTTATGTAGCAATAGATTACTAGAATAAAATGATAAAATGCAATAGATAACCAGAAAGTAGACCCTTTTTTCCCTGAAGTTTTATTTGGTTTGTGGTATACTGTAAAGACAGTTTGTAAAATCAGACCTTCTAATCTTGGGTCTTTTTTGATGACTTCTTGAATGTTAAATATAGACAGAATTGCCTATACTCTTTTTTGCTCCTTCTCCTTTCTATTTCTGGGTGGGTGGGTTGGTATAGAATTCCTTTAGGTCTGTTTGAATGGTAATCCAAGCCCTATTAGGTAAGATCCAACAGCCTCTTATTTATTTTTTAAAACTTATTTATTTATTATTCATTTGATTTTTCTTTTCTTTTCTTTTTTTTTTTTTTGTAGAGATGAGGTCTGATATGGTTTGGCTCTGTGTCCCCACCCAATCTCATCTCTAATTGTAATCCCCACATCTCTAGGAAAGGACCTGTAATACCCATGTGTGGAGGGAAAAGGTGATTGGATCACGGGGGTGGTTTCCTTATGCTGTTCTCATGACAGTGAGTGAGTTCTTACGAGATCTGTTGGTTTTATAAGTGTTTGGAAGTTCTTCCTCCACTTCTCTGTCTCCTGCTGCCTTGTGAAGAAGATGCCTGCTTCCCCTTCTGCATGATTGTAAGTTTCCTGAGGCCTTCCCAGCCAAGTGGAACTGTGAGACAATAAAACCTCTTTCCTTTATAAATTAGCCAGTCTCAGGGAAGTTCTTTTTAGCAGTGTGAAAATGAACTAATACTAGGTCTTACTATGTTGCCCAGGCTGCTCTTGAATTCCTGGCTTTGAGTGAGCCTCCCGCCTCCGTCTCCCAAAATGCTGATATTAGGAATGTGAGCCATCTTGCCCAGCCAAACTCCTATTCTAAACAGGCCATTTCCCCCCATATATTTCTGCTTCCATGGTTGATAACATGTTGGAATTGGGAGAAATTCTATATCTATTTTTTAATCAGTTGAATTGGGATAGAAGAGCTAAGACTTTTAAAATGTAATTAAATTTTTCTACTTAAACTAATCCTGTTTCGCCTCAGGCAAACTACTAGCTTTACTATTTTATTTTTTTTAATAAAATGAGGATAGTAATTTCTACTTTGTTGTGCGGTTGGTAGCAAGTGTATACATGAAAAGAAAGTGCTATAAAACAACTTGGCAATAAATATGACATATAGAATGAAAAAATTTGGTCATTAGAATAAACTTCTTCCAAGTTCAAGTCCCATTCTGCTTCTCTTTCTGTTCATTTCAGCTATTACTGAATGCCTGAAGCATTTCAGGCTGTAATCTAGATACTGGACATACAAAGATGGATAAGTCACAGCTCTGGCCTTGAGGAGCTCACAGATCAAAGAGGGATTTGGAAATTGAATCATATATGTAAAATCATATAGCTCAACAACTGAGGCATTGGAAGGGCTCATTTATACATCACGGCTGCCCTAAGAACAAAACACAAAATCTAGGGAAGTTATTAAGATGTAGAACTCAACAGGAGAGATTCCCCAAAAGCACCGAGTGTGACAGGAGCCAAATCATGTTCTGAAAATCACAGTGAGAGGAGATACTGAGAACAAGAAAATTATTGTCAAATAAACCCTGGGCAAAAAAACCCCAGGTGAATTAAACATGCAGAATTAGCAAAAGCTTCTGATCGGCACAGATCAGAAAAAGGTTTGGTAAAAGGTTGTAAAAGTTTGGTATAGGATGCTAGTCCTTTGTTAAATAGGTTTAAAGGGAGCTAAATTGAACAGCTGATGCCAGTAAGGCTGCAGTGCCCGTTAAGGCAACACTGCCAAACTAGACCCTTTCACTCTGAGAAACTGAAAGTGAAACTAATTGCAATAAAATCTCAATAGCCTATGAAATAACATGAATGCATGCATATGCATGTTTACATCTGATCTACAACTGTTCTAAAAGTCACCTAGTCTCATGTTCAAGGACATATAAAACCTCCCCACCCATACTCAGCCAGAGGCCTTTTATAGACAAAACTCACACTCAGCCCCATCTGCACTACCTTCCAGGCCCTATCTCCTGTCTCCTGAACTTTCCCATTACTATTCCAGACAGAAGAGTTCAATGAAGGCTATTTAAATAAAAATGGTATGCTATAATTGTATATGTGGGCTCTTCATTCCTTCAAAAGTATTACTTGAGTACCAGCTATATTCCCAGTATACCAAATCATGTAAATTATAGTTTCAACACAAATGATTTATTTAGCAAATGGTTTTTATGGACTATCATAAGACCTCTGACAGCCTTGATAACTTGAGGTTCTGAAGCCAAGATTTCTTTGGGACAATTATTTTTGCATAAAGGAGAGTTCTATTCTCTCTGGATTCCAAAATTGATCACCAAATTTAAGTATGTCTGTTTCTGTACAAAACTATGTTTGGCTTAAGACAAAGCTATCACCAGTTTCAATACAATGGAAAATGCATGAATAGATAATTTGGTTGTTATGTTCTGTAAGTATCTAAAACAGAGATAAACAATATCTCCATTAAGGATAGTCAGTTGTTGGAGCATAAGTAAATAAGCATTTAGATACTAATCTAAAAATGCCTTAAGGTACAGCTACTTTAAAGATCATTAAAATATTTTAAAGTAAAAAAGAGAATTAAAACATTAAAATGTGATAAAAGCTAAGACTTTAGGATTAGATAATATAATAAGTTATTTTTAGAATAGTTTAATGTTTGGCTAACTACATTTTTCCATGATTCCTAGCTTTCCTATTTAAATATAAAATTAAAAAAAATTTTTATAATTATAAAATTGATTATGATGCAATAAAATTTTTTATTTTGCTGAATACCTGTTTTTAGAATTTTATTTTGCTGTTTACTAGAAAAACATTTCTTATTGGATTATGAGAATTTCAAAATCTAGAACTATTGGCCTAATACACTTGACACATAAGAATAAATACATTTTGTTTAGATAACTTTAAGTACAAGACGCTTTCTGTATTTTCTATTTACAAATTATACTAGAGACTTTTTTCATTGCATGTTATTATTTTAATTGACTCATTTGGAATGATAATAATCTAAAGGTTTAAATTGGATTAACATTTATTCAATTTAAATTGATAATATTGGATTATCAAATAGGAGATTCAGAATGTTATGGCTAAAGTTTGCTCAGAGATAAAGCAAAATGAAACCCAAGGGGAAACCTGATTCAGAAAGCAAATCCCAAAATCTTTCCAAGAGAGATGTCCATTAACTGGGCTCTATGAAAGAGTGTGATCTTTTTATTATGTGAAATACAATTTCCATTTCACGTGATTAATAGTAAATAGTAACATAACACTATTTTTTTAACCTCTGGCAAAAGTAGTTTTTAGTTTCACTTTTGGATCATGTTGTGCTGTGATTATTTGTACAGCCCTCTCGTTCGATTTTTGTCTCATTTAACTTTATTATATTTCCTCTTCAGATTCTATTCCCTTTCATATCTAGTCCCTTCTCCCCAGGATATATTCTAGGAGATTTTTTGTATCTTTAAAAAACTCATAATATTTCTTTTGTATTCACTTGTTTTTAATTTACACAAATGATATTCCACTAGGGTTTTCTTGTTTGTTTTGTTTGTTTGTTTTTACTTAACAGCATGTTTTCAAGATCTACCCATTGGCTTTGATTACGTCTAATTCATTATTTTTGACTACTTCATAACATTCTGCAACATGCATCATCACATTTAACCTATCTACTGTCTAGGTGATGAACAACTAAGATGTCTTCAAGTCCTCACTTTCATAAGTAATAATGTGAGAAACTTGTATCTGTTCCTTTATGGGCCTGTATAAGATTGTCTCTGGGCATTTTACCTAGAAGAGGTTCTAAGTCATCAATATTTATATGTCCATCTTATATGTCTTCCCAAAGAACCCAGCTTTTGTTTTGTTGATTTTCAAAAATTTTTTATTTTGTTTTGTTGCTGTTCTCTATTTTGTGATGTCTCTATCTTTTTTATTTCTGTCCTTTCTAGCTTCTTGAACCCTTAGCTCATTTATTTTTAATTGTTCCAGTTCTCTGATGTATTCAAAACTATACTGTTTCCATTAAGCATTACTTGAGTAATGTTCCATAGATTTGATGTATAATACCAAGTATACCATAAGTTCCCCTCCACTTTTTTTTTTGTTACCCAAAGGGTCACTTAGTAGTATGCTATTTAAAATCTCCAAACATATGGGATTATTAAAGGCATTCTTTTATGTTTAGTTCTATAGATGAGCTGGCTTAATATGTTGGAATGAGCTAAAAATGAACTGCTGCTCTACTATAGACCTACTCAGGTGTGGCCCTGAAAAACAATGATGAAGGAAAATCCTCCAGGGCTGGGGTTCAAGCAGCACACTAGGTCGGCACCTTTGTGGATAGAAAAGTGTTCTGAAAGAAGACTATACATAATATTTTGGAAAGTGCCATGTAGGTTGTCTGGTGGGTCAGGAGCTCAGAATAAGATTGGAAGATCAGCTTCAAAAAAGACTGGGGAAGAATCTTGTAGATACATCTTTGGGATGAGCATAAAATAAAGCGAAGGATTCAAACAATCAAGTGTGCAGAATAACTCATCTAAGTTAGCTAGCCTCTGTTATCTTGGCCATGCCAATGCCCACAATGAACCCACAAAGAGTGGTCATGATGGTGGAGATGGAGGCTAAACATGGGCTCAACAGTACAGATTCCTCCTACCAACATTAATCTAACTACTGCAGCTATTGATTACGTGAAATCTGCCAGCAGCAGAAACTGATGCTGAGTCCTCAAATAGAGATCAACTTTGTGGCAAGTTGGTTGCATTGGGCCCCTTTATGTCAAAGGAGGGATGAAAATAGCAGGTGACCAGGATCCACTGGTCTTACCATATACCACATTACCCTAATCTGTAAGTCTGATAGTGAAACAGAATTGTTCCCTGGACCCCTTCACAGGACTTGCAAAGGGGTTGGCTTGTTTACTCAGCCCACACTGCTCAACCCCTCTTGGAATGGGGAGCACACAGATGAGCAGGTGCAGGGCCTGGGACGAGTGTTTTTGGGTGCCGGCAGGAGCAGAACTCTGTGTGGCCCTGCGGCAGCATCTAGAGGGATATCCATGACCCCTGGATATATGCCAGAGGGCATGTGTTACGATGCTCTTTTAGCTTTGCCATCCACAGATGGCTTAAGTGTTTAACAACTCAGTTTGACAGCCCTCTGTATCCCGAGCTCTTGTTGGGCATCCAGGAAGAATCAGGACACATGAACAAATTGAAGATGGTAAATGTGGGGGATTTTATTGCTGATGAAAGTGGCTCTCAGCAGGATGGAGAACTGGAAAGGGGATGGAGTGGGAAGGTGGTCTTCCCCTGGAATTCAACCATTACCAGCTGAACTCTTCTCTAATGTATAGTCGTTAAGCTGTCCCTCTGAAGACAAGGTGCTTCTTGCTGATGTCATGCTGCTTCTTCTCTGTTTCTCTGCCAATCTGCTGCTTTGCTAGTGGGGCCTGGGGGGTTTTATGAGTACAAGATGGGGGCTGGGGTGAGCCCACGTGGTTTTGGAAAAGGCAACATTTGGGTGGGAAAACAGGAATGCATGTTCTCACTTTGGGCCATGGGTCCAGGCTTGAGGGTGGGGCTTTGCTAGGCACCCCGCCCCTTTCTGCCTAGTGTTTCCCTGCCTCTTGTCTGTTTCAACAAAATGGCCTCTTAACAATAAGGCTTGTGGATGACATTGTGGCTTTTGAGTGCTGTTTTTTAGGATATGATATATATTTTGAACCAATGGCCATTATATATCCTATCACTGTGACAGCTAGAACATACGGTTTCAGGAATCAAAGGATAGAAGAAGGAGTGGGTCTTATTATTACTCACAATGCACCACTTTGGAGGTTTGTGCTTTCATCTGCAAAACTTGTGTTATACTGGACTAAAAGGGATCAGTAACGTTCTACTAAATTTGAAGCTCTGGCAGCCACTGGCTATTTTTGGCTCCTTAGGCCAATAGGCCAGCAAACAAAGACCGGAATTACTATGCAGAAGGTGTAATTGATCCTTAATGTCGTGGAGAGATAAAGTTACTACTACTTAATAGCAGCAAGGAGAATTATGCCTTGAATTTAGGAGACTCACCAGGTTCCTCTAGGTGCTTCTATGTCTAATGATCACAGTGAACAGGCAATTGCAGAAACCATGAACTGATTAGAGAACAACAAAAAGGTGATCAGATCCCTCAGGGATGTGGGTCTGAGTTTCATTAAAGTGAAGCAACTTAGACTAGAAGTGCTGGCCAAGGTTGAGTGAAATGTAAAATGTCTGCTAAAAAGGTAAGATGATGAATAGCAGTCATAGCCTCAGGCCAACTGCAGCAGCAGAGGCTGCAGTTTGTCCCATTGGCCTCCTATTGTTAGTATTTAATTTCATTTTATTTTAAAATTGTGACTAGCCACTACATTGAAGAATAGTGACTAGATGGAGGGAATTTAATTCAAAGCATGAGTGAATCTGTGCAGTACAGTGGGTACAGTAGAGCAGTTACAGCCATATCCCCTATGCAATTATGTTTCCCATACATGCCAATAACTTCTTTACTTGAGGTACCTGCATCCCTTAGTCAGAGGGTTTCCTGGGTGGAGGGTGCTTGGCCTCTGTAATCTCCAGGGAGTTACTGTCCATGAGCACAGCTTTTAAACAATGAGGAGTAGAAATTGGTCTTCTCCTGGAGTTTGGCCGTCCAGAAGCCAATCTCCACCTTTCTTGCCCCTTGAATGGAACAACTCTGAGGCAAATTCTACATCTACTGGAGGGGCCCAGTGAGACCTAATCCAATTTCACCAAGTGGTAACCTGCTTGTTAAGGTATCCTGAATTCAGATTCGTTTTCTGTTATTCTCTATTTCACTTCTGCAGTCCTGTATTGGTGCTTTTTGAGATCACCACACGCATGCAAAAATTTGCACTAAAATCCTTGGCTCAGGGTCTGATTCTGGGAAAATCCAGCCTAACACAATATGGATATGTTCCCTTCCAAGATCAGTATCTTAGCCCACTTTTAACTCCCACCAACCATTCTATCATCCTTCAACTACATTGACATTATTATTAGTTTAATCTCAGAATCCTTATGATACAAACAGGGGTCAGGGAAATACTGGGTGGAAGAGGACAGTTCCCTGACAAAGGCCCCACCCTCAAGCCTGGAAACCCAAGGACCTAAATGGGAACAGGCATTCCTGTTTTTGTGCCCCAAAGCTGTTTTTTGGCCTGCCACCCCCCACTATCCTGTACACATAAACACTATAAACCACAGGCACCATGAGCAGATGAGCAGACAACCAGACAAACAGAAGAGCAGAAGAGTGGCAGAATGGCATGGCAGAGAAGGAGAGAAGAGGAGTGCCTGAATATCAAGAGGAGTTTTGCTGGGGATGGTCAGAGGGGAGATCAGCTGCTGGACGGCCAAACTCCAGGGGAAGATCACCTTCCCACTCCATCCCCTTTCCAGCTCCCTATCCATCCCATTGAGAGCCACCTCCATTACCCAGTAAAATCCCTGCATTCACCATCCTTCACGTCCATGTGTAACCTTTTTCTTCCTGGATGCCAGACAAGAACCTGTGTACCAAGAGGGCACTAAGCTGGTTAACACTTAAGCTGTCTGTGGATGGCAGAGCTAAAAGAGCACAGTAGCACACCCATGGGGGCTTTGAGAGTCACAGGCACACATCCCTAGACATCACTGTCGGGCCAAAGCCCAAAAGCACATACCCTGGCTCCTGCACCTGCCCATCTATGTGCTCTCCCTCCCATGAAAGCTTTGAAAAGTGGCAGCGGCCAAACAGATGAGCCACATCCTTGTCACGTGTCCTGTGAGGAGGGTTAGAGAACTCTCCCATTTCACTTATTGATGCATTGTTTTCATTTCTTTCTGTTTTTATTGTTTTTTTTTTCTATTTTTGATAGTGGTTAAATAAAAAGTGTTATTATTTCCAAAAGTGTTTTCAATAATGGTTTTAGTTTTAGTGTGATAAAATTTCTGAGACTTCGTATGCTTGAGAACATCTTCAACTTACCTTACATTTAAATGATTATCTAGACATAAAATCCTAATTTAAAGTTTCTTCAGCACTTAAAAAACACTGATTTGTTTTCCCCTTGCTTCTGCTGTTGCTATTGAGAAGCCTTATGCCATTTTAATTCTTTCTGCATTGTATATGGTCTTGTTGCATTTTCTTGGAAACTTTTCTTGTATATAATTTACTTTCACAGTAAGTGCAAGATCAAATTGTCCACATGACATATTGCTAAGATAGTATATATTACATTTGGCATTCAAAAGCTATGTTATCATTATGGGGAAAGAAAACTTCAAGGGCCACTATAATTTGAATAGGAAATGTGACAGTCACGGAGGTGTATTAGATCTTTCCTTGAGAGAGCCTGCCACAAAGAGTGTAGTGAGCTGACAGCCTCCAACTCTCTCCAGTCAGCTCCCTGGAGACACTAAGCACATCAGGGGTGCTAGATAACTAAACAAAGCAGCGATATTAGGGCATGGCAATTTCCTCTTAATCTGAAACTCCTCTGTTAGGAATCTGTGCACTAGAGCTCCCCATTGGGCTCACTGAGATTTTCTGCACCAAAAAGATTTTCTACACCACAGTGTGAGGCGCTTCCCCCTCTATCTTTCTTCCTTATGGCTTTTCTTTCTCAGGTGTCGGACTTGCATGGTGGACTGTAGGCTATCTCTGCCTACACTTTCTCCCCCTACTCCTTATCTTGCACAAGTGCATTATACCTCTTGAATTTCTGACTACATCTTAGTGTCTGCTTCCGGGGGACCAGGACTAACAAGAATAAATGAGTGTATGTTGTGTATTTAAGTAGAAAGCCCAGCCCAGAGAACTTGCAATCTGATAATTTTCCACATGATGCCATGGAGTTGTACCACCATCATCCAGCATCCTCTACTTTTCCTATTCTTGGCCCCATCAGGGCTTTCCGTGAAATGGATTTGGGGCTATCAAAAATAGATATGTTTTTATTATAGATTATTTTTACAATACCCTTTGCTGGATTGACATGACACCTTTTATATTTATAGTATGACAAGAATGCAAATGCTTACCATTATCTCTTTAATCCATTCACAATTTACCAAACCGACTAATTTTACCACAGTAGATTACAACTTGGATATAGATTTGATGGTACTGATTACATTGTTCCTGTTTACTTTCTTGGCTTTAAGAAATCTGTGAGTGGTTTCTGACTCAGAGTTAACATTTTCTACCTTTAGTGTGTTATGCTTTACAAAACACTAAAATTTAAGAATTTAGACATCAATAATTCAGAATATTT
The DNA here is from genome assembly GCF_000001405.40 of Homo sapiens. Taxonomy (NCBI): domain Eukaryota; kingdom Metazoa; phylum Chordata; class Mammalia; order Primates; family Hominidae; genus Homo; species Homo sapiens. The sequence continues at coordinate 88,024,419 of NC_000003.12, read as the reverse complement.
TTGTAAATTCTACAAGCAAGTTCATAAAGACAGAATAATTCATGTTCAAAACATAAATGTTTTTACTCATTTAAAATATGTTTATAGATATATAATAGTTACACAAATTTATGGGGTATATGTGATATTTTGATACAAGCATGTAATGTGTAATGATCAAGTCAGGGTAACTGGGATACCTCAAACAATTATCATTCTTTTATGTTGAAAACATTAAAGTTCTTCTAGCTATTTCAAAATATACAATACACTATTCTTAACTATAATTTTCCTATTGTACTATTGAATACTAGAACTTATTCCTTTTATCTAATGGTATTTTTTCAAACATTAACCAACTTCTCTTTCTCCTCCCCTACTCCCACTTACCTTTACAGCCTCTGGTAATTACCATTATTATCTTCTACCTCCATGGGATCAACTTTTCTATTTCTCACATATGAGTGAGAACATGTGGGGTAATTGGTATTTCTGTGCCTGGCTTATTTCATGTAACAAAATGACCTCCAGTTCCATCCAGTTGCTGCAAATGACAGGATTTCATTCTTTTTTATGGCTGAATACTAGTTCATTGTGTATATGTACCCCATTTTCTTTATCCTATCATCTGTTGATGGAAATGTAGGTTGATTCCATATCTTGGCTATTGTAAATAGTGCTGCAATAAACACAAGAGTGCAGATGTCTCTTTGATACACTGATTTCCTTGTCGTGGTAGTGGGGGTGGTATATATCCAGCAGTGAGATTGCTGGATTGTATGGTAGGCCTATTGCTAGTTTTGTGAGGATTTCTATACCGTTTTCCATACTAGTTGTACTATTTTACATTCTTACCAATAGTGTATACATTTTCCTTTTTCTTTACATCCTTGCCAGTATTTATTATTTTTTGTCTTTTTGGTAATAGCCATTTTAACTGGGTAAGATGATACCTAATTGTGGTTTTGATTTTCACATCCCTGATAATTATTGATGTTGAGCATCTTTTTGTATACCTGTTGGCCATTTGTATGTCTTCTTTTGAGAGATGTTTATTCAGATCCTTTGCCCATTTTTAAAGTGGATTTTTGTTTTTTGCTATTGAGTTGTTTGAGTTCCTTATATATTCTGGTTACTAGTCTCTTGTCAGATGAATAGTTTGCAAATATTTTCTCTCATTCTGTAGGATGTATGTTCGCTTTTTAAAATTGTTTCTTTTGCTGTGCAGAAGCATTTTAGCTTCATGTAATATCATTTGTCTATTTTTGTTTTTATTGCCTATGCTGTAGAGTTCTTACCTCCAAAATCTTTGCCCAGATCAAAGTTCTGCAGCATTTACTCTATGTTTTCTCCTAGTAGTTTCATAGTTTCAGGTTTTACATTTCAATCTTTAATCCAGTTTGCGTTGATTTTTGTATATAGTGAAAGATGGGGATGTAGTTTCATTCTTCCGCATTAGGATGTCCAGTTTTCCCATGCCATTTATTAAAGAGAGTGTCCTTCTCCCAGTGTGTGTTCTAGTCATCTATGTCAAGAATGAACTGGCTGTAAGTGTGTGGATTTGTTTCTAGGTTCTCTCTTCTGTTCCATTGGTTGATGTCTGTTCTTAGGCCAGTAGTATGCTGTTTTGGTTACTATACCTTTGTAGTGTAATTTGAAATTAGGTAGTGTGATACCTCCAGTTTTATTCTTTTTTTGCTTAGGATTACTTTAGCCATTTGTGTTTCTTTTTGGTTTCATGTAAATTTTAGAATTGTTTTGTTCTGTTTCTGTGTAAAATGTCATTTATATTTTGATAGAAATTTTATTGAATCTGTAGATTGCTTTAGGTAGTGATATGGTTTGGTTGTGTCCCTACTCAAATCTCATTCTTGAACTGCAGTTCCCATCATACCCACATGTTGTGGGAGGGACTCAGTGGGAGCTCACTGAATCATGGGGACAGCTACCCCCATGCCGTTCTTGTGACAGTAAATGAATTCTCATGATATATCATGGTTTTATAAGGGGTTTTTCCCCCTTTGCTCAGCATTCATTCTCTCTCCTGCTGCCCTGTGAAGAGGTGCCTTCCGCCATGATTGTGAGTTTACTGAGGCTTCCACAGCCATGGGGAACTGTGAGTCAATTAAACTCTTTCTTTTATAAATTACCCAGTCTCAGGTATTTCTTCATAGCAGTGTGAGAACTAATACAGGTAGTATAGACATTTTAGCAATATTAATTATTCTAATCCATGAGAATGAGATACTGTGTTAGTCTTTTCTTGCATTGCTATTGTGAAAGGAAAATCTTGGGGGCCCCAAAATTACTAAGCTAAGGGAAAAGTCAAGCTGGAAACTGCTCAGGACAAACCTGCCTCCCATTCTATTCAAAGTCATCCCTCTGCTCACTGAGATAGAGGCATATTCTGATTGCCTCCTTTGGAAAGGTTTATCAGAAACTGAAAGAATGCAACCATTTGTCTCTCACCTACCTGTGACCTGGAAGCCCCCTCCCTGCTTTGAGTTGGTCCCACCTCTCTGGACGAAACCAATGCACTTCTTACCTATATTGATTGATGTCTCATGTCTCCCTAAAATGTATAAAACCAGGCTGTGCCCTGACCACCTTGGGCACATGTTGTCAGAACCTCCTGAGGCTGTGTCATGGGTTCCTGTCCTTAGCTTTGGCAAACAAACCTTAGCTTTGGCAAACAAACCTCCTAAAATGATTGAGACTTGCCTCATCATTTTTCTTGATTGACACTATAAAGAAATGCCTGAGATTGGGTAAGAAAAGAAGTTTAATTGGCTCATGCTTCTGCAGACTGTACAAGCTTGGCACTGGCATCTGTTCAGCTTCTGGGGAGGCCTCAGGGAGCTTTTACTCATGGCAGAAGGTGAAATGGGAGCAAGCATGACACATAGTGAAAGCAGGTGCAAGGCGGGGGAAATGGCACTTTGAAAAATATCAGATCTTGCAAGAACTCACTATTGAGAGGACAGCACCAATAGGAAGGCACTAAATCACTCCTGAGAAATCTGCCTCCATGATACAATCACCTCCCACCAGGCACCACCTCCAACACCAGGGATTACAACTCATCATGAGATTTACAGGAGACACATGTCCAAACTATTGCAGATATCTGTTCTATTTTTTTGGTCTCTTCACTCTCTTTCATAAGTCTTTTGTTGATTTCTTTGTAGAGATATTTCATGTCTTGGTTAAATTTATTCCTAGGCATTTTATTATTATTTTTTTTTTTTGGTAGCTGTTGTAAATGGAATTTCTTGATTTCCCTTTCAGATGATGTTTGTATGTTGGTTTTATATCCTGCAATTTAAATAAATTGGCTGATCAGCTCTAAGAGTAGTTCGGTGGAGTCTTTTGGTTTCCCTAAATATAAGCTCTTGTCATCTGCGAACAAGGATAATTTGACTTCTTTCTTTTCAATGTGGATGCACTTAATTTTTTTCTATTGTATAATTGCTCTGGTTAGAACATTTAGTGTTATGCTGAATAAAAGTGGTGAAAGTGGGCATCCTTGTCTTGTTCCAGGTCTTAGTGGATAAGATTTCAATTTTTCCCCCTTCAGAATGGTATTAGCTGTGGGCTTGTCATATATGGCCTTTATTGTGTTAAGATATGTTCCTTCTATACCCAAATTGTTGAGGGTTTTTATCATATAGAGAACTGGTTTTTAAAACCCTTTGTATTTGGAAACATTCTTTATACAATTTCAATGTTTGTTTATTAATTCTAATTTATAAACTGTTTATTTTTAAAATTTACTTTTAAGCCAGGTGCGGTGGCTTACACCTGTAATCCCAGCACTTTGGGAGGCCGAGGCGGGTGGATCACCTGAGGTCTGGAGTTCAAGACCAGCCTGACCAACATGGAGAAACCCCGTCTCTACAAAAAATAGAAAATTAGCTGGGTGTGGTGGCACATGCCTGTAATCCCAGCTACTTGGGAGGCTGAGGTAGGAGAATAGCTTGAACCTGGGAGGCAGAGGTTGTGGTGATCTGAGATCACTCCATTGTACTCTAGCCTGGGCAACAAGAGTGAAACTCCATCTAAAAAAAAAATAAATAAATAAATAAATAAAAATTTCTTTTAATTGATTAATGGTAATTACGTATATTTATAGGATACAATGTGATCTTTTGATCTATGTATACATTATAGAAACTTTAACATATCCACCACCTGACCAACTTAGCATTTTTTTTGTGGTGAGAAAGTTAAATATCTATTCTTTCAGCAATTTTGAAGTATACAATACATTATTATTAACTGTGCTCACCATATAGTGCAACAGATTTCTAAAACTTATTTCTTCAGTCTAACGGAAACTTTGTAGCTTTTGTTTACCATCTTCCTTTTCCTGATCTCTCCTCTTTCTCCTAGTCTCTGTTTCCATGCGATCATCTTTCTTAGATTCATCATGTAATTAAGATTATATAGTATTTGTCTTTTTGTGCCTAGCTTTTTTCACTTTGCATAGTGTCCTCCAGTTTCATTCAATATGTGTATTTTTATATTAAAGCATACTGATTCAGTAAAGCATAAAGGACCTCCCTGGCTACACTTTTTAAATTTAGCTGTGGTAATATTTTTTTCTTTTTTTGAGATGGAGTCTCGCTCTACCACCCAGGCTGGAGTGCAGTGGTGTGATCTTGGCTCACTGCAACCTCTGCCTCCCAGGTTCAAGCAATTCTCGTGTCTTAGCCTCCGAAGTAGCTGGGATTACAGGAGTGTGCCATCATGCCCAGCTAATTTTTGTATTTTTAGTAGAGATGGGGTTTCACCATGTTGGCCAGGCTGGTTTCAAACTCCTGACCTCAAGTGATCTGCCCACCTCAGCCTCCCAAAGTGCTGGGATTACAGGCATGAGCCACCATGCCCGGCCTTAGCTGTGGTAATTTGGATTTGATAAAATATCAAATAATTCATAGCTACTCACCTATCCAAATCAATTCAAATCATTTATGTTTATAATAGATTATATTTATTTAGTTTGAAGGCTTTCTCCAATTACAAGTGATCAGCCTGCCAATTTGAAAATTAAGATATTTTATGAAAAACATGTGGTTTGTAGTGATGTGATTATGATTATTTACATATCAATTTTTATTTATATATTTATATGCATGCTGCCTTTTTCACTCTGTGGTTAGCGTTAAATGTCTGGCACCAGTGTACTTATGTAAAATAGACTACTGTGGAAATGCTTTTCAGAGTTCAGCAGATTTTACGTGTCCACAAAAACCACAGAGCTACTAGGTGTCACATAACAGCTATACTGAAGCAAACTTTTGTTCAAAGCCACACTTACTTTTGCTGCAGTGAAGTGCATTCTTACTATATGTACTCCAAAAATTTTCAAGGCTTTTCCTGCAAGAAAAATATTCTATATTATACCATCTTCTTGTTATGTGTGTGTGTGTGTGTCTCAGTCATCTTAAATTCATTTGAAATTCTTTGAGTGCAAGGTCTGATATTTTTGTTTTCAATTTGCATTTTAATACTCCATAATACTTAAAAGTTAAATAATATATGGCTTACAAGCATACCTGTTAAAAGTTAAAAATAGGAGAAAAAAATGAGTACTTTTCAAACAATTTAAAAAGTATTAGTTATTATTAATGATTAAATCTCTTGGTGCTATATAATAACTTCAGCCTAAATTTAACTCTTTCTTCATATTCCATTTTTTTTTTTGAGACAGAGTATCACCCTGTCGCCCAGCCTGGAGTGGAGTGCAGTGGTGCCATCTCGGCTCACTGCAACATCTGCCTCCCAGGTTCAAGCGATTCTCATGCCTCAGCCTCCTGAGTAGCTAGGACTAAAGGTGTGCGCCACCTCACCTGACTAATTTTTGTATTTTTAATAGAGACAAGGTTTCACTATGTTGGCCAGGCTGGTCTCAAACTCCTGACCGCAGGTGATCCACCTACTTTGGCCTCCCAAAATGCTGCGTTTACAGGTGTGAGCCACCACACCTGGTATTCTTCGTAATCCTTTCTCTTTCTCTTTCTTTGCTTCCCTCCTTCCTTCCTTTTCTTTCTTTCTTTCCTTCCTTCCTTCCTTAACTTTTGGTATTGGCTGCACTTTCAAACAATAAATACAGATGTTAATGAAAAGGTCCTTTCAATCTAAGAATTATGAATATGCTGGGTGAGTCTAGATCTTCTAGTCTTTCCACAGTGATCATTTGTAGTCATGGTGGAATTTTCCTGACCTTGGTAAGCTTACTCAAATATGAGGATGAAATCTCTAACTTTGGCTAGTTACCACTCTGCTTTTTCTATCCATATGCTATGTCATTAACTCTCTTCAGTCTCTTTTTCCCCCAAATGCATGGTGAAAATTCAAAGGTGATATCAACCATACAGGCACATTCTGGGGAAAGTGGTAGCAAGGATGTCAGTCCATGACCTCAGTCTTTTTCAGGCTCATTACAAAGACATTGGGAGGAGGTGTTAAGGTGTTAGTGGGCCTTTTTATAAAGACTTGTGTGGAAATACTAGTAGCTTGGGTTTCAGTTTGCAGTAGTTCCCGTAATATTGTTTCAATATAATACTCTATTAAATAAAAACATTTCTCAGATATCTATAAATCTGTTCATCCTTCTATAATCATTTATCAAGCTTTACAATATTTGTCCCAGAACTTTGCTAGGCTACAAGCTAAGGAAACAGGAAAAAATATGTATGGCTTTCGATGTCAAGGAGCTAAGAGGTTTGGAGAAGATGAAAATGAAAACAAGAACCATAGAGAAAATAGGTGTTCAAAATAATACAGGATAATACAGCAAGAGAAGAAGTTGAATGCTCATCTGGAGTGGAGAAAAACTAAGAGAAGTTTTAGGAAAGAGGTATTACCTGAGCTGAGTTTAAAAGAATGAATAAGGCCGGGCACGGTGGCTCACGCTGGTAATCCCAGCACTTTGGGAGGCCGAGGTGGGCGGATCACGAGGTCAGGAGATCCAGACCATCCTGGCTAACACGGTAAAACCTCGTCTCTACTAAAAATACAAAAAATTAGCAGGGCGCAGTAGCGGGCGCCGTAGCCGGCACCTGTAGTCCCACATACTTGGGAGGCTGAGGCAGGAGAATGGCGTGAACCCGGCAGGCGGAGCTTGCAGTGAGCCGGGAGGGCGCCACTGCACTCCAACCTGGGCGAAAGAGCCAGACTCCATCTCAAAAAAAAAAAAAAAAAAAAGAATAAAATTGATCACGGGCTTTAATTTACAAGCAAGTTAAATGTAAGAGCTTGGGGCAGAGTATAAAATACAGTTGGAGACGAGGGTGGGGACCAGTCTTCTCCATCCTGCTAAGGAGCATGGACTTGATCCCACATAGGTAGTGGCAAACCACTGAAGGATGTAAACAAGAGAAAAACCTGGACCACCCTTGAGATGTAAAAAGATGACTTCAAAAATTTTTATAGAGGACAGATTGCACTTGGATGGAGTTGGATGTAGAGATACCAAAGGAGAGACAATGAAATCTTAAACTTGAGACACAGTAATGAGAAAAGAAGAAGGGGATGAAGAGGAGACCTATTGTGTCCGAAATTGATGGGTTCTTGGTCTCACTGACTTCAAGAATGAAGCCACGGACCCTCGAGGTGAGTGTTACAGTTCTTAAAGACAGCGTGACTGGAGTTTGTCCTTTCTGATGTTCAGATGTGTTCGGAGTTTCTTCCTTCTGGTGGGGTTCCTGGTCTCACTGGCTCAGGAGTGAAGCTGTGGACCTTTGCCGTGGGTGTCACAGCTCTTAAGGCAGAGCGTCTGGAGTTGTTCTTTTCTCCCGGTGGGTTCGTGGTCTCGCTGGCTTCAGGAGTGAAGCTGCAGACCTTCGCGGTAAGTGTTACAGCTCATAAAGGCAGTGTGGACCCAAAGAGTGAGCAGCAGCAAGATTTATTACAAAGAGCGAAAGAACAAAGCTTCCGCAATATGGAAGGGGACCGCAGCGGGTTGCCACTACGGGCTTGGGCAGCCTGCTTTTATTCTCTTATCTGGCCCCACCCACATCCTGCTGATTGGTAGAGCCCAGTGGTCTGTTTTGACAGGGTGCTGATTGGTGCGTTTACAATCCCTGAGCTATGCACAAAGGTTCTCCACCTCCCCACCAGATTAGCTAGATACAGAGTGTCTATTGCTGCATTCACAAACCCTGAGCTAGACACAGGGTGCTGATTGGTGTGTTTACAAACCTTGAGCTAGATACAGAGTGCCGATTGGTGCGTTTACAATCCCTGAGCTAGACATAAAGGTTCTCCACATCCCCACCAGACTCAGGAGCCCAGCTGGCTTCACCCAGTGGATCCCCCACCGGGGCTGCAGGTGGAGCTGCCTGCCAGTCCCGTGCCAGGCGCCCGAACTCCTCAGCCCTTGGGTGGTTGATAGGACTGGACGCCCGGGAGCAGGGGGCGGCGCTCGTAGGGGAGGCTCGGCCGCACAGGAGCCCACGGAGGGGGTGGGAGGCTCAGGCATGGCGGGCTGCAGGTCCCGAGCCCTGTCCCGCGGGAAGGCAGCTAAGGCCCGGCGAGAAATTGAGCGCAGCGCTGGTGGGCTGGCACTGCTGGGGGACCCAGTACACCCTCCGCAGCCGCTGGCCCAGGTGCTAAGCCCCTCATTGCCCGGGGCCAGCAGGGCTGGCCGGCTGCTCCGAGTGCCGGCCCGCCAAGCCCACGCCGACCCGGAACTCCAGCTGGCCCGCAGGCGCCGTGCCCAGCCCGGGTTCCCACTCGCGCCTCTCCGTGCACACCTCCCCGCAAGCTGAGGGAGCCGGCTCCGGCCTTGGCCAGCCCAGAAAGGGGCTCCCACAGTGCAGCGGTGGGCTGAAGGGCTCCTCAAGTGCCGCCAAAGTGGGAGCCCAGGCAGAGGAGGCGCCCAGAGCGAGCGAGGGCTGTGAGGACTGCCAGCACGCTGTCACCTCTTACTATCAAGGTACACACTAACTTGTGCTCATAAGGGAAAGGGGGATTGAGGAAGCTTCTCAGGTTTCCGGTTTAGTTTGGTTTCTTGGGAGTATAATGGAACTATTAAAACAGAGATAGGGAAGCTTAGAAGAGGAGAATGGGGCAATAAATAATAGTAATGAAATAAGATTTTTTTTTATGTTGAGTTTCAAATGCCTGCGGGCGTTCAGTTAGAGATGTCTATTAAGCTGGTCGCAGGGCTGCTGTGAATTGTTATTGAGGTTGTCCACCATCCTAGGGTGCCATTTTCATTAACTGCAATGTGAATGTTGCTCCCTACTTTATGCAGAGCATTGTTTGTGCAGAGTATTGTTATAAGTGGTGGCCATGTCATTGGTCTAAAATGGCAGAAAACGATATGAACTAGGAACAAACATTTCATTTAATCTTTAACAAATTTTTGAGTGCGTGTGATGTGCCAGGCACTTTGCTAGACACTAGGGATGCAGTGGTGAGCAAATCAATATCCTTGATCTCACTGGACTTACATTCTAGTGGAGAAAATACTTATTTGCTCATTTTACTTGCTTGTTATTTATTTGCTCATTTTATTTGCTTATTTTCTGTCTTCTCCATTAGAATATAAGTGCAATGAGAGGATTTAATGGCAGAGAGTACTATAGGCTATTATTAATACATCTATAATTAATAAATAAGTAGTCAGATGGAGAAGAACTATTCCAAGTAACTTAAAAAACAGGGAGTCCCTGAAGAAATAGCTGGTTCTAGATTTTAGACAGGAATACAAGAAGATAACCTTATAGTATATTCTTACTCCAGAAAGCAAGTGAGTTACCAAAAACTACAATATTGTGTATATCCAAAGGACTCAGGAGCCAACTTGAAGAAACTCTTTATCAACTCAGATTCAGACAAGAGAGGAGCCATGACAACTATTATGGAAACAGAAAGGTTTATGATAAGAATTTGAATTTATATGAGTGTGGAAAGGCTGGGAAGGAAGCCAGAGGATCACATCATTAATGTTTTCAGCTTGAAGCGTCAAGTGGCTTGAAAGGCAAGAATTTGAGAAGAGTGTGAGAAGCTTTTAGTCTTCCTCCCACAGGCAAAATGGTAGCTCATGGAGAGGTCTGTGAAGCCACTGAATATCTGCTTCCACTTCCAACTTCCAAATTTTGCGTAAGTTACTTCTGACTTAAAGCCACATAGGGAAGGTAATTCTGGGAAATATAGTTTCCAGCCACAGAAGATGTGTCAGGAAATTCTCAAGTAAACACAGGACCCCACTCTCCAAATATGGACAACTTGAATATCAATGAAGATAATAACCGCAATTGACAAATACATCATACAATCAAATGCATGAGTTAATAATGATCTTAGAATAATGATCTGATAATTGGAAGAATGACCTTAAGTTACGCTGACTGCAAAAATAGCCTAAAGTATTCTCTTCCCTGTATTCATGTTTGTTATCATATGTTGGCAGCTCCTTCCATAAAGAGGTATTTTTCCCCATCCCTTGAACCTGGACTAGCCTTATAACTTGCTTTGATGAATAGAAGGCAGCAGAGAAAACACTATACCAGTTCTGAGTATGGTCCTCAAGAAGCCTTGTGTGCTTTCTGCTTACTCTTTTATACAATGTTGCTTTCTCATTTTTGCAACACTGCCACCACAGTGTGACAAAGTTCAGGCTAGCTTGTTGGCCAATAATAGATTACACGGAACAGAATTAAGTCATCTCAGCTGAGGCCATCCTAGACCAGCCAGCTGCCAGCTGACCAACAAAGCTCAGCTCAGAGAAGCCAAACCACCCAGCTTATTTTTAATGCCTATTAAAAAAAGTTTTATTGAAGTATAACGGATGCACAATAAACTATATGTATGTAACATGTACAGTCTGCTAAGCTTTGATGTATGTGTGCACGCATGAGACCATGAACGTGATGAACGTATGTATCCATTATCCATAAAAATTTTCTGAAGCCCCTTGGTAATCCTTCCTGCTGGTCCCTACTGGTCCCCAACCCCAGGAGACCACTTCCATGCTGTTACCACACGTTAGTTTTCATTTTCTAAATTTTGTATGTATGAATAAAATAGTATGTACTCTTCTTCTGGCTTTTACTCAGAATAATTATATTGAGATTCAGCCATATGGGAGTGCTTATCAATGGTTCATTCCATTTTAGTGCAAATTTACCTATTGATGGAATTTGGTTTCCACTTTTTAGCTTTTACAAATAAAACTGCTATCAACATTCATGTACCAGTGTTTGTATGTATATATGCTTTTATTTCTCTTGGGTGGAATGTGGAGCGTTTGGATCATAGAGTAGGTGTATGACAAACTTTTAAAGAAACTGAACTGCCTAAACTGTTTTGCAAAGTGTATGTACTATCCCACATTCCCACTATTATTATTCCCACCAGTATTAAGAGCATTCCAGTTCATCCACATTCTCTCCTACACTTGATATGATCAGTTTTTAATTTTATTTAAAATATAGCCATTCTAATAGATGTAGAGTTGTATCTCAATGATTCTAGTTTGTGTTTCCCTGATAACTAATGATGCTGACCATCTTTTCATATGCTTATTTTCCATTTGCTATTTTCTTTGATAAAGTATCTGGTCAAATCATTTGCCAATTTTTACTGAGTTGTTCATTTTCTTACTATTGAGTTTCTTTATACTGTCTGAATACAAGTTTTTTATTCTATATATAATTGGCAAATGTGTTATGCCCATCTGTGGTTTAGAGATTATAGAAATATCAGTTTTTGTGTATTGTTTCTCTATCCCATGGTCTTGATAAATTATTTGTTCTATAAATTTTTTGAAGATTTTATTGGGTTTCTATTAATTTATAATCTACTCACAACTGCTAATAAAGAGAATTTTGCTTCTTTCTTTTCAAACCAGGTGCCTCTTATTTATTTTTTCTTGCCTATTCACACTGACTACAACCTCTAGCACAATGTTGAATAGAAGTAGAAATATTTGTGATTTTTTTTCCTGATCCTAGGAGGAAGGCATTCAATCTTTCACCATTAAGTATGATGTTAGTTATAGATTTTTAATAAATGCTCTATATCTGATCGAAGATTTCTCTTCTATTTCTATTTTACCAAGATTTTAAAAAATTTTAATCTGATTACTATTTATTTATTTATTTAATTTAATTTTATTTTTTGAGACAAGGTCTCACTATTGCCCAGGCTGGAGTGAAATGGTACAGCCTCAGCTCACTGAGCCTCCTGGGCTCAAGTAATTCTTCCACCTCAGCTTCCCTAGTAGCTGGGACTACAGGTGTGTGCCACCATGACAGGCTAATGTTTTGAATTTCTTGTAGAGACTGGGTTTCGTCATGCTGCCCAGGCTGATCTCAAACTCCTGGGTTCAAGTAATCTGTCTGCTTTGGTCTCCCAAAGTGCTGGGATTATAGGCGTGAGCCACTGGGCTAAGACTAAGATTTATTTATTTATTTTTTAAATCAGAAATGGGTGTTGTCAAATCTATTGAGATGAACATACAATTCTTAAAACTTTGATTGATTCTTTAATGTTAAACTAACCTTGCATTTCTGGGATAAATATCCCACTTGAAAAACAATGGTGAGTCAGGTGGGTGGCTCACACCTGTAATCCCAGCACTTTGGGAGGCTGAGGTGGGAGGATCACTTGAGTCCAGGAGTTTGAGACCAGCCTGGCCAACATGGTGAAACCCTGTCTCTACTAAAAATACAAAAATTAGCTGGGTGTGGTGGCATGTGCCTGTAACCCCAGCTACTCGGGAGGCTGAGGCAGGAAAATCACTTGAATCTGGGAGGCAGAGGTTGCAGTGAGCCGAGATTGCACCACTGCACTCCATCCTGGGCAACAGAAAACAAACAAACAATCCAAGAAACAATGGTGCATTTTCTGTTATATATTGTTGGGTTAATTTGATAAAATTTTGTTCAGAATTTTAAACCTATGTGCGAAATATTAGCACATAGTTTTTTTCCTTGTAATGTCTTTTTTTTTTTTTTGTCATAGTAATGCTAGCATCATAGAATGAATTGGTATGCATTCCCTTATACTGTGAGGCCTGAGATTCCATGGGTTGCCCTGACATCTTCGAGCCTCCGGGGCTTCCAAGGCCTAGGTGTGTGTTCTCATGCTCTTATCAGATTTGCCCCCCACCAGTGTGAAAGGTTCTCTGCCCAGCTAGTTCTTCTATTAGCTGGACCAATTGCACTCTACCTAGTCTTCAACCTAAGAGGTTTTATTTCCCTGTCAGCTTGTAAAATTATTCAAAGAAGCCAATCACATCCTCCCATAGGAACCAGTGGTCACCCCACCCCGTTTTCCCTACATGGCCTGCCTCCCACAGTTTCTGCTTTACTCTTTTGCTGAGTGCAAGCTTCATGTGGCCATGTGGCTTGCAGTATCATCTTCCCTGGCCTGTGAGTACTGTATATGTGACTAAGCTTAATCTCTTAATTTCTTAGTCTCATCGGTACAGTGTTAGGTGTTGTGTGTTTGGCTATCTTGTTCTACTCAGGGTGGGGACTCCTCCTTAACGAACAGGGTGAGTAGGAAGTGATTAGAACATCTCTTCATTTCAGTTCTCTAGAAGAGCTTGTGAGGAATTCGTATTGTTTCTTCCTTTAATGTTCGGTAGTATTGACAGTGAAGCAAAGTGGCTTGGGGTTTTCTTTATGGGAAGATTTTAAACTATAGATTCAAATTTATTAATAGATATAGGGTTATTAGGTTGTGTATTTCTTCTTGAGTGAGCTTTGGTAGTTTCTGTCTTTCAAGATTTTTTTTTCACTTCATCTAAGGTGTAAATTTATAGGCATAAAGTTGTTCGTATTTCCTTATTATTCTTTAGTAACTGTAGATTCTTTTATGAGGTCCCCTCTCTCACTGTATCTTCTCTCTTTTTCATGATCTATCTGGCTAGCGGTTTATCAAGTTTATTGATCTTCTGAAATAACCAACTTCTGGTTTCATTGATGTTTCTCTTTCTTATGTCATTAGTTTGTGCTCTGGTATTTATGATTTCCTTTCTTCTATTACTTTGAATTAATTTAATCTTTTAAAATAGTTTCTTAAGGTGGAAGCTAAAGTAATTTATTTGAGACCTTTTTCTCTTTAATACTGGCTCTTATAATAAATTTCCTCTTAAGTAATACTTTACTGGCATTTCCCCAAAATTTGATATGTTCTGTTTTCACATTCAATACAAAATAATTTCTGACTTCTCTTTAGTTTTCTTCTTTAACTTCTAAGTTATTTAGAGTTGTATCAATTAGTTTCCACATGTTTGAGAATATTCCAGATAACTTTTTGATATTAGATTTTATCATGACTAGTGAACACATTTTGTGTGGATTTAATCCGTTTGAATTGAGACTTGTTTTATGGCTCAGAATACAGTCACTCTTGATAAGTGTTCCATGTGCACTTAAAAAGAATGTGCATTATGCTATTGTTGGATGGCATACTCTATAAATATCTATTAGGTCAAATTCTAATATTCTATATCATGCATCAGTAAACTTTTTTTTAAAGAGAAGATAGTAAATATTTTAGGCTTTAGGCTTTGTGGGCCCTAGAGGCTGTGTCAAATTATACTACTCCTAAAGTGCAAGCTGAAATCGTTTATTCAAGATGCTTTTCTTTTTCTTTCTTTTTCTTTTTTTTTTTTTTTTTTGAGACAGTCACGTTCACTCTGTCGCCCGGGTTGGAGTCCAATGGCACAATCTCGGCTCACTGCAACCTCCGCCTCCTGGGTTCAGGCCATTCTTCTGCTTCAGCCTCCCGAGTAGCTGGGATTTTGGGTGCCTGCTGCCACGATCGACTAATTTTTCTATTTTTAGTAGAGATGGAGTTTCACCATGTTGGCCAGGCTGGTCTCAAACTCTGACCTCAAGTGATCCACCCATCTTGGCCTCCCAAAGAGCTGGGATTACAGGCGTGAGCCACTGCGCTCCGCCCTTTCTCTTTTTTTAATAATGGCACTTAGTAGTATAGATTTTCCTCTAAGTACTGCTTTAGTGGTGTTTTTATATCCAATATTGGCATCTAGTGCCAATTTCCTTCTAAATCCTACTCTTCTGTTATAATGTGAAAGCAGCCACAGACACTATCTAAGTGAATGAACTTAGACACTATTTAAGTGATTGCTGGGTCAAATGGTAGTTCTGTTTTTAGCTCTTTGAGAAACTGCCACACTACTTTCCACAATGGTTGAACTAGTTTACACCCCCCAGCAACAGTGTATAAGAGTTCCCTTTTCTCTGCAACCTTGATAGTATCTGTTATTTTTTGACTTTTTAATAATAGTTATTCTGACTGGTGTGAGATGGTATCTCATCGTGGTTTTAATTTGCATTTCTCTAATGATCAGTGATGTTGAACTTTTTTACATATGCTTGTTGGCCGCATGTATGTCTTCTTTGGAAATGTGCCTCTTCATGTCCTTTGCTCACTTTTTGGTGGGGTTGTTTGATTTTCTCTTGTAAATTTTTGTACATTCCTTATAGATGTTGGGTATTAGAGCTTTGTTAGATGCATAGTTTGCAAATATTTTCTTCCATCCTGTAGGTTGTCTGTCTACCCTGTTGATAGTTCCTTTTGCTGTGCAGAAGCTCTTAAGTTTAATTAGATCCCATTTGCCATTTGTCAGTTTTTGCTTTTGTTGTGATTGCTTTTGGCATCTCTGTCATGAAATCTTTGTCCGTTCCTATGCCCAGGATGGTATTGGCTGGGTTGTCTTCCAGGTCTTTTACAGTTTTGGGTTTTACATTTAAGTCTTTAACTCATCTTGAGTTGATTTTTGTGTATGTTGTAAGGTGGAGGTCCAGTTTTAATCTTCTGCCTATGGCTAGCCAGTTATCCCAGCACTGTTTATTGAATAGGGAATCCTTTCTCCATTGCTTATTTTTGTCAGCTTTGTTGAAGATCAGATGGTCGTAGGTGTGTGGCCTCATTTTGGGGCTCTCTATTCTGTTCCACTGGTCTGTGTGTCTGCTTTTGTACCAATACTATGCTGTTTTGGTTACTGTAGCCTTGTAGTATAGCTTGAAGTCAAGTAGTGTGATGCCTCCAGCTTTGTTCTTTTTGCTTGGGATTGCCTTGCAGACACTGGGGCCTACTTGAAGGTAGAGGGTGAGAGGAGGGAGAGGGGCAGAGAAAATAACTATTAGGTACTAGGCTTAGTACCTGGGCGATGAGATCATCTGTAAATGAACCCCTGTGACACGAGTTCACCTGTATAAAAAACCTGCAAGTGTACACCCGAACCCAAAATAAGTTTTTTTTTTTGAAAGGAACTCACAGAATAAAAGAATAAAATGTGGTTGGTTGAATCCATCATTAAGAATTCATCTTAATGAAACAGAATTTTATCTCTAATTGATTCATTGACTTTTTATAGACCCTTAATATTTACAGTTACACTCATGTCTCCAAAGACTTGCAGGTGTGGCCTGCCATGATACATTCACATTGTATCATGAATGAACAGATATTTGATAAATGTTGTTCAATTGACTCACTGACTGAGGAATGGATGTTTCTTCATTTGTAAAATATAAAGAATAATAAAGCCTACTCTCCTCTCAAAAAAAAAAAAAAGGATTACCCTGGTTTTGAGCAATTTGTTTGTAATGTACCTTGGTGTATTTTCCTTTATGATTCTTGTGCTTGGGGTTTGTTGAACTTCCTGGCTCTGTGGCTTTATAGTTTTCATCAAATTTAGAAAAATTTCAGTTGTATTTCTTCAAATAATTTTTCTTTCTCCCCATTTTGAAACGTCCTCTAGGCACTTATAGATATGTGTACATTAGTCTGTTTCAATTATGTGACAGCTCACAGATCTGTTTATTACAAAAAAATTCCCTGTTCTCTGTGGTTTTATTTTGGATAGTTTCTATTGCTGTATATTCAAACTTACTAATCTTCCAATCTGTTCTTCTGAAATGCTAATCTGCCATTAACTACATTCAGCATTTTCATTTTACACATTGTAGTTTTAACCTTTAAAACTTTGGTTTGGGTCTAATAAATATATTTTACATCTCTATTGAACTTTTCAAATGTATAGAATACAACTATAACTTTTAAAATATTGTTGGTTGCTAATTCTAACATGTGCTGACCATTCTAGCTTGGTTTTGATTGAATGACTTATTTTCCCACTTCTCACCAGGCCTAATAATTATTTATGGGTTGCCAGATGATGTAAATTTTACCTCGTTGGGTGTTGAATATTTTTGCATTCCTATAAGAATTTTTAAGCTTTGTTCTGAGTTACGGCTATGTTACTTGAAAACAGTTTGACCTTTTGGGTCTCGAATATAAGATTTCTTTGATGAGAGAAGCTCAATACTTAGACTAGTGCTAATTAATCCCTTTCATTGAGACAAGACCTTTCCATGTACTATTCCCAATGATTTATGAATCATAGGGTTTTCTAGTCTGACTGGTGGGCATAAGCGCTATTCTTGACCACGTGTGAATGATTGGCATTGTTGGCTCTCTATAATTGAAATTCTCTATGATAGAAGTAAAAAAGGGATAATGTCAGGGAAAGCAACAGAGCCATAATGAGTACTGTTTTAGTTAGGGTGGTCAGGGAAAGCCTGTCTTAGGAAATGAGTTTTGAGAAGAGGCTTGATTGAAATGAATTAGCAACATGAGGATTAAAATAAGTCTATATTGTGCTTCAGTTAGAAAGCCATTGATGGCTTTATATTCTATTTTACTGTTTTCAGTGGGGAGTAGGGGATGAAGTTTGAGTGAATTGGCTGAAAATGAGGAAGGGAAGACAGTATTCTTTTTTTTTTTTTTTTTTTTGAGACATAGCCTTGCTTTTTTATCCAGGCTGGAGTGCAGTGCAGTGGTGGGATCTCAGTTCACTGCAACCTCTGCCTCCCAGGTTCAAGCCATTCCCCTGCCCCAGCCTCCCGAGTAGGTGGTACTACAAGCATGCACCACCATACCCAGCTAATTTTTGCATTTTTACTAGAGATGGGGTTTTGTCATGTTGGCCAGGCTGGTCTCGAACTCCTGACCTCAAGTGATCTGCCTGCCTCAGCCTCCCAAACTGTTGGGATTAAAGGTGTGAGCCACTGTGCACGACTAGTATTATTCTTTCTAATAGTTTACTGGGAAGGGAAGAGGAGAGAGTTGTTTCTCTTCTCTCAGGTGGGAAGGACACTAAGCATATCTGATACAGTACAGAATTTTCCACGTCTCTGCTTGGAATTGTCATCTGACTGCAGCTTTCCAAAAATTAGGTCCTTCGTATACACTTTCTTGGGATACACTGTCTTGGGATTATTTCAACGCAGTCCCAGGATCTATATGCTGTTTACTGAAGTTAGGCTACTAAAAACCACACATTAGGTTGTTATCCTATAGTTCTGGATACCTTCTTGGTAAAGCTAAGGCCATTTTGCTCTCAAATTAAAGTCCCCCATGGCTAGCTAACCTATCATGAGAAGCAAAAAAACATCACTCTTATAACCAGAATCCCTGGGCCCAATAACCAGTAATAGAGACCAGGGCAGAACTGCTGTTTCTGCATCCAAAGGCCCAACTCCACAGTTCTGGAAACTCTCAGAACACTGGTTTATTCTAAAGCACCCACTAAGGCATTTTCCAGCAGTTCAGTCCTGCCCTTTTCTAATGTTTCTGTGTGATGACATGGGAAGTGTGCATGAAGCACTTTTGCTGAACAATGAGTACGATGATGGTTATTTTGAGAAAATCACTAGGGATCTAGTTTGAATTGCAACTGAATTATCTGCTTCTTACCATGGAATTTTTTTTTTTTTAACTTGAAAGAGTGACTGCCAGACAGACCATGGTTATTCAGATGTGTGCATTTGGAAAATACTTTCTCCAAAATGAATGAAATGAACTTTTTACTTCAAGAAAGCAACTGATAGTATTTGTTGTCAGTGATAAATTTCAAGTTTTCAAGCAAGGGAGGATGCCTTTATATATATGAGGTTTACTTTAATATCTTTTTCTACTTAACTTTTCTGTAAATTATCCAAGAGATGGCCTGAAAATGGACTCTATTAAGCAACTCCTCCCATACGGTGTTCTGTTATTTGACACAACCAACTGGTACAATTCTTGTTGTGGTAAAAGAGCTACTTCCTGCAAAATAAGATTTTAGTGGCCAAAGACTACACTTTTAAAATGTGATTTAGCAATTGTATTATCTTACCAGTAAGGGGCAGCAAATAACAATGTTTGTTTGAAATACTAAGCTATTACCTTACGGTAATTTGGAATCTGTCCTTTTCTTCTTCTGTTTAATGAAGAAATCTCTGACTCCTTTCTCACTCTTCCTAGTGATGATAAAGTCAGAGAGATTGAGGATAAAAGGGACATTCTAAAGGGAAAATAGTAAATTATGACATTTAAACTACAATACTAAGAAAAGGATAAAATCTGCCTGTCCTTTAGGCTGACAAATGGTGACTTTCTTTTCTAAGTTGGGTCCTAGTAACTGCCATAAACCAAGTATCCACAAAACGTATTCAGTCCACTAATGAGAAAGAGAAGGTAAAAGTAATATCTTGCCTTAATTCAATATTTCTATCAAAAGATTGGTTTCTCATCTGTGCTTTAGGAATCAAGTTTTAAAAAAACTTTTATGTCATTTTAATAAGTATTTATCAAGCATGTACCATAAGCCAGGGCCATTCTAGGTATTTGAGACAAATGATAAGCAAAATAGATATAATACCTGTTCTTGTGGTACTTTGCTTTGGAGGGGAAAGTTATCCAAACTAAGGGAGGGGCTAGGTAGAACAGAAGAAATTATGAACACCAGACATAAACAGAGAGTAAGATGCTAGTGAAAGGATGGACAAAAGCCAAGTGATTGTGCTGGCAAAATTTCTTCAGAAACTTCTTTTGAATCTTTCACTATTTTTTTCCCGTCACAAATGCTGATGTGAAAAATGTAATGTTTTTCTTTCATCTGGATAAAATCTCTATCTCAATACCCTTTTCTGTCTGAAGGATAAAGCTTAATTATTTTCAAGTAAACTTCATTGCTCCGTGGATTTCTGAGTGTTTCACTTTACTGAAATTCAGAATCTGTTCTCCATAACACTCTTTCACCTTAGGTTTAGGAAACAACTTTTGTTGTTTGAGCTGTCTCAATGCTGTGTTGTAATCTTTGAAATATAACTCATTGCATATGGTACTCATGAGTTCTCTTTCCATGCTGACATCAATATCAAGATGTGATTACAACCAGGATGTGATCTGCTGTTGTGACTTCTGGCACTCCAGAGGGCCTCTGCAGGACAGCTAATGGGCGTGCACACACGTGCTCTCTCTCTGTCTGTCTCTCCAACTTTTACATTGTTTCTGGAATCTTTCAGAATTCCCAAGCCAAACCAGGCCATAGGATGCTCACTGGGGCTGCATCAGATCTTTCACTGCCCCTATATCCTATGTGGCTATATTTAAGAAATTGAACCTATATTCACCTAGAAAAGAAAATTATGTGGAAATATTCTGTGGAATAGAACATTTCAGTTGCTCAGGGTCCCATAAGTAAAGTAGGCTCAGAAACCGTTCACTTTTACAGTCCTTAATATATTCTGGGGGTTTCTATTATCCATACCTACACTTTGATACTTAATAGTTGGAGGAATTAAATGAGATATACAATCTTTTACAAGGCTTTTGAACTTGAAGGCTGATATTTGCACTTATTCCAGAAGAGTTTCCTTGAATGAGGGGTAGTCAATTAATGAAAAGGAATTTAAAGGAAAAAATGATACGATACCAATCAAGTAATGATTTACAATTTGACGTATATGTTCAACTACACCATTATTTAAGGATGAAAATCAAACCAACACATAACTTCTATCTTAAACATATTTCTCTTCTTTTTACTGCTAACCTTCTCAAAAGAGAAATACCTACTTCTGAATCATCCAACATGTAAAATTTCCCAGTTATATGGCATATATGAAATGGACATAGAAATACTTTGCAATTTCATGCAATTTCATGAACGGTCTTGTTTCAAGTTCACTAATGCACATCTGCATTAGAATACGGAAGTTTTTGTTTTTTCCAGAATTCCAATATTGTCTGTGAGTTTTAGATTCACCTGCAGAGGGCAGCAAATAGTAGTGCAAATCCCTGTTCTTTAAATGCTTAGGCCTCAAGTTTGGTGGTAGTAATTGATTATGCAATAAACATGAATGCTTGTTTACGTTACTTAAAATCAACACTGAAAGGTTGTTTTGATGTAAGAAAGATTTTTTGTGGCTACTTTAAAAAAAAGTAAATGCTGGGCCGACAGTGAGTAAGAAGTAGTTAAATTTATTTTTGGTAGCTCCTTATTCTTCTGGTACTTCTAGAGCTTTTTTTCTAGACAGCTACGACCTGCTTACTTAAATAAGTTTAAGGCAGAAACCATGAGAGATAAGTAAAGCACTGACATTGGTTTTTTGCTTTAGTGGTATTTGCTGAGCACAGAAGGTCTCAAGCATTAGTTGTTAAGGTTTCACGGATGGAAGACAAAGCCTATGACCCACTCAAGTTCAAGATTATATCAGGAGATTCCTTCTAAACAAAACTGGGACCCCAAAGTGTTATACTCCCAGTTTAAGAATGCATTAGAAATAAACTCTGACATTAATCTGGAACAGAACAAAAAATTTCCTATCTTGAAACTTGATTATTCAACCTTTATTCTCATGAGAGGTGGAAAGAATTTCTCCTGAAGAGTCACAACCACGATTTGGCTTCTATTCAAGTTTGTATCCAGAATTCACACCACCTGGTATTATGAAACACACACACTCAAGCAAAAAACCTGAAGCCAGTGATATAGTTTAAATTGATACAGACTGATAATGTGCACAAACACCTGACAGAAGCAAATGCTAATCCTCCCATGAAGAAATCCACTTTCATCTCAGGCCTCAAATAATTTCCACAGATAAATTCAAATGAAAATGAGAAAATTGAGGCCAGGCGCAGTGGCTCACGCCTGTAATCCCAGCACTTCGGGAGGCCGAGGTGGGTGGATCACCTGAGGTCAGGAGCTTGAGACCAGCCTGGCCAACATGGTAAAACCCCGTGTCTACTAAAAATACAAAAATTAGCTGGGCATGGTGGCGGATGCCTGTAATCCTAGCTGCTCAGGAGGCTGAGGCATGAGAATCGCTTGAACCAGGGAGGCGGAGGTTGCAGTGAGCCAAGATCGTGCCACTGCGCTCCAGCCTGGGCAACAGAGTGAGACTTTGTCAAAAAAAAAAAAGAAAGATCAAAGTAAAAAGAAAAAAGTCAATAAATATATAGGGAAACAAGACACTGTGAATGAGAGCAAGTATAAACAATATTAAGGCTCAAAAGTCTTCATATGTAGGAACTGTAAAACTGAAAAAATAAAAACAAGCTTGTTTAAAATGTTTCAAACAAATATATAGAATGGTGAGTAAAGAGTTAATAGATGTGTAAAACCCAACAGTTCTAGAAATGAAAAATATAATGAAAATGTAAAACTCAACAGACGATTTTACACAAAATTGTCTGTAATTGAAACCCAGAGTTATAAAGAAATAGAAAATACAAAAGATACATGAAGGAAAGAATAAGACGGTCTAATATTTATCCAGTTGGGATTATAGAAGAAGAGAGATAGAGATAGAACATGAGGTAGAAGCTGTATTTGAAGACATTAACTGAGAACTTTTTAGAACTTGTGGAATAAAACAAGCATTAGATCCGGGAACTCCAGTGAACGAGGATAACTTGAAGTGAAAGTTTGAGGTTCGCCAAATTACAAATCATTACACAAGAAAAAGAAAAAAAATAGAAAAAAAGAGGAAAATATTCTTAAAAGTTTGGTGGAATTTTTTCTGAGTAAGAAATTTATCCAAATCCTGTTTCCTGCCATGTCCCTAAGAAATCATTTGTCTTATTCTTTTCCCCGAATACTTGGACAAAAGTTAGAAAAACCTGTACTGTAAATCCTATTCCTGAATAAAAGAAAAAGAGAGGTTTTTTGGCGGGGGGTATAGGTCAACTAGAAAGCTTCTATCTTAGTTGACACCTGTTGGATGTTTCTGGAGCTGTGTCAAGACGTGATATGGACACCTCTATCTTTAAACAGGTAAACGTGGTATTACATTTGTGCTAGTATCACAAAATTAAATTCAGCTGAGCTAAGCTGACAACGTACAAGATACAATTTGCTCTGAAGATTCAACAAAGAGAACCACTGTACGGCATAATGGTTACCAGCAAGCTGAGTAATAGGCAATAAACAGTCCAGTTATTCTACAGTCAGTTTACTTCTGCATGAACCCAGTCGCTGATGTGAAGGGTAGGGGTCAGCGTAGTTAGGGAATCCGTGAGGCTCCTGTTACTGCGCATGCTCTAAGCTCCAAGCCCACAACCTCCTTCGAAAGAACACTACCGCCAACGCTAGCGCTACGGGGCAGATGTGGTTGTGGGTTTTGTGCCTGCAGAGGTAAATAGTCCATTTAACATCTCAGCAATCAAGTCGCAAGAACCTTCCAAAGCGCCACCCTCTAAATCGCAGCTGTATATACTAGAGTGATACTGTAATCAAAAAGGAGGAGGAGGAGAGAGGAGAAAAGGGGGATACAAAGAAACATAAAAGCAAAAAGAACTCACTTTTCTCGAGGAAGTACAATTACCTGTTCACAAATATTTGGGAATAGGTGCAAAGATTTGCTTTAAAATAGTTTTTTTAAACATAGTTCCCTTAATAATTAATGAAGGTATAACTTTCTCTATTGAATACCTGCAAACATACCTATTCAAAGAGCATTCATTATAACCTTTTCTTCTCATTCTCTTAAATGCCAACAATTTTTTTCGTTTTGTCTCTGTCAAGATTTATTTTGGGAAGGAAAAGTTGAAGGAAACTATTTCTCAAAATTTAATACATAATTCTAGGTGATTACATTCAAAACTGTTCTTGCAAGATTGGAACTCAGAATATTATTTAATAACAATATTTCAGTAACCATGTCTACTTATTTTTTAAAAATTAAAAAAGGAATTGTCTAGAATATTATTAATAATGATATTTCAGTAACTACATTTACTGAATTTTAATTTCAGAAAAATAAAAGGAATTGTCTTTGTTCTATGTTGAGTTTTAAAAATGAGAATGCTAACTCTTTTGATTTTAGTGAAGTGAGGTGAAGGACCAGAGGTGAAGTTATGGTAGGTTTCATGGTCAAATGAAGGAGACTCCTTTTAAAGTTCAGGCTGCCACAAACACTTTGGACAAACACGTGGACACTTAAAATTCATGTCTACTGCACACCATTATTCTTCCTTTGTAGTTTTCTTAATAGGATGCTATAGGATGTTTTGAAATCATTAAGTTAAAGCCAACACTCGTTATTTGAAGAACATGGTTTATTTCATATTATACTATATTTTTGGGCTAAGCAACATTAAATTCCACCATACATTTATTTTTTTCCACCCTCAACAACAGCAACAAACTGAGTAGATTATACTTCATAGACTACTAAAATTCATGTTTGAACATTTTCTATAGTTTGGGCAATTGGTATTAAAATTGTTAAAATAAACTTGACTGTTTTTTCTTGTCTTTTTTTAAATAAAAAAACTACTACATATTATTTTTCATTAATGGGAAGATTTTGAGAAAGAAAATGCATTTAAATTTTGGCTCAGGTTTAATAGCATACATACACAAGTCTCGTTCAGACAATACTCAATAGAAAATACAAATATAAGAAATCTATTCTTCAACCTGAGCCTCTAAATATTTTGCATATGATATACTAATAAGAGCAGGGAAAAGGATAGTCGATTCCTAATATATGCATGCATTTATAATTGAAGTTATTTTTGTGTAAGTATGGCAAGCAGAATAGATAGTATTTAAACCTTTAGATTGATAGGATGATAAAATAGGAAAAAACCCCAAAGCTTAACACAAAGAGTCATTGTTGAGTTCAGTTTCATATTCTGAAACACTGAAGTGAATAGAAACATAATAAATAAATCTATGAACTTGCAATTTACCTTTTAGTCCCTTTTTTTGTAGTATATGTAATGACAGCACAAGTTTGTGGACAGAGGGACAACCATGACAAACAGGCTTCTTGGAGAACAAGGGGAGTCCAGTTCAGTTGCTAGAGTCAACATATAGTGTGTTTCCTGTGATTGGTGTGGTTCTCAGGTGCTTGCTGTAAATTTGGGCAGTGTTAAAGGGTTGGCATTTCTATGTTTGGTCAACCTGATAGTGCTTGTACCATAATCATCCATAATCATATAAGATGGTGAAATGGGCATGGGCCTTAAGTCTTTAAGAAATTTAAGATCTATTTTTTTTAAAATGTAAAAGATCTAATCTTTTATATCTTTAAGATTTGATCTTTTAAGATGCTTGGGTTAAGTGAAACTGATAAGAAACTGATAAGTTGTTTCTCTAGCTTTTAAAAATACATGGAGTGAGTTCTATAATTCCTCAGGAAGTAAGAGCTGTTCCTTTTGAGCTGAAGAACATATTGCAATTCCTATTTCATTGCAGAGATATTTCTCTACTTTAAAATGCTACCCGCTTCTCATCCACACAAAAATTGTGAAACAGAGGGGGCTGGGGCCAGTAAGGAAGTTATGAAGAAAAGTAATTTCACATTAGGTGAGCTGGAAGCCAATAGCTTAATTTTAATATGACCAAGTGGATTATTTATTATTTATATCTGTTTTAAAATAATAACCAAAATATTGTCTTTAAAATAGGTGATTTAAAGCATATTCATATATTGTATAAATGATTAATAATGTATAATTAGCAAACAGATCTTTGAAATTTATCGTTATACATAGACATTTCCAGAAAATTAGTGTCCTATGAGTTTTATGTATTTCATTATCAGTAAGGTATTCTCTAATCATTGAAAAATAAGCACTGCTTTTTTATTTTTAGCAACCTCTCAGTTTCCTTTTTGATATTGACACATTTGCATTTCTTTTATTACATATAGAAGTGAAGATAAATATTTGGGATAAATGTGGAAGGGACAGAAATAATCACATGTCCTTTAAGTAACTTACAGTACTCTTTATAGTTGGTATAAAAACCAAACACTCATGAAGAAATTAGAGATACTTAAAACAAATAAGGAATTATTGGAAATAATATTGAGGGATACTGACTTCAAGCACAGTATGGATTCAGTTTCAAGGAGGAAGTGAAATTGAATCTGTACTTTGAAGGATAAGTTGCTTAACATCAAGGAGGTAGAGGGCATTTCACATGGGAGAAGAAAACAAAAAGTCTAAAGGGCAATAGAGACAAGAATGAGGAAGGCACATAGTGAGGACAGTGGAGAGAGGGACCAGATTGGAGAAGATAGCATTTGTTGGGACCAAGGAGGACAGTGGGAAGTAAGATTTTCCAGAGAGTGGTACTTTGGTTATGAAGACCCTAAAAGCCAGCAAGAGTCTGTATGCAGTGAAATAAGCAACAGGGAGACATTGATATTGAGTAGTTTCTTAAGTATTAATTTTTGCATATAAATTAGTAGTATTTTTTCTAATACTTAATAGACCCTACAGTTACACCTCTAGTCTTGTTCTCATCAACTTAGAATTTTCATTTCAAATGAAAGTTTCACCTTTATTGTTTAAAGGATTGAAATAATACCCTATCTAGAATATATGGAAAAAGGTCTCTGAATACATCAATAGAAGAAATTACTTCTGGAATAATTGCAGTTATGAATTTAATAGGGTAGAAGAATTGCATTACATTTTTCTAGAAAGCTAAACAACCTTTGAGCATGCCAGTCTTTTAGTAATAAGGATGGAAGTATAGAGCAAAGGGAAAGACTGTGAGTACCCACAGGGTGGTATTTGTGGCTGTGGCTGGGGTTACTGGGAGTTACTGTTCTACCATGGAGAGCCAGGAGCGGAAGGCCATCGATGACTTACTGGCTCTTCTCCACATTCAGCAACAGGAAACCCACAATGCAGAACACCAGGTTGCGTGTCAAATGCCCTCTGACTCACTCCTTAGTATGGAAAATAATGATAAATAATGCAAATTTCTATTTTGTAGTCTTTTAGCATTTTTTCAAGAGCATTTGCTTTATTTCACTCTATCTCCGTAGTCTTTCATCTCTAATCTGAAGAAAGCAGGTTAGATGAAATTTGCTTAGCATCAAGTTAATGATTAGCAGAAGAACCAGGATTTAACTTCAACCTTTTCTGATTTCAAATCTGGAATTTGTCTTTGTAACAAGCATCTTTGGTGATTCTTATGCACATTGCTTTGGTTTTCTGTGTCTACATAAATCAATAGGTAATTTTAGTGTCCTTGCAGAGGAAGAAACTCTGCGATAAAAATTGGAACTGAAACTAAAAACAAGTTTTGATGAAAGATTGCTTTGACAAGATTTATTGTTGTTACTGTTGGTAAAATAATATCTTTTTTACTCAAACAAAATGTTTATAGTTTCTGCCCTAACCAGAGTGTGTAAATTCTTTGAAAAAATTCTACTCTTCCCAGATCGACTTCAAGCATGCCACATTTTGTACAGAGAAGATATTCTGTATGAATAACTCAGTATTTATTATAATGTTAGAAAATATTTCTCTCAACA
Organism: Homo sapiens; assembly: GCF_000001405.40. Classification (NCBI taxonomy): domain Eukaryota; kingdom Metazoa; phylum Chordata; class Mammalia; order Primates; family Hominidae; genus Homo; species Homo sapiens. The sequence continues at coordinate 87,996,832 of NC_000003.12, read as the reverse complement.
GTAAGTTCCTCATTTTAAATAATGAGAGAAAGCATATTGATTCAAAAGAACAAGAAAAATTATCACAATATCATAAGAAAATATTTACTTTATTCATGACAAAAATGTTAGTTTGCTTTTAGAAATATTTTTGGCAAAATAAAGGTCTGAATATAATCATTTTAGTTATCTAGTTATTAGAGTCTAGAAACACATTTTCTGAAACAAATTAATATGGACACATTTTGAATTGAGCAGGATTACTTTTGAAGGACTTCAGGATATGTTAAGGAAATATTTTTCTTGCTTCCTTTGTACTGTAAAGCAGTAAACCTAATTCTTTGACCTATGAGTTAAAAATAGTCTGGTATAAAGTCATGAGAAAATGGCTTCTTCCTTGAAATAGAGGAATGCATTTCAGCAATAAGCTTATGATAATCTCGACTTTCATGCTATTTGGTGCAGCAAATCAATGCATTGCCTAGTAATTGGCTTCCAATTAATTCTCCATTTAGTTTTGACACAGGACTCTCTGGGTACAGAGGGAAAAGCTTAACTTTGAGCCTGTGAATATGGGGATTATGCTGTGCTAAGGGAATTTTAAAATTTGGAACTGACATAACTGATATAAACAAGGGACATACCACTTAGGGCAAGCTGGGGATGGGTGGGTGGGGAATCAAAATTACTACAAAAGGGAAAGGAAACTGGTTTTGGAGATTCAAAATGGAAATTGGCCCTACTTAAGGATGGACCCATCGACTGCCAGGACTTGGATAAACTGTGCTGTAGATTTGACCCTGTGGGTTTATTGTAAAACAGAACAAAACCAAAATCAAAAAAATTCAGTTAACCCAGACAATCCATATACTTAAACCAGTTCTACAATTAAGACCATGTTTCACAAGCAGAAGTGAATTTTCAAGCATAATTTTTACATAGGTATGTCTATTGGTAGAGTATTGGAGTGAATTTAGTTTTTAGTAGTGTGACTTTCTATTTTTCTTTGGTCTTTTTTCCATGCCTTTCATCACTTGATAAGTTTTAGAGGAGTGGAGCAAAAATAAAATTTTCATTTAATTTTCTAGTGCCAGTATGTTTGAAATCCTAGCAGGAGGTAACTCCTCCTTATCTGGTATTTAACTATTTCTATGATATTTATATTTTCTTTTTCTACCTTATCGGTTAAATACATAAATCCTTATATTGCTACATTTGTTATAGGTGCCAAATATATATATATATTTCTGTAAAAATGCTTAGCTATTAGTAACTTGGAGGATTTTTCAATGAGAGAAAAATCTCATTGAAATCCTATGTATTCAGAGAAATATATCATGTTAATTGTAATCTGTCCTTCATAAATTTCAAAGAAAGCACAAATTGTAGATGATTAATCTCTACATAACCTATCTGACCCTACCACTTTAAAGATATTAAAGAGAGGCCAGGTGTGGTGGATCAAGCCTGTAATCCAAATGCTTTGGGAAGACAAGGTGGGAGGATCACTTGAGGCCAGGAGTTTGAGAGCAGCCTGGGCAACACAGCAAGACGTCATCTCTTCGAAAAGTAAGAAATAAAAAAAATTATCCGGGGGTGGTGGTGCATGCCTGTAGTTCCAGCTACTTGGGAGACTGAGGTGAGAGGATCACTTGAGCCCCAGGAGTTCAAGATTGCAGTGAGCAGTGATTGTACAACTGCACTCCAGCCTGGGCAACAGAATGAGACTTTGTCTCTAGAAAAATAAAATAGGCCAGTTGCAGTGGCTCACACCTATAATCCCACCACTTTTGGAGGCTGAGGTGGGAGGATCACTTGAGCTCAGGAGTCCAAGACCAACCTGGACAATGTGGTAAAACCCCGTCTCTACAAAAGACAACTTAGCCGGGTGCAGTGATGCATGCCTGTAGTCCCAGTTACTCAGGAGGCTGAGGTGGGAGAATGGCTTTAGCCCAGGAGGCGGAGGTAGCAGTGAGCGAAGATCACACCATTGCACTCCAGCCTGGGCAACAGAATGAGACCCTGACTCAATAAAATAAAATAACTAAATATTCATATTCATATTTTTTTCAGGAAGGAAGGCATGCTCTGTACCCTCAGCATGTAGGGGAAACACATAGATGAAGTGATAATAATTGGAATTTGTTGTGGTTCTTTGGATCATACACAGTAATGATAAACTTGATTCTCCTCTGAGCTCTGAAGGGATCTATGACTTTGTCACTTACAGCGTTATTTTCCTAGATTTGGGTCTCAGTCCAACTCAGATCAGAGGGCAGTGTCTGTATCTGGGTGAGCCTCACTCTCCTTGGGTTGTTCAATGGTTGTGTCTCTTAGTTTCCCAATACAAATATATAAATGTCTGAGATAAGTATAAATAAATTAACTCAACAGATAATTTTAACTTTAGAGCAAAGTCATTGAATGAAGAAATCACAGAATTAAATTTTGGTAAGTGAGAAGAGAAGGGAAAGAGAAGTAAACAGAGAATGACAGGGACTATGGCCAGCTTTGGCCTGTCAACTCAGCATAAGGGCCCTTGGGCGGTCAAGTGAAGTGAGGACAAAAGAGATGGCTGGGACACTCGTTTACCTGTCAGTTTTGAGGTCAGAGAGAAACCTCATCTACTTGTCAGTGTGGCTTGAGCAAGACATGGTCATTAGTATCTATGAGCTCTGACATATCTTTATGTGTTTAACATACCCAAAAAAGAAGTAACCGTTTCACCAATAGGCCCTTTCTGTTGGGTTCTTCATTTTGGTTAAGGATGTTATCTCATAGACTCATGTCTCTCCCACTGCTTGCTTATTAAATAATTTATTATAACCTGAGGATTGTACTTCTTCGTACCATCTTTCATCTGTTTCTTTCTTTTTATTCCCATTGCTAGAATCAAGTTCAGGACTTCATCACCTCTTGCCTGGATTACTGATTTGCTTTCTAACGGGAAGTCATCATCTCAATAATAACGCTGCTTTCTCTCTGATGGCATTGAGACAGATCCATTTTTTTTCTTTCTTTTTTGTTTAGATTTGCTCTAAACTTGTAATATTTTTGCTAAAAGTATCAGTGATTACCCATCGTCAGCAATAAAATTGACTGTAGACTTTTTTCTGACGTTCAAAGTCAGCCACAAAAATGCCCAATTTTTCTTTTAATATCCTTTTCCTCTATTGCTCTAAATAGTTGCCAAACTCATTGCTATTTATGAACATGCCCCACCAAATACTTGCATGGTGCAGTTTGTATCCTGATGTTGTCACAACCTGGAGTGTGCTCTTCCATTTTTCTTGCCCCAGTGCTGTGTATTTGACATGTGTTCTAGATACATTCTTTGTGAAATATTTCTGATTTTTCTAAACAAGATGCGATCAGTTTTTCCTCTGCACCATCATAACTGTGTAAACAACTTCCATGCCAGATTTTAGTTTGCTCTTTTCTATTATAGTTTTATTTTTTCTTGTTTCTCCTTTTAGACTGTAAACATATTCAGGAAAAAAAACTGTATTTTATTATTTCGTATATCTTCTATCTAGTATATGTCTCAATGCCTTGTATAAAATGGGAACTCTGTAAATGTTTGTTAGATTGAGAGTAATTTGTCACAGATCTATATATACATAAAATTGATGTAATGTACTCTTAACCACACCATCAGGAAGGAATATTTACAATGCACATAAATGTACAACTTAAAAAAAGGTATATATTGTTTTTCAAACGATCTTGGTTGATGATAGGTCTTCCCAAAGGTAGTCTATGACCTTGCTGGTTCAAATAAAATAAAATCCTCTCAAACTCATGGTTCTATTGTTTTCAAATCCTTTTATAAATATGGAAGAAAAACTTATGGAATTGCTTTGGCTCACTGAACTAGTAGAGTGACTAATTACAAAAATATATATGTGTGTACATTTATTAATTAGTGTAATATGAGTCTTTTTTCCTGTTCATTTCTACCAATTGGAAAAGTAGAAATATTTTAAAGTAAAGGGAAAGTTCTAAAAATTTCCATTATATTCTGTCTAGTAAACGGGAAATAATGTTGAAATCAAAGGTATGGAAAATACTGAAGTGCAAAATACCACAGACAATTTAGTTAATAACTGAGCTTATTAACAGAAATGAAATACATTTTATACTTTTAAAAAGATGTTAAGAGTATAACTGTGGTGAGTAATCTATGATATTTAGTGCTTTAAATTTGATTCCTAAGTAAACAGAGAGCAATTATAACAACGTCACCCATGCCCCTTTGTTGAGTTATTGTTACTAAGGTAAGGCTTTGATTTCAAATGCTGATAATATAAGGATAAGATAATATTATTCTAGAAGTTTATATCAAACATAATACATTAAATATGCACAAGTTCAGTATTGAATTATTTTGCTGTACCTAACCCACTTTATGATTACTCTTTGCTACCTAAACACAAGGACAATTTCAAGCTCTGACTTTTTTACATTTTCTGCAGTCACACTAAGTAAGAGTTGCTCCTTCCCCCTCCCTTTTGCTCAGGGTAAGATGGAGAAGGGACAAGAATGGAGACAGGAGAAATGTGTACTTTGTGGTGAATTATATTTTCTTATACAAAATAATAGAATTATATTATAAAACAGTAGGACTAGATAGAAATTATGGAGGGAGGTATGTTGTTAATTGAAAACTCCTCTATAATTATTGTAAGATGTAAACATGGAAAATCACTGTCATTACTATTGTATATATATATATTTTTTCCAGTTAGCTTTTTAGGAACATTGCATAGGCAAAATATTGTTTATAACCTACATAAATTATTTTCTAATTTTGAATACCCTAGAATAGTGGTGATCAATAACTTTTATATTCACATTGCTATTAAAATATAAATTATAGCCTTATCAATTTAGCAGTTTTCATGTATTTCCCTCTAAAAGCTTAAGTGTTTTATTATTTGGCATTCATCTAGTTATTCCTCCCCTCAAAAACCCCCATCCTTCAATAATAAACATTTTTAAAACTAACATCGACATCGCACAAGCTTTTGGAATGCTTTCTTGAAGTCTTCATTAAAGATTGTGTAAATCAGTGGATTTATAAGGGAATTGAGATACCCAAGCCATGCCAAAAAATTGGACATTTCTTCAGAAATTTTACATTTGTCACAGACATTAACAACTAATTCTTTTACAAAAAAAGGAAGCCAACATATTACAAATGCACCCAAGATTAATCCCAGGGTAGTGGCTGCTTTCCGTTCTCTTGTACCTGAGATCTTTTGCCTTCTCCAAGATTTCTCATGCTTGAATTCAGACCTGAGACTTCTCACTGTGCTATGAATTTTATCAAAGTCTGTTGATGGGTCAGATAAAGACTTTTCTAGTACATAGGATGTGGAAACTGATTTAGTGCTTTTCTCACCACTCTCCAAAAGGACTTGGCCATTCACCTCCTCCTTTGCAATCCTACTTGCTTGTCTCTTGTGGTATAATGTCTTTGCTGCTCTATATATTTTGTAGTAAAGGATCAAAATCAATGCCAGTGGGATGTAGAAAGCTCCAAATGTTGAGTAAATGGTGGAAACAATGTGGTCGTGCTTGATGATGCATTCATCATCTCTGCTAGTTCCTTGGTGCCTCCAGAATAGAGGAGGCATAGAGATAAAAACAGATATAATCCAAACTATTGTAATCATAATGCCAGCATGCTTTGGAGTCCTTTTCCTGGCATACTCAACAGCATCTGTGATTGCTCGATACCGATCCAAAGCTATAGCTGAGAGATGCAAGATGGAGCACGTGCAGCAGGTAATGTCAACACTCAGCCAAATGTCACAGACCACTTGCCCCATAATCCAGCTCTCTCTCACAATATACACAATGCTGAAGGGCATCACCAGGACAGCCACAAGAAAATCTGTGACTGCAAGGGAACAAATTAAATAATTGGCTGGATGGTGCAGCTTCCGGGTCACAATAATTGCAGCGATCACAAGGGAGTTGATAGTTGTTGTCATCAGTGCCAGCCCAGACAGAGTGAGGGACACCAGAATTTTGGATGGCATTCTGTTTAACAGTTCCTCTGAGGTCAAGTTTTGATCAGATGAATTTAAGAAATCCATTTTCTTTGTTTTAAAAGATTAATATAGCTGAAAAATGGATACCTGTAACAAGGGAAGAGAAAAAACAGTTCAGAGAAGGCTTCAAGAACTTTTCTCTTCCTTTCAGAATAATTTTTAAAAAGTGTATGTTATGTTTACCCAGAATATTCTATAGATTAAAAAAATGAGGTTCAGATTGAAGGTTTTAGTTTTCCTTTTTATTTAAGAAATTTAATGAGAACAGTAAAAAAAGCCAGTAACTTCCAAAACATTTCTTAAAATATAGGTTAAATACAACAATTTTTAATGAATACTCTAGCTTGTTACTCAGTGAAATCTCTGCCATTATAGAATTGGTTTTTCTCTTTGTCCATGTCAGAAAAAGTTTAAAAGTGTGGCAGGCCCGATCTCAATAACGCAGGCCTCCGTAACAACTGTTTCAGTACTACTGACTGACTAGTTGAGTTATATATTCAAAGCTGATAGAGCCAGTGCCCTTATTCAAAGGCTGGAATGTAACAAAGAGCCCACCAAGAGTTTTGCTTAGGCTTTTCCTAGGCTTGAAGCATGACAAAATAACAAAGGAATTCTTAACAGGATCCATTTAGGATGAACAAGTTTTATTGGGGGTCTGAAGAAACTCCACGAACAAGTTTATTGGGGTCTAAAGGAACTCCCCAAACCTTTACGATTTAGCAGGAGACAAGAAAAGGGTAATCACCCCAGCACCTAGACTCATTTAGATTAAGTAAACTTACTGAGGCTCCAGAAGAAGGCCTTCAGGACTCAGACCTCAGTTATAAATTAAAAGAAGTTAATCTTCTTTGTCTTTAGATGAATGCACACTTACATGAAGACATATAGCTTAGAAGGTATTTAAGCTCTGGAAAACTTTGTAATTTCCAGGCCTTCTCCCTGTAACTGGTTACAGAAATAAAAACTCTCTTTCTCCCCAGTTCATCTGCATCTCGTTATTGGGCTGCGAAAAATAGCAGCCTGACCCTCGGTTTGGTCTGGGAACAAAAGCACACACCATTTGTGCACTGTATGATGCAATATAAGAAAATATTATATTAAAAACTATTCAAAATAATAATTTTGTACTTAATTGAAAGTTACATTGAGAACATTATCATTAGGCTTATGGAGACTAAAGGAACTTTTAGTATATTTTATGTCAAGCTATGGAGGTTATATAAAGAGAAATAGCAAAAAAAATTAGTATATCCTTAGCATTCCATGATCATTGTATGAAATTAGGAAAATGTCAGAGTGCTTACTTGTCTTTGTGGATATAAGTAGTTAATTTGGTTTAAAAAGATAGAATAAGATTAGTTGGAATCAAATAATCGTACAACACTGCCCATTATAATAATGACAGCTATGATCAAACAAGTCCGTTACCAAAGAAACTTACTAGTAAGGACAGCCCCTAATGGCACTCACTCTGAAATGGAAATTATTCTTCTGTATAAGTCACCATTGTAATGACCGGGTTACCTTGCTTCTGAAAAAGGACTCTCCATTCATGGCTTATAAGTTTTGCTTTAGTCCATTATATTAATTACAAGTCAATTAAGAACATTTGGAGTATAATAAAATAGAATTAATATCTTTGATAAATAGCATTTTTTTAAATCAATCCTCTTCTCTCTAATAACTTTTTAGTAGTTACTAATATTTTAGGAAAGGACAATATGGAGACCTGATATTCTTAGGTAGAGCTATTACTATATTTTCATATTCCTTAAATTAATGTTAACGTAGTTCTGTTTTATTTGTTGGAACTGATAAATTAATACTTTAAAATACTTAATTTTTATATCAAGTACTTCATAAGAATATGAGTAATCATACATATAATGTGGTTAGGTATATTATAAAACACCTTGAACCAGGCCCGGTAGCTCATTCCTGTAATACCAGCACTTTGGGAGGCTGAGGCAGGGGGATCACTTGAGGTCAGGAGTTCAAGACCATCCTGGCCAACATGGTGAAACCCTGTCTCTACTAAAAATACAAAAAAAAAAAAAAATTATTGGGGCTTGGTGGCACACGCCTGTAGTCCCAGCTACTTCGGAGGTGCTTGAACTCGGGAAGTGGAGGTTGCAGTGAGCCAAAATCGTGCCACTGCACCTCAGCCTGGGCAACAGAGCGATACACCATCTCAAACAACAACAACAAGAACAACAACAAACCAAAACAAAAAACTTTGAAATGCAGCGTATTTTCTATTCTGTTCTACTTTGGGTACCAGTACTAAATTTAATTTTTAGTAACTGCTTGGGTTAACAGTACTAAATTTAATTTTTCTCTTCAGACATTCACTGAAGGCAAGTGCTGTTAAGCAAATTGAGTGGCAGAAGAAATTTGAATACCTTTCTGGTATTTGAATACCTGAAAAAGAGTGATTGTCTATTGTGTATTTGAGAAGTAGTTGCCTTTCTGTTTTTTTTTTTTATGTCAACATTTAGCCAGTTATAAAGGGCAACTAAGGCAACTCCTGGTAAAGAATGGAGGCTAAAGTCTTAGAAACTCTAAAAAAGTGGTTCTTGAATTTGGAGTGCCTCAGAATCACTTGGATGGCTTGTTAAAGCAGATTGCTGTGTCCCACCCTCTCGAGCTGGTGACTCAGCAAGTCTGGTGAGCTTGGGGCTCTAAAATCTACATTCCTAGCAAGTTCCCGGGTGATACTGATGCTGTTGGTCCAGGGAGTTAGGGTTCTGGGCATAATCAACAGGCTGTTTCTCATCTGTCTAATTTTTTTTCAATGCTGCCACATCTATGAGTTTCTCTCTCTTGACTTTTGTCCTCTGAATTTCATGCTATACAATTTTTTCAGTGTCTCTCATTTTTACATTCTTATTTCTTGGAGTTTCTTAAATTATTTTACACTGGCATATATATATAAAATACATATATACATATAATACATATATTTTATATATATATAATACATATATAATACATATATTTTATATATATAAAATACATATATAAAATACATATATATAATACATATATTTTATATATATAAAATACATATATAAAATACATATATATAATACATATATTTTATATATATAAAATATATATATAATACATATATTTTTATATATATATATATAAAATACATATATTATATATATATATATTTCCGTATTTTTATTGCTATCTTCATCCAGCTCTTGGACTTTGTGTTCTGGGTCTTTTAACTCCCCTTCTCTCATATTGTTTCTATTCTTTTCAGTTGATATGAAAGTTATGCTATGACCATATTTCCTAAAATCAGTATTGGATCACAGGACCTATGATGTAATGGTGTGCTTAGGCACCATCAGGACTGCCATTAAAATTCTTGATATATGTTTTTAGTATCAGTGAACCTCACAGTCTTTAGCTATTTTCCCTTGAAACATTTGTAGAAGGTCAATGATTACAGGTAAAATGCTTACTTCAAAACCAACAAGATGTATTAGTAACATGGTAAATTAATTAATTTCTACTTTACTTCCAATATCTCCCCTATTCCCTTATCATAAAATTTGCACTAAATATTAAATTTAAAAAACTGAATAATTTCTTAATGGGTTAATTCCTTTGGAATGGTGTTTATTTGTTTATCTATTTTATTTTATTTTATTTTATTTTTATTTTATTTTTTTGAGACAGAGTCTCACTCTGTACCCCAGGCTGGAGTACAGTGGCATGATCTTGGCTCACTGAAACTTCTGCCTCCCAGGTTCAAGCAATTCTTGTGCCTCAGCCTCCCAAGTAGCTGGAATTACAGGCACGTGTCACCACACCCGGCTAATTTTCTATATTTTTAGTAGAGACGGAGTTTCACCATGTTGGCCAGGGTGGTTCAGAACTCCTGGCCTCTGGTGATCTGCTCACCACGGCCTCCCAACGTGCTGGGATTACAGGTGTGAGCCACCATGCCCGGCCTGCAATGGTGTTTATTTAGTGTTATGGGAATTCATTTAAAAGTGCTGACAGTTTTCATAATATGAGCAAAAATAGCTTTCCATTTTAATTTGCCTGATAAACAATTTTGGCATAAGAGATCTTCCAGAGATTATTCTGAAATTACCTTTTGAATACAATTTTAAACAGGAGAAAGTGTCAGAAAGAGTTATGTGGGTTTCCATAATAAAAGTTAATTATGTAGCAAAATTGACAAGCTTAAAATTAGAAGGTGAATTGGTTGATAATTCAATGGATTTCCCTAAGCATCAAGTTGTAGCATTTAAATTAAGCTCAATAAAATGGTACCTAATGCCAAGAAAAAAATAAAAATTTTGGGTTATATTCTAGAATTATATGACAAAATTTATCTGTCACATAACTTATATTGCAGCTTTCCAGAAATCTTTTTAATGTTAAATTTAGAACTGTAATTAATCTTCTGCTAGTTGTATTTATAGACAACAAAGAAAATAGAAAAACAAAGGCAACCAATGGCGTTGGGTTTTATTTTTATTTTTCTCCTATTTCTCTTGCTATTTACAATGAGAAATGTAATAAACCATCTACCTTTATTAATTTAGACATGGCCTCTGACCAGGTGTTTTTCTGTTCCTTTATATCTTAAGTTCCTGCTGTGCATCTTCATGGTGCTAGGGACCATCTCTGGGTTACTGGACATAGAGTATGCTACATATGTCCCTCCTACTCTTAGAACATAGACTGCATTCTGTATTTGAATGTCTTCACTGGGAAAAAAATCAAGATTAGTCTGTAAGTAGAGCCTGCAGTCTCATGTGTTATATACAGCCTTCTTGATAATAACAGAGAAAGAAAACTTCCCCAGGTTTTATTCAACATGAATGTTTGCCAATTTGTTGATTTAGCTGCATGAAGCATTTACTCCTCTGCTTACTCAGTTTTTAAAATCTAATGCTTATTTATATTCAGGTGTTTGTTTGATCTTGATATCCAATTATATTGTCCTCAAGATTAAATTATTAGCTCCTAGCCGCATAGTTTAATTCATTTTATATTGTAAATAGCCTGGGATGGTTGTCATACACAAATAGTTTTTATAATAACATTGTGAAGTAAAATTCAATTCTACTGAGACCTCACGAATACCTACAAGTTGGCTGTTTTAATTAGAATAACAATAACATTCATCTTTTCTGAGTGTTTACTTCTGCATGCAATGTACTAAGTGCTTTCCATGCATTAACATGCTTAATCCTCATAACTAACCTTTGAGGTAGGTACAATTATTGTCTTTCTTTTCATAGATAAGATAACTGAAGCACAGATGTTTAATAATCTCTACAATGACAACACAACAAATAATTGGTAGAACAAATCTATTCTTTTAACCACCATTTTTCTCTCTGTAGGAGATGTATTACTGAATAGTTGTATTTCAGTCATGAGGCTTATCAAGTAACTACTTTTTCTTTGCTTTTTTTTTTTTGAGATGGAGGTTCGCTCTTGTTGCCCAGGCTGGAATACAATGGCGTGATCTCTGGCTCACCGCAACCTCTGCCTCCTGGGTTCAAGCGATTCGTCAGCCTCAGCCTCCCGAGTAGCTGGGATTACAGGCATGCGCCACCACACCCAGCTAATTTTGTATTTTTAGTAGAGAGGGGGTTTCTCCATGTTGGTCAGGGTGGTCTCAAACTCCCAACCAGAGGTGATCTGCCTGCCTCGGCCTCCCAAAGTGCTGGTATTACAGGAGTGAGCCACTGTGCCCAGCCCTCAAGTAACTACTTTTTCTATAAAATAAAGATTATGTTACAAAATGAGAAGGGTGTTCAAGTGTAAGCAAATATCCAATAAAATTAATGTTTAAGGTAGCAACCAGGTCTACATGTGTTGATTATAACAGTAGGAATGTATTCATAGTGCTTTCCAATTTTTTTACTGCCTTTTCAACTCTGAGACTTCCCTTTTGCTCTTATATTTCTTTGCTTTCATTTATTCCTTTAAGAACTTTTTTAGTGAGTGTTATTTTTGTGCTAATAAATCTGAGAGTTATAAAAATACCTCTTTTGGCTGGGTGTGGTGGTGCACGCCTGTAATCCCAGCACTTTGGGAGGCCAAGGTGGGTGGCCTGAAGTCAGGAGTTTGCAACCAGCTTGACTAACATGGTGAAACCCCGTCTCTTCTGAATACAAATAATTAGCTGGGTGTGGTGGCACATGCCTGTAATCTGAGCTACTTGGGAAGCTGAGAGAGGAGAATCACTTGTACCTGGGAGGTAGAGGTTGTAGTGAGCCAAAATCATGCCATGCGCTCCAGCTTGGGCAACAGAAGCGAAAGAGCAAAACTCTGTCTCAAAACAAAAACAAAACAAACAAACAAAAAAACCTCTTTCCTACCACCACCAAGAAAAATCTATCCCTGGACAAAACAAAACAAATCAAAACAGCAAAACAAAACAACACTTTGTACTTGTCATTAAGAAGCTAGCTTTGGCCATGAAAACTCTTAACATATAATACAATTATACAATGCAATAAGGGCATTATGGAGATATGTATAAAGTTTCCTGGAAATACTGGTGAGGGATAATTAATTAATCATAGCATGGTTAAACAGGGAAAGCCTTTGCAGGTACAGGAAAAAGTATGAGCAAAAGCAGAGGCATAAAAATGCAGGATGCATCAGACATGTGAAATCAGCAGTCTGATGTGCTACCTACTTACTGCAAAGGCACTTTAGGGCTAGAGTTGGGGGTGAGAGATGAAAATTAACTGAGGAAGACAAAGGAGGCTTGCATGCCATGGTAAGGACACCAGGTTTTATTTTGTAGGCAGTCAGAAGTCTTAGAAATGTTTAAGAAGGTAAGTGAAAGGATATCTGAGTTTTGGCAGAGTGAGGTGTGCAGGTGGCAAGGTACAGCTTGAAGAGAGTAGTGCTGCTGCTCCAGGGAAAAGGCGTAAGCAAAAAGATTAAAGAATGCTTTTGAGAATATAGCTGAAATTATAACCTTCAAAAGGTAACTGGAATAAAAATGGTCTATGTTTTTTTACTCTTCCATTAGTGCTTGAAATTTAGGGTTTATATTGCTAAGTAAAAGATAATTCAATTTATTCAGGATTGGATCAGGAATTGGGATGCAGATTGGGGTCAGAGGCCAAGGGAAAATGTTGTTGGGTGTGCTGGATCAGTACTAGTTTCATAAAACAGCAGGCCAGAGAGGGCAACAAGCTGAGAAAATAGGCCAGCATTGAGTAATTTGAGGTCCTGATGAGGTTCAGGAGCAGGTGTAAAGTGGGCTCAGGTAATGTGCAAGGATGACAAAAAGATGAGATTGCAGTTAGGTTCCGAGCCTGGGATTGTAGAGTTTTGAATTTAGGGAGTGATTCCAGGGCTGGAGTATGAAAATGTATAGGATTGCTCCATAACTCTTCTGTATCAGTGAAGACCTGCTTACTGAGAGAGATGGGAAACTCTGCAAGGCTTTTACAGCACTTCAGTCAATGGAACCTTGCCTATATTTGCCATGTATATGTATACATTTTCTTTTCCCTATTTTTTTAAATCACTGCCTGCTGGATCTGGCCTCTAGGATCCTGACATACACTTCTCAGATTTGTACACTTAACTTTTTGGCTTTGAATACTCATCTCTCCCCACCATGTCTTGCTTTAACTGTCCATGTCCAACTTAGGGGTGTGCTTGTGTTTCCTAGATGTCTGACCTATTCTTTCTTAGTTTATGAATTATGTTCCCGTTAGTTTGTCTGTTGGCTCCAATGACTTCCATCCATTTCATAAGCAAAATATATTCACGTGCTCCCCAAGCTCCCCCAGATCTCATCTAATCATGGCACCAGTCTTTGAAGTCCATGATCTCATGTATTGTATCAAGTCAAGAAACAGATGAGGCTCCTTGAGGCTGCAGTGCATCTTGACTCAGAGAGCTGTAAACTAAACAGGCGATTTATTTGTTCTCCAATCCTTTATATGTAATGGTGAGTTGAGGGCAGGATAATTGCAATAGACACCCCTATTCAAAAAGATAAGGAAATGGGAAACACATAGTGGCCACTGACCTGAAATTCACCCAGACAAATGTTATCAGAGTGCTCTCCTCTGAGGGTTAGAAATTTACCTTCACTAGGGCCCACTTCTGCTTCTGATTTGGTTCTCTAATTCACTGCACTCCACGGCTCTTGAAACGCCCTCCAGGCTCTTGACTCTGCTCTTGAAGAGATCCTGTCTGGTCTCTGGAAAGTAGTCTGGATTATAGCTAAGTAGCCTTCTTAGCCTGCTTTCTGCCTACAGAAAGTCTTTTCATTTTGAGCTCTTTCCCTTTTAGTCCAAGTTAGTATAGTTTTCTTCAAAACTTTGTGTCTCCCTATGAATCGGATTGACAGTCACTACGTGCCCCAAATGTCATATGCATAATTCTTTCCAAGACAGACTTTCTTCTTTTTCAGACTATTTCAGACTATTCTTAGACTATTAGGGCTGTGGGGCAACACCCTTAAGATTTTTAGAAGTCCCTTTCTCTAGCTTAGATATGTAGAAAATATCTGAGATATTTAAAAATATCTCGATATTTAAAAATATTTAGAAAGGGCAGGGCACAGTGGCTTATGCCTGTAATCCCAGTATTTTGGGAGGCCAAGGTGGGTGGATCACTTGAGGTCAGGAATTTGAGACCCGTCTGGTCAAAAAGGTGAAACCCCATCTCTATTAAAAATACAAAAATTAGCCAGGTGTGGTGGCAGTTGCCTGTAATCCCAGCTACTCGGAAAGCTTGGACATGAGAACTGCTTGAGGTGGAGTTGCAGTGAGCTGAGATCTGCCACTGAACTCTAGCCTGGGTGACAGGCCAGAGTGAGACATAAAAAAAAAAGAAAGAAGAAGGCATTCTTATTTTAAATGGAATTTACATATACGCACACCTCATTGCTTAAATGGATCTGGTTATTGTTTTCAAGAGACATCTGCTTGTTAGTCTGCCACACTTGAGAAAATAATTAAATTGCAACAATGACAATCTTAGAGAAAATGACACCACATTCAATGAACACACTGAAACCAGCTACAGGAGCACCTGCTATGGAAAAGAGAGGAAATACACATGTACAGACTCAGTAGGTTGTACTATTTGCTTTGTTTGACTGTTGCTGAAACCTAAAGAGAAAAGAAGTTGAGTGTGTGGGGTGGAATGTAAAGGAAGGGTGGGGAGATATGGCAGAAGTGGAGTTGTGAAGGTAATAGAAACTGATGTTTATTCCTGAGATTATGACTTCAATTAATTAAGAGACTACCAACTACTGTGAATAAAACCCACAATTGCGGCCAGGCATGGTGGCTCACACCTGTAATCCTAGCACTTTGGGAGGCTGAGGTGGGCAGATTGCTTGAGCTCAAGAGTTCGAGACTAGCGTGGGCAACACGGTGAAACCCTGTCTTTACTAAAATACAAAAAATTAGCCGGGTATGGCAGTGTGTGGCTGTAGTCCCAGCTACTCAGGAGGCTGAGGCAGGTGAATTGCTTGAACCTGGGAGGTGGAGGTTGCAGTAAGCTGAGATTGCACCACTGCACTCCAGCCTGGGTGACAGAGTAAGACTCCATCTCCAAAAAACAAACAAACAAAAAAACCCAAAACATAAAACAAACCCGTAAGTGCTAGTGATGGTAGTGGTGGCCCATCTGGAGAGGTTGCTGCAAACAGACCAGCTGTGGCAGGTGAGGTGAAGGCTGGGCTGTGCACTTCAGGGAGCTGGCGGGAGCTGGGAACAGGTGAGAACCCTGCACCCTTCTGAGTTGGTGGGGTGGGAGCCCCACCCCCCCAGGTGCAGCAGCAGCCCCCCAGCTACAGCTGTGGACCTGGACATTCCTATGCTCTCAGGGTCATGGGAACCCTCCCTGCCCCTGCAGGTTCAGAAGTGCCTACTCTTGCTGCCTGATCTCTCCCCACTCCCAGCACCCACTCTCATTTAGGAGCAAAGTTGAAGCCGAGCCCGAGTGTTGTGTGTGTGCTTGAAGCAGTGATGATATGACAGCCCCCTGCCGCCTTGGCATCCTCTGGACTTTGGGCACTGACAAGAATGGGAGAGAGGCCGAGGGGGGACTGAGGGCAGCTAGGTGCAGGCCTGCAGATGCCCCTCAGTACAGCCTGAGCACCATGGATGATGTAATTGATGGTGGCAGGAGGCAGACAGGCTCCTGGGTGGAAAGGAGCAAGCCCCCAGTGAAACCCCATGTTCAAGCCAGGGATGGTCTGAAGCCTGGAGCCTGGGCTGCCTGTTCCATAGCCAGGCATGAAAACTTATGGTGCTTTTTCCAGGCCCACCCATGGCTGCTCATGGACCAGTCAGCATGCACTTCCTCCCTTCTGAAGCCCATAAAAACCCTGGACTTAGCCAGATTTGGAAAGATGACAAGATGACCTGCCCATGGATAGGAGCTACCCACTCTGGGTCTCCTCTCCACTGAGGGCTGCACAGATGTTGGGATGACCTGACTACAGGTAGAAGCTACCCACTCCAGGTCTCCGCTCTGCTGAGGGGTGGAGAGATGTCATCAGGATGACTGCCTGCAGATAGGAGCTACCCACTCCAGGTAGCCTGAGAGCTGTAATATTGCTCAATAAAGCATTCCTTTGCCTTGTTCACTCTCCAGTTGTCCATGTACCTCACTCTTCCTTGAAGCAGGACAAGAATTTGGGACCCACTGAATGGCAGAACTGAAAGAGCTGTAACACAAACAGGGCTGAAACACACCCTGCTGCTTGCCACAGTGTGGGCAATGAGGAGAGAAGAGTTGTGGCCTTTCCAGGAACACAGATGTAAGGGCTCCCTGAACCAGGGCTGAGGCACTCTCTTCGGGGCTCTGCAGTTCCTGGCATCTTCATGCTTCCAGGTGCTACTGCATTCTCCTCATTTAGATATGGGCGCCCACAGCAGAAGCTGCTTGCAGAGCATCTGATTCAGCTGCAGGGTTGCACAGAGGTGGCACCTGGGGCTGCCTGACCTGCCACAGCAGCCAGCGCGCCTGGCTATGTGCAGTAACTGGATCCCATGCTCACTTGCTCATGCACCCCTTGCTGCTCCACTCCATGCCTTGGAAGGCATGGGGTCTTGGCTGGCAGCCAAACTGAGAGCAGCCTGCCAGGCTGAGTGGGCAGAACAAGCCCAGTGGGCCGAGTAAAATTCAGGCAAAGGTGCTACTGGCCACAGAGGCTTCTGACTGGAAAAGTGACAACCTAAGGATCTTGTGACATTTTTAGGGGCTCATCCAGGATCTGTGGAAGGGTGAGTACTAGTGGATTTGCTGCTTTCTGTTCATTTTTCAGAGTCCCTAAACTCCACAGTCAACAGAATGAAAGGAAAATACTGGGTCTCTGTCGGCCAACTAGAAATGACTATCGTGGCTGCCGGACTTAGGACACAGAGGACAGGCTTGCCAGGGAGAACACTGTCAATCCCCCATCACCCTCTGGTGTTGGGAATGTGGGCTTTGTTCCAATCCAGTTTCCCTTCATGGAGGTCTAGCGGTTGTGTGGATTGGAAGGAGGTCCTGGGGCAACTGAAGGTATCTGGCTGAGGCTACTCCTTGGTATTATCCAAAGGCCCCTGGACTGACTTCAGTCCCTGACTGCCGATTAGGGTGTAGCACTAAGACCCTCAGTCTTTCCCATCTCCCTCCCTCCCTCCCTCCCTCCCTCCCTTCCTTCCTCCCTTCCTTCCTTCCTTCCTTCCTTCCTCCCCCCCTCCCTCCCTCCCCCCCCTCCCTCCCTCCCTCCCCCCCTCCCTCCCTCCCTCCCTCCTTCCCTCCCTTCCTTCCCCTCCAGTCCCTGATTGCCCATTAGGGTGTAGCACTAGGACCCTCAGTCTTTCCCATCTCTCTCTTTTCCTTCCTTCCTTCCTTCCTTCCTTCCTTCCTTCCTTCCTTCCTCCCTCCCTCCCTCCCTTCCTTCCATCCTTCTTTCCACTCCAGTCCCTGATTGCCCATTAGGGTGCAGCAATAGGACCTTCAGTCTTTCCCATCTCTCTCTTTCTTTCCCTCTCTCCCTCTCTCCTTCTAGGCCCACCCATAAACCAATCAGCACTCACTTCTTCCCTTCTGAAGCCTATAAAAATCCTGGACTCAGCCAGACTCACAGAGACATTGGGATGACCTGCCTGGGGAAAGGAGCTATCCACTCCTGGACTCCTCTCTGCTGAGGGCTCCACAAATGTCAGGATGACCTGCCTGCAAATAGGAGGTACTGGGTCTCTTCTCCCCTGAGGGCCACAGACAACCTGCCTGTGGATGGGAGCTAACCACTCTGGGTCTCCTGAGAGCTGTACTGTTGCTGTACTGTACTGAGAGCTGTACTGTACTGAGAGCTGTACTGTTGCTCAATAAAGCAGCCCTTCACCTTGCTCACTCTCTAGTTATCATTCTTCCTGAACTTCCAAGAACTCAGGACCTGTCAAATGAAAGAGCTGTAACACAAACAGGACTGAAACACAGCTCCCCGACTCATCAAGTTGTGGGTGATGAGAAGGAAAGAAGAGCTGCGGCCCTTCTGGGAGCTCAGGGAGTGGTGCACTCGAGATGACACCCTCTTTGGGGTCTCTGCGATTTCTGGAGTCTTCAACCTTCTGAGTGCCACCATGTTCCCCTCATCCAGAGGTGGGTGCCCACAATGGAACCTGCTTGTGGTGCATCTAATCCAGCTGCAGGCTTGCATGAAGCTGGCACCTATGCCAGCTCCTGGAGCTGCCCGCCCCTCTGCAGCTGCCAGCTTGCCTGGCTGTGTGCAATGGCTGGACCCTGCACTCACTCACTCACATACCTCTTGCCTCTATGCATCTAGCTCACCCTTGGCAAGCATGGGATCTGGGCCAGTAGCATGAGCTAAGTGCAGACTTCCAGGATGAGTGGGAAGAACAAGTCCAGTGGGTCTGAGTAAAACTAAGGCAAAGGTGCCACTAGCCACATTGGCTTGTGGCTGGAAAAGTGACACCTTAAGGATCCTGTGACACTAGATTTCAAGAAAAATTCATTTAAAGTGACTCCCCCACATAATAGTGTGTGTGAGCTCAGGAAAGTCATTTCAGCTTTAAAAGACTCAGCTTTGGTGGGGAGCAGTGGCTCATGCCTGTAATCCCAGCACTTTGGGAGGCCAAGGTGGGCGGATCATGAGGTCAGGAGATCGAGACCATCCTGGCTAACAAGGTGAACCTTGTCTCTACTAAAAATACAAAAAAAAAGAAAAAAAAAAAAGAAAAAAATTAGCTGGGCGTGCTGGCGGGTGCCTGTAGTCCCAGCTACTCAGGAGGCTGAGGCAGGAGAATGGCGTGGACCCGGGAGGTGGAGTTTGCAGTGAGCTGAGATCAAGCCACTGCACTCCAGCCTGGGCGACAGAGTGAGACTCCGTCTCAAAAAAAAAAAAAAAAAAAAAAAGTCTCAGCTTCATTATCTGTAGAGGGAAAAAATAAATGTCAAACATTATGAAGGGTTGTTGAAGATTACATATAAATCTGTTAGGTACCTGGCTTCTAAAAAACTTAATATTATTATTTGTCATCTGGAGTATAGGGCTAGCAACTCTACCTTTAGGATTGTGGTTAATGTTGATAATAGTTATGAAATAAGTCTAGCTGGGTAAAAAGCATTTCAATTTTTACCCCAGTCTTCCTTTGATGGGATCCATAGTACCATCACTGTCTAATATCAAGTTTTCTAATTCTACAATATGTAAGGGGATGGTGGGAGGAAATAATGTACAATTACCATACATGAGGAATGGTATATTCTCCTATTATGTAAGTTAAAATGAAAAACAGGTAATATGTTAGCAAGCTAGAGATGGAAATTTTGAAAGTTTATGGTCATGATCTTTTCCTCCGCCTTGACTACCCTTCCCTCTCCTTGAGTAATAAGCAAGGCAAATACTTCACACCATAGTGACATTGGATATAATAATGTATTATGTAAGTGGTTATCACCAGGAACTAGACAAAGAATCTGGATATTCTGTGCCCTTACTGGAAAGTTACTAAAAAGTTGATATTTAACTACGTGCAAGATATGAAAAATATTTTAAAACTTTTGTTTGTAAAGTTAGCTATCTGATAAATACCTTAATCTAGGGAAAAATATTGGGTTGGACAAGGTCTATCTCAAAATCAGGGGTGACAATAGCTATTTTTCTTAAACATGAATAAAAATATGTTAAATTATTTAGAAAAATATAACATGCTTAGGGTGTGTTAAAACTTATTGAAAGCTGTTGTGATGTTCAAAAGAAAATTAATTTTAGTGATGATATTTGATTTAACAACTTCAGTTTTTTTTAAGAGATGGGGGTCTTGCTATGTTGCCCAGACTTGACTTGAACTCCTCAGCCTCCTGAATAACTGGGATTATAGGTGTGTGCCATGGTGTCCAGCTAGATTTTTTTTTGATCCATAATAATTAGTTAATCAAGCTAAGCTGGCACAGTTTAAGCAATTTCAGGGACAACATATTTATTTCCCTCTCTTTTATTTTTGTTTTTTACTAGCACCAGGAACTAGACTGTTACTTATATTTTATACAAATGTAATTAATGGAACAAAAGGTATTTCACCTGATCATAATGTATGCTCTTCCATTGTATTCTATCTTTCTTTTGTAAATATGTTAAATTAAAAGTATTCATTCTCTTTTTTAATCTTTAATCTACTTTTCTCTTTTGATTCTCTTAAGCTTTATACTTAAAGTACATTTTACATCAGGTAGGCTTAATAAGTACCAGCTGATTAACTGAGTAGCATAAACAAGACAAATGATTAATACTGACATTTATCGGGCACTCATGGCTTGGTGGGGCTGGTACATAAAGCAGAAGTCTAGTAACATAGTGTGAGTGCTAATTGCTGTCAGTTGAAATTGGGCAGTTGATTTGTCATCTTCAATTAATGGTATTACAGAATGTTCAGCAGTCAACACAAGGCAGATGTTATATGGCCATGATTTGGAGCTCTGCTCAAATGCAATCTGGTCTTCCAGTTTGCTCACTAACCAAGGCTATCAACTAAAATATGAGGAAAAACTTACCTTTTAAACTTGGATAAGGCAGGCAGTGATTGGCTGAGACTTGTTTAGTATGTTTAGTAGCAATGTACACTGACTTTATCTAAAGTTTAAAAAGTCCATGATTTTAAATAAGAAGGGTATCTATTTTTATTTTATTTTATTGGCTTTACTTAATGCTGTAGAATAAAATATCTTGTTTCTTCCTGTTTTAGACAGTAAATTATCATGGAATGCAAAGATACACACTGAAGAACGGGACATAATTAACATACTAACACTGAGATTCAGCTCCAAGATAATTAGGACACATTTGTCTGTATTTGAATGATAAGAAAGGAAAACTTAAAGTACTTTGACTTAACATTCTTTTTACCATTTGAGAATACTGAAATTGATACCAAATAGTATCAATTCTCCAAGATTTTTTTAGAAAAATCCAAATCTTGGATTCCAAAATTTGGATTTTTGCAAGATTTGGATTTTTTTTTGAGATTTGGATTTTTTTCTCCTTTTTGGAGATTTTTGAAGCATTCATTTTCTCCAAGATTTTTGGACTAACATTTTAAACATAAGAAGTTCTTATTTAGTTACTCTGATTAAGTTACTCTGATTACTTCTAGACTTCGTTGACTTTGGTTACTCCTATAAGAGTAGCAATTATTATTTCTAGGTTGAAAGTATTTTAATAAATAAGTACACTTGAGACCGATACTAATAAAATTCATATGTTTTAGATAAAATTATAAAATATTATAGAGTATGTTGGATATTTCAGAAGTGACATGGTTAAAGGATGATGGATTTATATATTCCCTAGTTGTGACTTAGCACAGAACAAATCTGAACTGTCATCTGAATGGAATTAAAAAATACTGGAGAACATAAATGCTAAACCTCCAAACTTGTTTCCTAAGTTTTGAGCATCAATCAATCAATGTTTATTAAGCAATACAGTGTGTATTGGTTTCTATATGTAGTACATATGCATAAAAGATGCAGCTCATGCAATCAGGAAGAATATTGCTGATCAGTAGTTCAGGAAAAGACACATACACCTACTCTGCAAACATTTATTTAGTTCCAGCATTATAGTTGGCACTCTGGATATAAAAATGAATATGCCATAAAACATTTTCTCAAATAGCTCACTATTACATATAGGAATCACTGCAATATGATGAGATAAACGCATTCTGGTAGTCATTTTTTAAAAAAAGATTGCCAGGCATCTAAACCTTTTTTTTCTTATACTAGTAGAGATACAAGCAGCCATATTTGTTGATAAAAATATAGAAATGCTTCTATACCAGCTGGTAAATAAAATATTAAGACTATAACAAGCAGTAAATTTAATAACATGCACTCGGAAATAGACTCATTAGTACGAGCCAGTCAAAACAACTATGGAAAAATTGTTCTCTTACTTTAACGTGCATTGATAATAGAAATACTGAATATGGAAAAATCTTGGCGGATTTTAAAATATTCTGCTGAGATATCAGCAGAAGCTGAGGGAGGATTCAGCATGATGAATAATATAGTTGTTGTTAAGACATTTTCTCTACTTGAGGCCACAAATTCTGCAAAGATGTTGCCCGTTGGCAACAATGAGGTGGGTAATAGGATCTGGGCATGGCTTCTGCATGGAAATTAGTTTCCCTGGTTGCCTGCTGAGCAGACGAGGTTTCAGCAGTGGCATAAGCAATTATCATCTGCTGCTCGAGAGTTGTCTCTCACACCAAATTGGCACTGGTGGCTCATTGGGACTTGTCTCTGGGTGCTGGTCATGTGTAATTCCGACATCTATGTTCATACCTGGCCATGGTGAACAGGCAGCCTGCCTAGACTATTGATTAAGCTCCCTTCCCCACACCACATCTTTATAAATAGTTCTTATATCAATACGTTCTTTCTGCATTATCCTAATTTAAGCGTGCCGTCGGTATTTCCCATTATGAACCTGATGGATAATAAAAATCATAACTCCCTGGCAATGATTGTTAACTAATAATAATGATTAGTTTAGTAGGGCATGTGTCCAAAGGCAAGTGAATCCTAGTAATTTTACAGGAGTTTCCGGGAAGTAATTTTTATTTTTATTTTCTCACTGGACAGGCGGCAGTGAGTATTTAAGCCTGGATCTCTTGAAATCCCTTCCATCCACATGAGATACAAAGCACAATTTATACTCTAAAGTAGCCTATGCATTATATTTATTAGTGAATGTGTTTTTTAAAAGCCATTATTATGCATAGACGGTTATAGCAGTTTTGCCTGGGAGGAGTAGAAAAGATGTTACACTGGAGTTTTAAATTTAAGCTAGGCTTGAATAATGAGTTTATTGAGTCAATAGATGGTTGAAGGGAGCAGGCTGCAGAGAGAGCATTTTTGAGAGAAGAAATAGAATTTGCAAAGTTATAATACCAGGAAGAGTATGGTAGGAGAATAATTTGAATAGGTTATGGCAGTTGAGGATTGAAAAGTTGAATGGAAAGGAAGCTCTTTACATACCACAATCCTGGAGGCAATGGAGAGCGACCGAAGATGAAGCAGAATAGGTAAAAATTAGAGTCCATGATAGGGATTATTATTACTTATTTTTTTTGATAGAGAGTTTTGCTCTTGTCACCCAGGCTGGAGTGCAATGGTGCAATCTCGGTTCACTGCAACCTCCGCCTCCCGGGTTCAAGCGATTCTCCTGCCTCAGTTTCCCGAGTAGCTGGGATTACAGGTGCACACCACCATGCCTGGCTAAATTTTTTTTTTTTTTTGTATTTTAGTAGAGATGGAGTTGGCCAGGTTGGTCTTGAACTCCTAACCTCAGGTGATCCACCTGCCTCGGCCTCCCAAAGTGCTGGGATTACAGGTGTGAGTCACTGCTCCAGGCCAGGTATTATTATTAAGCAGCTGAGATGTGAGACAATGAGACTCTAGCCAAAAAAATGAAACAAGGTGATGGAGAGAAAGAAAACAGGTTTAAGCTTCTTTAGCGTATGACATGATTCTATAGCTTATTTTTGGAGGGGAGGAGGTGAGACTTGAGGAAGAAGGAGGTTTGATTCCTCTGTTACTCGATGGGCAACTAGTGGATGATAATGTCATTTACATGATTGGGAACACAAGAAAAGGAGGTTTAGAAGGGATTGAAAAGAATATAGGGTCAGGGGAAAGTAATAAGTAGTTTCAAACACATTGAGACTAAGGTATCATGAGATAGCCCACATGGAGTTGTCTAGTTGTCTAGAAGGCAGATCTGGATTGAAATGTAATTTAAAATACATAGATGATTAATCACAACCTTGTGCATCTGTAGTCACCAGAGATTGGTGAAGACAATATATTCAAGGATGAATAAAAGATGAAGAAATTGGGAAAATGTATGTGAAGTACTCATTTAAAAGATTTGGTTACTAATAAAACACTTCAAATTTAGAAATTTTAGAAAAGGCAAGCAATAGATGGAAACTTTAAGTTGAGAAAATTGATTATTGTAAAACACAAACATACTTTGATATATGTATATGGTAATGGGACTAAATCTGGCAAAGTAAAAATTTGAATTACAAATTTAACCACCATTTATAATTTATTATATGTCTTCCCTCATTAGAATGTAAGATCTAGAAGGGCACAGACTTTAATCCCTGGGCCTAGAACAAAATTTGGTTCCTGCTAGTCACTCAAACATTATTTAATAAATGAATGAACGAATGAAAAACACTGTGTGTTAATTGAGGGTGAGGAAAAGCATGCACAATAACACACTGCTGACATAGATTGGTAAGCCCATGGAGACAATATGGCAATCATTTTTATCCAGTCATTCTATTTCTAAGAACTTCCCCTATAAGTATATTTGCATGTGGTAGAAATGAATATGTATATCAGTAGAAGTAGGCAAATAAATTATTGTATATACATAAAATGAACAAAGCAGCTCTTTATATTTTGATATGAAAGAATTTCCAAAACATATTTTAAAGTGAAAATGAGTGCTGAAAAGTGTACATG
This sequence comes from Homo sapiens, assembly GCF_000001405.40. Lineage (NCBI taxonomy): Eukaryota > Metazoa > Chordata > Mammalia > Primates > Hominidae > Homo > Homo sapiens. Next base: position 87,971,765 of record NC_000003.12, on the reverse strand, counting down.
GCAGGTTACTATTTATGTAAAAACAATTTATAAATGTACTTGCTTATTTGTATATGGAATATTTCTAGAAAGATACACAAGAGGTGGTTAACTGTGATTATCTCCAAGGAATGTGTGTCTAAGGAAACAGTTTGGAGAGACTCTAAAATTTTGCACCCATTATGCATTTGTTACTTACTTTTTAATATTTTATTTTATTTTATTTTTGAGATAGGGTCTCATTCTGTCACCCAGGCTGTAGTGCAGTGGCATGATCACAGCACATGTCAGAGTCAACTTCCTGGGCTCTGGTGATCCTCCCACCTCAGACTCCCTAGTAGCTGAGATTACAGGCACTCCCCAGCACACCTGGCTAATTTTTGTAGAAACGGGGTTTTATCATGTTGCCCAGGCTAATCTCAAGCTCCTGGGCTCAAGTGATCCTCCTGCCTCGGCCTCTCAAAGTGCTAGGATTACAGGTGTGAGTCACCATGCCCGGCCATTGTTACCTATTAAAAAAAATAAAAGACTGAAACGAACCAATCAAATTTATTGAATACTTCAGTTGATGTCACATACTTTTCCAAGTATCTTGCCTTATCTTATTTGAGGCCAGAAAGAAGAAGGTAAGTGAAGGAAGTAAATTTACAGCTGGTGAATATGTGAGCATGTATGTGTTAAGGTGTTGGTAGAAAATGGCAGAAACTTCATGTGTCATAATTTCTATTTTCTCTTTGGATGGAAGGTAGTGTCATCTGTGGAAGGGGAGGAGGCAGGGATCATGAAGGTAAGAGGAACATTTGGCAGAGTTGCTATAGGAAGGAAGGTGAACAAAGGCAGATAAACAAATTCTGTGTATCATTTAAAGTTGAATAGGCATCAATCTATACTACTGTGAAATTTTTCTTTGGAAATGCTCAGTAGCCATATAAGAGTGGAAAAGAAACATTGTTGGATTATATATCTTGCTGTGGGGAAGCACATGGTAACTAGGGAGCTGAAGATATTATAACAGAAAAGTAGCTAAAGTCAAATGTAAATAAAGACACCAATAGGGAAATAAGTTTAGATTATAAGGGAAGGAATCCGTGTCTTGAAAACAAGGGTGAATTTCATTAGTTGAGAGAAAGTGAGAATTTCAAGGCAGAGCTCTTATCTTTTCCAATTGATCACAGAAATTCTGCCCTTAGTACACACAATTTTTTGGTTCTCAGCCCACAGGCTCTGAAGGGAGCCCTCTTGAGTAAAATTATTTTAGAATAGCTCCAGCTATTCCCTGTGTGGCCCTCGCTCAGGGAAACATTTGTATTTCTCATGTACATTCCCACTTTGGGCTTTTCCTCTACCTCAGCAATTTTCAAAGTGTAGTTTCTGGATCAATAGCAACAGCATCACTTAGGAACTTTAAGAAATGTAAATTCTTGTCCCCATCCTTGATACTGAATCAGAAACTTTGGGAATGAAACTCATCAATGTGTTTTAAACCCTGCCCCCACCAGAGGATTCAGATACATGCTTAACTTAGAACTATTGTTCTAGCTGTTCCCCTGTATCTTACCTGAGATAACCACTTGGTTAATTAACTCCAACTCCTTCAAATCTTTGCTCAAATTCCCACTACTCTGCTTAATGTTGCAACCTACATTTACCTCTCATCCTCCATGAATTAGTCTGTTCTCACACTGCTGATAAAGACATACCTGAGACTGGGTAATTTATAAAGAAAGAGAAGTTTAAAAGACTCACAGTTCCACGTGGCCGGGGAGGCCTCACAATCATGGCAGAAGGCAAAAGCCATGTCTGCATGGCAGCAGGCAAGAGAGAAAGCATGTGCAGGGGAACTCCCCTTTATAAAACCATCAGATCTCTTGACACTTATTTACTACCATGAGAACAGAATGAGAAAGATGTGCCCCCATGATTCAATTACCTCCCTCTGGGTCCCTCCCACAACACGTGGGAAATATAGAAGCTACAATTTGACATGTGGGTGGGGACACAGCCAAACCATATTATTCCACCCTGGCCCCTCCCAATCTCATGTCCTCACATTTAAAAACCAATCATGCCTTCTCAACAGTTCCCCTGAATCTTAACTCATTTCAGCATTAACTCAAAAGTCCACAGTCCAAAGTCTCATCTGAGACAAGGCAAGTCCCTTCCGCCTGTGAGCCCATAAAATAAAAAGCAAGTTAGTTACTTCCTAGATACAGTAGGGGTAAAGGCACTGGGTAAATACACCCATTCAAAATGGGAGAAATTGGCCAAAACAAAGGGACTACAGGCCCCGTGAAAGTCCAAAATCCAGCAGGGCAGTCAAATCTTAAAGCTCTGAAATGATCTCCTTTGACTCCCTGTCTCACATCCAGGTCATGCTGATGCAAGAGGTGGGTTCCCATGGTCTTGGGCAGCTCTGCTCCTGTGGATTTGCAGGGTACAGCCTCCCTCCCGGCTGCTTTCACAGGCTGACATTGAGTGTCTGTGGCTTTTCCTGGCACACAGGCGCAAGCTGTCAGTGGACCTACCATTCCAGGGTCTGGAGGATAGCGGTGCTCTTTTCACAGCTCCACTAGGCAGTGCCCCAGTGGGGAATCTGTGTGAGAGCTTCAATCACACGTTCCCTTCCACACTGCCCTAGCAGAGGTTCTTCATGAGGGCTTCATTCCTGCAGCAAACTTCTGGGTGGACATCCAGGTGTTTCCATACATCCTCTGAAATCTAGGCGGAGGTTTCCAAACCTCAATTTTTGACTGCTGTGCACTTGCAGACTCAATACCACGTGGGAGCTGCCAAGGCTTGGTGCTTGCACCATCTGAATCCATGGCCCAAGCTGTACCTTGGTCCCTTTTAGCCATGGCTAGAGTGGCTGGGATGCCGAGTACCAAGTCCCCAGGCTGCATACAACAGGGGGGCCCTTGGCCTAGCCCAGGAAACCGTTTTTGCCTTCTAGGCCTCTGGGCCTGTGAAGGGAGGGGCTTCCACAAAGGTCTCTTATATGCCCTGGAGACATTTTTCCCATTGTCTTGGAGAGTAATATTTGGCTCTACATTAGTTATTTTAAATTTCTGTAGCCAGCTTAAATTTCTCCTAAGAAAATGGGTTTTTCTTTCCTACCGCTTTGTCAGGCTGCAAATTTTCCAAACTTTTAATGCTCTGCTTCCCTTTTAAACTTAAGTTCCAATTCCAAACCATATCCTGTGAATACATAAAACTGAATCCTTTTAACATTTAAGTCACCTCTTGAATTCTTTGCTGCTTAGAAATTTCTTCTGCCTGGCCAGGTGCGGTGGTTCATGCTTGTAATCCCAGCACTTTGGGAGGGTGAGGTGGGTGATCACCTGAGGTCAGGGTTTTGAGACCAGCCTGACAAACATGGTGAAACCCTGTCTCTACTAAAAATACAAAAATTAGCTGGGCGTGATGTCAGGCATCTGTAATCGCAGCTACTTGGGAGGCTGAGGCAGGAGAATTGCTTGAACCTGGGAGCTGGAGGTTGCAGTGAGCCAAGATCGTGCCATTGCACTCCAGCCTGGGCAACAAGAGTGAAACTCTGTCTCAAAAAAAAAAAAAATTTCTTCTGCTAGATGCCCTAAATCATCTCTCTCAGGTTCAAAATTCCACAAATCTCTAGGGCAGGGGCAAAATGTCACCAGTCTCTTTGTTAAAACATAGCAAGAGTCACCTGTATTCCAGCTTCCAACAAGTTTCTCATCTCCATCTGAGACTACTTCAGCCTGGACTTTATTGTCTAAATTACTATCAGCATTTTGGTCAAAGCCATTCAACAAGTCTACAGGAAGTTCCAAACTTTCCCACATCTTCCTGTCTTCTGAGCCCTCCAAACTGTTCAAACCTTTGCCTGTTGCCCAGTTCCAAAGTTGCTTCCACATTTTCAGGTATCTTTACAGCTGCGCCCTACTATACTGGTACAAATTTGCTGTATTAGTCTGTTCTCGTGCTGCTGATACACATACCTGAGACTGGGCAATTTATAAAGAAAAAGAGGTTTAATAGACTTACAGTTCCACATGGCTTGGGAGGCCACTCAATCATGGCAGAAGGTGAAAGGCATGTCTTCCATGGTGCCAGGCAAGAGAGAAAGCATGAGCAGGGGAACTCCCCTTTATAAAACCATCAGATCTCGTGACATTTTTTCACTATCATGAGAACAGCACAGGAAAGACCTACCCACCCCCCCCCATGATTCAATTACCTCCCACCGGATCTCTCTAATGACACGTGGGAATTATGGGAGCTCTAATTTGAGGTTTGGGTGGGCACAGCCAAGCCGTATCACTCCTTGAGGTACCACTTTCCCTGTATTCTATTTTTTTTTTTTGAGACAGTTTCACTCTGTCACCCAGGCTGGAGTGTAGTGGCACAATCTCAGCTCATTGTAACCTCCGCCTCCTTGGTTCAAGTGATTCTCCTGCCTCAGCCTCCTGAGTAGCGGGGATTACAGGAGTGTGCCACCATGCCCGGCTAATTTTTGTATTTTTAGTGGAGACAGAGTTTCAAAATGTTGGCAAGGCTGATCTCAAACTCCTGACCTCAAGTGATCTGCCCACCTTGGCCTCCCAAAGTGCTGGGATTACAGATGTGAGCCACTGTGCCTGGCTGAGGTATTGATGTTTTCATTCAGAAGAGGTACTATAAGCAAAAGAGTTAAACAAATGTCATTCAACCAATTTCTATTTAAATTTCTTTACTATTAGGATAGACAATATTTTCATTGTACGTAGTAGAACTTTTCTAAGTCAATAAATTATGTAAATAATTCTGTAAGCAAATTTCATTTGTAGGTTTAATTTATTTGCATTAACTCATATACTCTTAACTAATTAAGAGTATAAAGTTGGAGTATATGAGTTAATGCAAATTATTTCTTGGAAATCCTCTGTAGCCATATGAGAGTAGGAAAGGAACATTGTTGGATTATATGTCTTGTTGTGGGGAAGCACAAGGTATTTTTGTAAAATGTGTGATGGAATTCTACTCTTAACTAATTAAGAGTATATGAGTTAATGTACTTAAGAAATTTTCCACGCCCTGACAAAGGGGTTATCTTTTATCTTATGAGTCTTAAGAAGTATGTAAAATAATGTAATTAATCAGCAAGTATTTATTTTAATTCTTAGATCACTAATGAAGATGAAAAAAATCACTTGAATTGAGTCATCAACTTAAAATTTAACTAATATATCATTTTCTGCCTAATATTAATTGTCATAAAACGAGGTTAAGAAATCACAATGCAAAGAGTGTCCATGTGACAGACCATTATTTTTCTATCAAAGGTGAAGTTTAACATGCAACAGACATAAGACATCACATTTAGCCATCAATTTTCTTCTTTGGATAGAAAAAGCTCACAAAAATGGGAAAGACTGATCCAGAAGTTAGTTATGTAACAGTTCTGATATCTTTCTGCCATGGTGTGAATTGTTTATGTCTACCCAAATTTATACATTAAAATCCTTACTCCCAAGGTTATGGTATTAGGAGGGGAGGTCTTTGGGAGGTGATTAGGTCATGGGGGCAAAGCCCTCGTGAATGGGATTAGTGTCTTTATAAAAGAGGCTTGAGAAAGGTCCTTGGCTTCTTCCACTACCTGAGGTTAGAGTGAGAAGACGGCTGTCTATGAGGAACATAGACACCAAATCTGCTGGTGACTTGCTCTTGGACTTCCCAGCCTGCAAACTGTGAGAAATAGATTTCTGTTGTTTATAAGCCACTCAGTTTTTGGAATTTTGTTATAGTAGTCTGAATGCAATAAGAGACTCTTCTAATGTCCTATTATGTCTAGGAGGAGGAAGACATAATATGAAGTCCCTAAAGGACATTTTAGTAAAGAATTTAATAGGCCATCTGAGATGCAAGGGAACTAAGGGAAGAGGGTGGAGTGTTAGTTTCAGCTGATGTGGCTCTAATCCGGGTATAAACAGCCTTAGTCAATAAGCTTTTGGCATTGACTTGAAGAAGAATTCACAGGCACATTCCTTGCCTTAGTACTCCTTGCTAAATTTTGTATTGTGTAAGCTATCTAAAATTAGTGCTTTGTGGATATAATCTCAGGCATTTGTGTTAATTCTGTGGTTGTTTAGTATCTCCTTGCAAAAGTTGTTCCAAATAAGGTGTGTCGCCAGTTATTATCCTAAAGACATTATTATCTAGTGTCCCTGGAATATGTCTATTGACTTTATTTTTAAGAAGCCAGCATACTTTCAAAAGGCTTTTTAACTGTATGGAAGGTCCAAAAGGAAATGATGTGCCATTTTCAAATCTTGCTTTAGTCCAATTTAATCTCACAATTTTCATCCTCCTATTTCATAATTTGACAATACTTATATCCTTTGGATTGATATTTAGTTTTGCAATATATATGAAAAGTATGTGAATTGTGCAAAAAATGATAGGAGATGTGTATCAAACAGATTTTGAAACATCTTTTTAGACTCCATAATGTAGAATATTACTCGCTTAGAAATGTATGTCACCAATTCAGACTTTCTGCAAGTTCATATTATTAACTGAATTAATCTGGGTTTATGAAGGGCATGACTGTTTATAAAAAATGAAATCCAATTAAATCAGCTTAAGAAAAAGAGGTCATCAACAAGTGACTTCACATCACACAGGGGCAGTATATTAGTCTGTTCTCATGCTGCTAACAAAGACATAGCTGAGACTGGATAATTTATTTTAAAAAAGAGGTTTAATGGACTCACAGTTCCACATGGCTGAGACCTCACAATCATGGCAGAAGGCAAAGGAGGAGCAAAGGCACATCTTACATGGGAGCAGGCAAGAGAGCTTGTGTAGGGGAACCCTTTATGAAACCATCAGATCTCATGACTTATTCACTATCATGAGAACAGCATGGGAAAGATCCACACTCATGATTCAATTGCCTCCTACAAGCCCCTCCCGTGACACCTGGGAAATATGGGAGCTACAGTGAAGATGAGATTTGCATAAGGATACAGCCATATCATATCAGGCAGGAAACAAATTATAGCTGGGCTACTCAGAGGACTGGAAAGGAAACTGGAAAGGAACATCTCTTACTATCTTTCCAGATCCTAGTGGTCTCTCCCATCTACATTTTTCTTTGCTCTTCTTTCCCTTTACTAACCCTCTGTTTTCAGTCCTGGCCCCAGTGTTGTATAACCTTCCTGTTCAACTGCCTGGCTTCATACAGCAGTTAATTTACTCAATAGCACTCTGTCCTATTGGTAAACTCTGAGAAGAGGGTTTGGATTGGTTTCAGAGTATGGTGCTATCAGATGTCATCTGGAGAGTGGAGTCAGGAGTTGTGGCTCAGGGAGGAGGAGGGCAGCAAAAGGAATTTCAAAAAAGGAGCGATTACTCCAAACTACGTTGATTAACTCTAAATATCAAATAGTATTTTAGAATTTTATTACTAATTACTCCATGTTGCTTATTTTTATTGGTATGCTTATGGGTAAATAAATGACATCAGAGCTGTAGGAGTGATTTACTTTGGCGTCATGTATACCCAGAAGGAAATAATTCAGATTAAGGGTGAGGAATATATTATAGTTTTATATTCTAATATTCAAGGACAATTATATAGCAGTTTTATAGTTAATCCAAATCCTTAAGTGGAAGTCAGTGGAGACCTGTGATAATTGAGTTAAAGCACCCGGCAGCCAATTTAGGGAAAAAGAGCCTCAAGGGGCTTGTGAGGGTGTTAGAGGAAAAAGACACTAGTTTGGGTTCCTGAGTCCTGCTGCAAGGAATGCAAGGAAAGCTGGCTTGGATTGGAGAAAGTTCCTGGAGATAAATGAAAGAAAGATGCATTTGACTCCTTAGTATTAATTTCTGAATTATTAATGAACTCCCACCAAGTATGAACCTGGTGCTCTGGGGCTCTGAAGAGTAAGAATGAAGTATAGACCTTGCTTCCAAAGGGTTTACAACTCAGTTGGAAAGACAAAGCACATATGTTGCTAGATAGGTTGGGATAAACCATGACATAAATTTACAGAAAGTTAAGATCTCTAACCCTCAGGTGCCAGCATAGATGTTTTCTCTCAAATCCTTTCACCTCCATTGAGAAGTTGAGGGATCATAAACTCAGAGCTTCTTGGTTCTGAACTATAAAATCATGGATTTCCTGCAAAGACCTAATATTGTAGAAAACATTTGAGGCCCACAGAAATGTCAAAAGGCATAGAATCTGGAGGTTGCCACGTTGGAGGAGAGAGGATAGTTATTGTCATCTTGGAGGACAATACACAGCAAATGGCTCATTGTTTTATTCCTTGTGGGGCTTCACTTTTGGGACAAATAAAGATTTAGTGAAAGTAAGTCTGAGTTTTAAAAGTTCTTCATGTTTAGGCAATTAGGCACATCAGGATAACTCAGCATCTTCTTCTTGACTAATATAAGAAGCTTTCCTAGAGATAGTTGTGGCAGGAACTGCTCTACTGATAGTGCAATACTTTTTCAGAAATAGTATAACTGTTTCTGATTATTGTCCAGAAGCACAGGAAAATATTCTTAGGATAGATTTGGCTTGTACATTAAATTATCAACTGTGAAAAACAAATCAAGAAAACAAGGATGCTTCAATAAAGAAGAAGTCCAATAACTGACATTCGGTAGATTTATTTGACCAGAAGGTTAAAAATGTCACTAACCCTTGCCCAAGACCATTAATTTTCCATGTATTAACAAATTTTGTAAAATATCATTATCAGAGTATAAATCAGTATTTTTAATCTTAGCAAATTACTGAAGAGGATTAAATTACACATGATTATTTGCTCTATTAAGAATTTATCAAGAAAGTAAAAAAAATACATAATTTTCAGGGTTGTTAAAATGGTATTTATTGTCTATTAGTATCACTAGATTAAACTACAACCAAAGAGAGAATATCTGGTGAGGGGAAGGTTGTCTGCATTTGCTTAAGAGTTATATTGGAAATAATTTAATTTTCATTATTTTAAAATGTTCTTTCCAAGCAAGGACAAAGTAAATTGTCAGTTGTATTCTGTGTTTACATTTTTCCCATTAGTTAGATACTTCAGAGATTCTGTATATATAAAACTGAAGAGTACAAATATTAAAATAAAATACAAATCAATACCATTTGTATAATTTAGTTTTCAAATGAATTTCTGATTACTTCATATCCTGCTAATATAAACATAAAAGGAAAACATCTCTTATATTTATAATGAATGAATTCATAACACTGGCATACATTTAACTTCCTTTTTTATTTTTAGAAATAGTTCTCTGACAGCACAATTCTCACATGTTGACTTAAGTATAATGAAGTTCATGTCGTCTCTGTTGTGCATAAATTTCTCTCGGCTTATCTTTAGTTTTATGCTAAAGGAATTTTACATTTATTCAAATAAAGCTATTTATTGATTCATAACACAAATAAATTGCAGTTTGAAATAGCTTTTGTACCTATTTTTCACACTGTCAATCTTTATTTCTCTATGCAGTTCATGCAAAATTTAATTAAGATTTGCTTTTTAGTTTTCCATTTTCCCCCTTGAATATTACTATCCTAAGTAGTAGCCAAATCAGCTATTCTGAATTCTCAGGCTGGTCCTAATTTTTATCATTTGTTTGCAAAAAATCCAAGTTGTCTGTCTTTCTTTATTACTTTTGGCATGCCAGTGTTTGAAAACTAAAAAAAATCTTTATTTTTGCTTATATTCAATGTACGTCATTTTTGATGCAATGTAGATAGCACATTGAGGTTGCCTGGTTTAGCAAATGAAAGAATAAGAATTCTCAGTTAAATCTGAATTTCAGATATACAATGAATCATTTTTTAGTATGTCTATGATATTGCATGCTTATACTGACAAAAATATGTATTGTTTGTCTGAAATTCAAATTTAGCCTGCTGTCCTATATTTTATCTGACAACCCTTACACATTTTGTCATATTTGGTAGAATTTCTGTAAACCTTTTATTCTTTTTTTTTTTTTAGATCTTATTACCTCTCTTTTATACTACCTCCATTACTTTCCATTTTTCAGGTTACAAAATAAGAAAACAATGGATTTGAGTATAATTTTTTGTCACACAGTGAAGTTGTCTCGCTGGGTGAGATATTAGATACTGTGTTCACATGTAATACATTAAAGTTCAAAAAAATTTTAAAGTTATGTTTCATTCATTCATTCATTTAGAATAGAGATGGGTCTCACTATGTTGCCCAGGCTGGTCTCAAGCTCCAGCCTTCAAGTGATCCTCCCATCTAGGCCTCCCAACATGCTGGGATTATAAATGTGAGCCACGAAGCCCAGCTGAAGTTATAAAAAAATTTAACAGCACAAGTAGCCAGGATACTGATGAAACTTTCTACTTTAAATCTCTAATTTAACATTTTCATCTCAAAATTTAAAACCTCTCCCACACTTTTTGGCTTCCTCCTTTGATTAGAGTTGGCTCGGAATGGGGTCTCTTCCAATGACAAGGAGGAGCATATCAAATTAATTTTCTTGCTTTTGACTAGTCATCAATAATATCATTCGTTAGTATTCTCAATCTATGCTCTTTGGACTTGGACTACTATAATTGTTGATTGGTGCTTGTAGTGGGGAAGGGTGGTCAAATAAAATTGGGAAATCCTGGGTAAAAAGGCATCTCAACTGAAGAACTTCCCTGAAACTTCAGTATTTTACTTTCCACTGGACATCTCTCATAGGGGAACCCCAGTATACTGCTTTTCCCTACTTTATTTGACATCAGAAAGTTTGTGTGTATGTGTGTGTGTGTGTGTGTGTGCACCATACCAAGTACACTTTTTGCGACATTCAGAGTTTTAGAAAACACAGTTAGGAAATTCTAAAGAGAGTTCCAGCTACTTTTCATCTGATTTCCAGGTCACAGGTGGCTTAAAGAGTAAAGTAGCATGATAGTCATTAGTAAGCAGTCTACCACCATATAAGTCAGGCTGCATCAAACATGACAGATTTCAAACGACTCACTCTGATTACAGATGAGTTAATTTAAGTTTAATAAACCCAAGTCCAAGTAACAGAGAATAGGAAAGGCATAGAGGTAGGAGAAATTTGGAACTAATCTTTGTTGTGCACTTACCATGGTACTTGAATCCATGCAAGATGCTTCTATATAATTTATATAAATTATGACTTCATAATACCCTCACAACAAAAATATAGCCTTATGTAGATGAGGGAACTCAGAATGGTCTAGTTATTTGTTTATTGTCACATAATCAGTTAAAATAGCACAACTGAAATTCAATACAGGTTCTGTTGGCTTCAAACCCATATTCTTTCCCTACTCACAAAAATCCACTTAAAGTCAATTTCCTTTGGCTTTTGCTATTCCTAGAAGGACCCAGACTACTCCTTCAGTTTTGAGAATTACTGTCTAAGGAAGCAATGATTCTTCCCTTTATAAACCATCTGGGCAGCTACTATTTTCTGATACTTACAATGACCACTTCTTTTTGTGATTTATTTAGGATGTTTTCCAAATTGCATATTAGTAGCCACTCACAGGGGTAAATGAAGGCTCATCAAGTAGTGAAAAGGCAGCTGTTCTCAATTTGCTGGCTGCCACTGGAATCATCTACTGACCTTTAAAAATGTTGATGCCTGCTTTTCAGCCCCACAAATTCCAATTTAATTGATTGGGGTATGGCAGAGGCGTTGGGATTTTAAAACACTACCTAGGTGATTTTAATGTGTAGCTAGGCTGAGAATTATTGTTTTTTAAGGATCAAGATGAGAATATAAGTATTTCCATAAAGAAGTAAAAGAAATAATGTTACTATTTATTCAACAAGCCCAACTTTTTGAATAGCTGCTGAATTTAAGGATTTTTTCAGATGGAAAATAAACAATTTAAAGTTTGATATCTTTTTCTATATAAATGACATTTGTATTCATTTGGAGAACCTGTTTAAATATGTGCTTACTTCACTAGTTAAGTTACTGATTCATGCTTATTTAATCTGTAAAACACATAATTCTCAAAAAAAAAAAAAAACCCATGGTGGTCTCACATCGTATCCCAGTGTAGATTTAATTATTACACTAAGAAATTCATATTATCAGAACAGCATGAGCTATCCCTAAGTCAACATCTTAAATCCTTTCAACAATGCACTTTTTACATTTCATATTTGTCTCTCTGATATTGACATTGTTGGAGGTTTAACAAAGCGAATTTAAGTAAAGTACCACTTTCTTGATGTAACTACAGTATTTTTCAAACCATTCTTTAATTTTGGTTGTTACTTTTTTCTAATTGGCAAAATTGAAGTAAAAGAGGCTCTATTAGATTTCTACTAGAAATAATACATTAAAATATTAAAGTAACAAAGTGACCATACAATGGGTTGAAAACAAAGCGCTCTCAATTGCCAGACTTTGGCAATGAATACATGTAGGAAGCAAGGGAGAATTTGGATATTATAAGGAGGGCAAAAATTTATGGTGTACTAATTGCCTTATACATCACAGTCTCATTAAACTCCTAATAATACTAGCATTTAGGTACTATTCCAACCATAAAAATGTGAGAATTGAGTCTCAGAGAGTAGGTTTTGAACTCACTCTATTTCTAGAGCTGTTGGTACTAACCATTATATGCTATTGTCTTCCTCAGAATGGTAATATTTTCTGCTTGAGTGACTAAGAGATTAAGTACATCAAACAACATAGATATGTAACTCAAGTAAATTAAAAGTTTCAGAGTAAGATATCAAGGTAATAAGTTTATACTTAGACATATTTAATTTGGGTGCAGGGATTTTACCCTGATAAAATATTCATTAGTCAGTTGACAATATGGATCTGACAATCAGTTGAAAGTTCAGAGATGAGGAAGATGGAGTACCAAATGCATGGTGGTGGTGGTGGTTGAGAAAGTGGCAGTGGAAAAAATAAGGGAGGAAATATAAAGTAAAAAGAGTTTTAACATATGATCCTGTGGGAACACCTCTAATTGTGAAGGAGATAAGGCACAATCAGATTGGCAAGAGAGATGGCAAAATAACAGAGACTACATCACAGAAACCAAGGGAAGAGACATTTTTAAGAAAGGAATGGTGATAGCAGTGTCAAATGCAGCAGAACTGGACTAGATAACGTGTGGGTAAAGGGATACTGGATTTGGCTGTTAGAAAGTCATTAGCAATCTTCTAAAGAATGATTTTAATATCCTTGTAGGGCTAAAATGGAGACTAGGTTAGCTTCCTGAGTAAACAAAGAGTGTTTGTTTAGAATTAATGTTTGTGGAGTGCCTCCTATAAACCATGCATTGTTCAAGGGTTTTACATGTTTTTAATGAGCTAACAACCCTACTTGGGGAGTCAGTGTACTCAAGGGCACACAGAATTAAAGAGAGACAGACAGTCACTCCAACATATTAGAAGTTTTAAAAAACTCTTCTCTAAGCTAATGATGGAACAATTAGACCAGAAAATAAAACAAAACAAAACAAAAACAAAAACAAAAAACAACCACCCAAACAGTAAGGATATAAAGGATCTAAACAACACAATTTTCCACCTTGGTCTAATTTATATTTAGAATACCCAACAACTGCAGAATACACATAAGATATTTAACAAAATATAAGTATTTGAAAATTGAACAGCATACATCTAAATAATCCATGACTCCAATAAAAAATTACAAGGGGAATTTAAAATAATTTTAACTGAATGTTAATTAAAATACTGTATGTCAAAATTTTGGGAGACAACTAAACTATTCTTAGAGGGGATTTAGAGCTTATTTTTATATTATAAATCAGTGACCTATGGTTTTATCCTAATAAACTAGAAGGAGGAGCGCAAACTAAATCCAAGTAGAAGAAACAAAATAATAAAATAAGAGCTGACATCAAAGACATAAAAAACAGACAAATGAAAAAAGCCAAAAGATGTTTCTTTAAAAAGATCAACAAAAGTAATGGAATTACTTTTAATTTTAATTACTTTTAATCAGTAATTAGACTGATTTAAAAAAGCCAAATCAGCAATATCAGAAATGAAAAATGGGTTTTCTACACAAATCATATGAATATTAAAAGGATAAAAAAAGAGTATTAAGAACACTAATGTCAACAAATTAGGCAACTTAGATTAAATGGACAAATTCCTTGAAAGATGCAAAGTACTAAAGTTTACTGAAAAATAAATAGATAAGCTGGAGAACCTTATCTGATTCCATATGGTTTCTTTGGTAAATTCTATCAAATAGTTAAAAAAGAAGCAATATAAATTTAATACAAATGCCTTGAGTAAATAGAAGAGAAAGAAACATTTTCATATGATTTTCTGATTTCATAATTATCCTGAGACCAAAACCAGAGAAAGACACAAAAAACAAAAACAGAAAAAGACCCACTCTCTCCGTGAAATTAAATGTTAAAATCCTTACCAAAATGTTAGCAGTTGAATCCTGCAATATTTATAAAAGATAACATATCCTGACCAAGTGAGATTTATCTCAGGAATGCAGAGTTACCTTAAGATTAAGAAATCAATCAATATAATTTAACATATTAAGAGAATGAAAGAGATATACCATGATATCATTTCACTGGAATCAGAAAAAAAGTCCATCTGATTGAATTTAACATCTATTCCTGATAAAAACTCTTAGAAAAGTAGGAATAGAAAGGAACTGCCTCCATCTGATAAGAGGCATTTATAAAAAATCTGCACCTAACGTCCTGTTTCCTTGTGAAAGTCTTAATGGTACTCTCCTAAGACTGGGAACAAAGATGCTTACTTTTACCATTTCTATTCAGCATTGTATGTCATAGACCTGGCTAAAAAAGCAAGAGAAAATAATTCATGAGGATCAGAAAAAAAAGATAACACTGTCTCCATTTGGAAATGATGAATCTATTTACTTTGAAAATCTACAGGAATCTAAAAATCAACTATTAAAGTAAGCGAATTTTACCAAGTTGCAGGATACAACGTTAATAAAAATCAATTGTAGTTTTATATAATAGCAAATAATTGGTAAATGAATTTTTAAAAAGTCATATCTAAGAACACTAAAATCATAAAGTACTTGGGAATTAATTTTTCAAAGATATACAAACCATCTGCTCTGAAAATTATGGAACATGGTTGAGAGAAATTTAAAGAAGACCTAAATAAATGGAAGGCATATATTTAAAGATTCAGTATAATTAAAATGTTAATTATTCCCAAATTTATCTATAGATTCCACATAGTCCCAGTCAAAATTCAAGTGGGGTTGTCTTTAGAAGCTGGCAAGCTGGTTCCAAAATTTACATGGAAAGGTAAACATATTTTAAGAAAGAACATAGTTTAAGATGCACAATTCTTGATTTCAAGACTTACTCTAAAGTTATAATACAGACAGTGTGGTATTGGTGAACAGCAGAGATATACGTCATAGCAATACTTTAAAGAGTCCTCAAATAGACTCACAAATATATGTTCAGTTGATATTTGAAGACAGTGCCAAGATAATCCACTGGAGTGAAGGAAAGTCTATTAAATACCTAGTTATCCATATTAAAAATAATGATTATCAATTCTTTACAGATACACAAAAATTAACTTGAAATGAATCATAGACATAAAAGTCAAAACAATAAAACATACAACACTGGAGAAAATTTTAGCTACTTTAGATTAAGCAAAGGTCTCTTAGTATAAAGGAATACAAATTATAGTGGAAGAAAAATCATTAAATTTGATTTTACCAAAGTGTAATAAAGCTTCTGATTTCTAAAAAACTGTTAAAAAATAAAGTCAAGCCACAGAATGGGAGACAATACCCATAAGACTTGAGAATTAATTGCATGATAAAATATTTGTATCCAGACCATATACAGATCTCTTATAAGTTAACAATAAGACTAATAACTCATTTAAAAAAACTCACTTAAAAATAGACACAAAATTTAAACAGATACCTCACAAAAGAAGATATTTGAATAGTCCAAATCTCAGGGAATATGGTCAACATCACTGTCTTCAGGGAAATTTTAAATGATAATGAAATTCCAGTTTATACTCATTAGAATGGCTGATGATAAAACGATGAAAAATACCTACATTGGTGGAAATATGGAGCATACAGAATCTTCATGCATTATTAATAGTAATATAAAATGGTACAACTACTTTGGAAAACTATTTGGCATTTGTAAAAAAAGGCTAAACAAATATGGCTGACAATACGACCCAGCCATTCCATTGCAAGGACTTTACCCATGAGGAATAGATGCATATGTCCATAAAATATCCTATATATGAATGTTCACTGTATTCATAATAGCCTCAAACTAGAAACAACCCAATTCATCAATGGTGAATGGATAAAAAAGATGTGCCATTCATACAATTGAATGCTACTTATCAGTTAGTACAAAGCAGGAAACTACTGATACATGCAACATGGATGAATCTCAAAATCATTATGCTGAGTTAAAGAAGCCAGACATAAAAAGGGTCCATTTTGTATTATACTACTTACATAAAAACGAAACTAATATAGGTGCGAAAAAGCAGATGAATGGTTGCCAGAGTCCAGAGACAAAGGCAGGGAAGGACTGCAAAAAAACCTGAGGAGTCTCTTAAAGGTGGTTTGAATGTCTATTTTGATTATGGTGGTGGCTTCAGGATATACACAACTATTAAAATTCGTAGAATTTTGCATTTTAAATTGATATAATTTATCTTATGCAAATTATTCCTCAATAAAGTAGGTGAGGCAAAAAACAAAACAGATGGACACCAAATAACTGAGACAATAAAGCAGGGGTAGCTACAGTCCAGAACATTCTCCAAGCAGAATATAGCATAAAGTAGAGCAAGTTTATCTTGGAGACACCAGAAGATGTACAAACACTACTTGCGATGTTGAACGGGGTTGAAAACAGGAAAATGAGTTGAAAGTTTAATAAGTTCCTTTCACTACTTTAAAAAAGTTTGTGTCAGAAATAACCTATTGAATTTTTGCTGTGATAGATGATAACTTAGTTTATTACTTCCATTATTCCACCTGCTAAGCCCCATTCTCCTTACATGTTTATATCAGTATTTAAAATGTTTTAATTGGTTATCTTCGTGGCTTTCAGTAACACTCTATCAACTTTCTCTTTGTTTTCATTAACAACAAATGTAGTTTTTGACTCTGTACTGTGTGAAATGATATTCATCAACCCCTGTTGATCCCTTAAATTTTCTTTTGCTTTATACTATAGAATTTCTACTTTTACATTGTTGAAGTTCATAATATTTCTCTATTTTCTTATCATTACTAAGTTTACATAGCTTAGAACAGGTTTAATCTAAAAGTTACAAATCAAATACACAATTGTGGCTACGTATATTTATTGCAGAAGCAGTGGCTACTAATATTATACATCTCTTTATCAGCTTTTGCTTTTCTTAGAGTTTCTAGTCTTCCTACTTTTTAATTGATACATAATATTTACACATATTTATAGGGTACAAGTGATATTTTGATAAATGTACATAATGTGTAATGATCAAGTCAAGTGATTTAGGATATACATCACCTCAAACATTTATCATTTATTTTTGTTGTGAACATTCATGTCTTCTAGCTATTTTGAAATATACAATATATTGCTGTTAACTATAGTCATCTCACTGTGCTATCAAACACTACAACTTACTCCTTTTAGCTGACTATTCATTTGTATCTATTAACCTACCTCTCTATGCTGTCTCCACCTGCCCACCACCTCGCCACCCATTCCCTGTCTCTGGTAACTATCATTCTATTCTTTACCTCCATGAGATTAACTTTTTAAACTTCCACATGTAAGTTAGAACATTGACATTTGTCTTTCTATGTCTGTCTTATTTTACTTACCATAATGACCGCTATTTTCATCCATGTTGCTGCAAATGACAGGATTTCCTTCTTTTAATGACTGAATAATGGTCCATTATGTATATTTACCACATTTTCTTTATCTATTTAGCCATCGATGGGCACTTAGGTTGATTCCATATCTTGGCTATTGTGAATAGCGTTGCATTAATCATGGGGGTGCAGGTATCCTTTTGATATACTGATTTTCTTTGCTTTTGATAAATACCTAGTAGTGAGATTGCTAGCTTATATAGTAGTTCCATTTTTAGTTTTTGAAGAAATCTCCCACTGCGTTCCATAATGGCTGTACTAATTTACATTCCCACCAACAACATATAAGTATGCCCTTTTCTCTGCATCCTTGCTGGCATTTTTTTTTTGTCCTTTTGGTAATAGCCATTCTAACTGGGGTTAGATGATATTTCATTGACTTGCATTTCCCTCATGATTAGTAAAGTTTAGCAGTTTTTCATATACCTGTTGGCCATTTGTATGTCTTTTTTTGTAAGATGTCTATGCAGATCCTTTGCTCACTATTTTCTTTTCTTTTTTTTTTTGCCGTTAAATCGAGTTCTTTATATTTTCTGGTATTAATCTCTTGTCACATAAATAGTTTGCAAACATTTTCTCCCATTCAACAGGTTGTCTCTTCAATCTGGTGATTGTTTTCTTTGCTGTGCAGAAACTTTTTAGTTTAATATACCCTCATTTTTCTCTATTTTTGTTTTTGTTGCCTGTGCTTTTGAAGTCTTAGTTATAATATATTTGCTTAGACTAATGTCCTGAAATGTTTTCCCTATATTTATTCTAGTAGTTTAATAGTTTCATGTCTTATGTTTTAAGTCTTTAATACATTAATACATTTTGAGTTGACTTTTATACATGTTGAGATATATAAAGATTGATTACATGATTTCTGTAAAACTGTGTACTCATTTTTTTAGTTATTACTTATTTTGATAAAAAACATACTCAAGTAATTGTAGAAAATATACATGAGGTAACTTTTATGTGTCCTTGTATGGCTGAAAATGTAGTGTAATTAGCGTGAGAAAAAAAAACAAGTAAAAAGGCATAGAAGTAGCTGCCTCTGGAGAAAGCAATTGGGATTTAGAAGGGATGTGGTGGGTGACCATTGCTTTTCACCATCCGAAAGCTTGCATTATATTGATTATAAATATTTTAAAAAAGTTCCTGGTGACTTGCTTTATTCTATGCATTAATGATTTTCAGAATTTTGTCAGAAATTACGCGTGTAAATTGCAAATTATGCAAAACAATTTGAGAAACAGGTTTTTAAATTTCTACGTGAAGATATCATTTCCTTTATTGCCCTTAGGGCTGATCGCAATTTATTGATGCTGACAATGTTTTAGCACTTTTTGTACTTGTCTTTAAATCTTAAAATACTTTTATGAGGAAGACACTATTTTTAATCCCCATTTTATAGATGAGAAAAGTGAGGCTCAAAGAGATTTCCCCAAGTCTGCCTGTTTCCATATCAACATCTGTATTGTATTGTATTAATGAGATTCTGCAATTCTGGTAGCCTCAGTTGCTCTTTGGGGATGAATTAAATGCTTTAGAAACTATAAGCCCAGGTATAAAAACTGATAAATATTAAAAAGGTCTAATTATTGCTGTTGTTAAAAAATAAATTTTAAAATAGTTACATTTTGTTGTTGCAAGTTAGTAAAATATAAACATGTTTCATTCAGGTCTTACCTGAGTCAATGTAGAATGTGACCTTGTCTACTTTAAATATTGATATCAGGACTCAACTTGAGAGGATATGAGTTAATGCCACTTTGAAAAAAAATCTCAACCAAGATTTCCTTGAGTAGGTCAATAGATTAACTGTGGTACATCCAGACAATGGACAATTATTCAGTGCTAAGAGGAAATAAGCTATCAAGTCATGAAAAGACAAGGAAGAAATGTACATGCATATTACTAAATGAAAGAAGCCAATCCAAAAATACTACATGCCGCATTATTCCAACTACATGACATTCTGGAAAAGGCAAAACTATTGAGTCAGTACAAAGATCACTGATTGCCAGGAAACAGGAGGAGATGAACAGGCAGAGTATAGAGGATTTTTAGGCCAGTGAAACTACTCTGTATGATACTAAAATGATGGATATATATGTCCATCATATATATATGCATATAACTATATATTTGCCTACATCTACAGAATATACAACATCAAGAGTGAACCCTAATGTGAACTATGGACTCTTGATGATGATGTGTCAATGTAGGTTCATCAGTTGTAGCAAATATCCTACTCTTGTGGGGGATGTTGATAATGGAAGAGGCTATACATGTATGGGGCAGGTAGTATGTGAGAAATTTCTGTAACTTCCAATCAATTTTTCTGTGAATCTAAAACTGCTCTAAAAATAAAGTCTATTAAAACAATTCTGGGGTAATGTACCAACACACTTCAATTTCTTTAGAAAGTATTTATTGAATGGTGTCAACTTCCTCATGCTTATTTTACTTGTTTTTATTATGAGAAGGGTAATGGTATTGACCTCATAGGATTGCTAAGAAGATGAACTAAAATGATACATCTAAACTGTACAGTGTCTAGCACATAGTAAACTTTAATATATAACTATTGTTCTTCGTGGTAATGCTGTTATAAATAATATGTTTTAGACATTATGCTTGACATCTTTGATAGAATGGTATGCAAAAACTTACAGTCTGAAATCACAGAGATCATGTATAACCTGAATCCACTTGCACTTAGCAGTATTGGAGTGGGAGTAAAACAGTTGTTAGGGTTTTCCAAGTTTCGGAGGTTGCCTGTTGGATGGGGAAATTTGAGACAGTGGAGGCTTCTGAAAGCAGAACTAATGTGAAAGTTGCAGATACCAGGATGAAATCACTTTTGTTAGACCCAGACAAAATAGGGCCAGGAAGGACAGAAGGAGAGGAGATGCATTTATATCTGAGATAAGAACTTGTTTCCAAGGACTGTCTAAATACCCTTAATGCATTTCCTGCTTTGATAAGGCTTATCACTAGACATTATTTAGGACTGTATTAATTCAGACAGTGTTCTTAAAGAACACTTGACCAGTAATGACATTTCCACCAATGAATTGACAACAACTCTGACTTCGAACCTCTGAAACCAATGAACTCTGTTTCTAAGCAGCATATATACATTTTGTTTTGTTTGCAGTAAAAGCTCCCCTTTCCTCTTCCCATACCAAATGCACTGATGACTTGCCATTCCATGTATTATTCCAGATTATAATCATTCTTTTTATTCTCAGGTAAACTCAATATATTTAGAAATAATTCTCTTTACTCCTCCCTTTTTTTTTTTAAGTTGACACTATCATTATTGAGGTCTAAGATAAATCTGTAAAAAAATAACATCAGGGCATCCTGATCAACTGAAGGACCAGAAGGAGTCAAGACGTGGTTATGTATGAATGAAGGGTTGAAAGAAAAAAAGAAAAGATGGTTTTAGAGTACCAGATTTTGGAATTAAGTTTTCAATGGATTAGACTGATGTAATAAGGAAGTCCAAGGCAGAACTTGTGAGAGGATAAAATAGAATATATACAAAAGTTGTTTGCTATGGTTTGCATATTGTTTGTTTACACCAAATCTCATGTTGAAATTTTATTTTCAGTTTGGCAGTATTGGGAGGTGGGGCCCAGTGGGATGTGTTTGGGTCATGTGGGCAGATCTCTTATAAATTGCTTGGTGCCATTCTTGAAGTAGTGAAAGAGTTCTTGCTTTTGCAAGAGTACATTGGTTCTCAAGGGAATGAATTAGTTCCTGGGAGAGAAGACTGTTACAAAGGTAGGGTGTGCCTCAAGTTTGGTTCCTCCTCATAGATGCCTGCTTCCCCTTTGACTTTCTCTGCTGTGTTTTGAGGTAGCACAAAAGCCCTCATCAGAAGCTGAGCAGATACCAGCCCATGCTTCTCGTCCAGCCTGCAGAACCATCAGTTAAATAAACCTCTTTCCTTTATAGGTTGCCAAGCCTTAGATACTCCTTTCTAGCAACGTAAAGTAGACCAAGACATTGTTCAAACTGGGAACGGTGAGGTGACACTGTCTTATGTTTTGAATTCCCAAGGGCTATCACAGAAAATGAAAGAAAATGAAGACTTACTTGAAAACTATGGCCTCTGATATTTAGGTCAGTAGATGGTAATTAGAGTGGTTACAGGAAGGGTGATGTAAAAGGAGACGGTGTGGGTTTCAAGAGGGAGGGGATTTTGGAGTCATGGTAAGAAGGCAAAGATCTGAAAGTGGCAATAAGAAACAAAAAGACTGTCAGCCATCCCTTCTGGATTCAAGAAATAAAAAAGAGAGATAATTGTGGCTTTTCTTTGAACTTTATAACCTGCTATTAAGCTGTTTGCTTTCTCAATGTCACTTGTTTCCCTAACGCATACATCAGACTTGAAGGAAATTTGTATTCCTTTACAGGAGGCTGCCTTTCTGAAGGAGTCCTCTTCTAAGGACTGAGTAGAGGAAGCTGTGATTTATACCTTACAAAGACCTTTTCTAGATATGCAGTGTCAGACTTTTAAGCTGCTGCTATTAGAAACTGACTGAGCTGCCAGAAGTAGAAGTACTTAAGTAATTAATAAATGCCTAAGTAGTTAAAATGAAATTATTTGTAAGACAGTGTTAGAAACTACCCTAAAGGATCTTTGCTCTTCTTGGCAATACAATTAACTTCTATCATTGTGTGTGTGTGTGTTTGTCTGTGTATATACAAACTCTTTTGGCTTTGAAGAACAAATTTACATACACACTTTGTCAAATTCAAGTCTAGTTTGAGACTTTTTTTTAAACAGTCATTTCCAAAATCTAAGCAGAGCTAAACATTGATAGAATATAAATAGATACACAATTTGGTTTACAACAGGATGGTTTATGAAACTGATCTGAAAATAAATATACTGCTGAATAAGATTTTAGTGTTTAACAGATTCAAGAGGGTTGTTATTGTGCTTTATTCAGTACTCCTAAAGCAAGGTTCTATAATATGGCTATTGGTACTACAAACATGGCATAACATTAAAAATTAAGTCTTCTCAGAATAGTTCTCAAATAGTAATATTAAAATAATAGTACATAAAAAAGACTGGGCACGATGGCTCATGCCTGGAGTCCCAAAGCTGGGAGGCCAAGGTGGGCAAATCACTTGAACCCCAGAGTTGGAGACCAGCCTGGGCAACATGACAGAACCCTCTCTACAAAAAATAAGCAAAATTAGCTTATTTTGGTATGAGCCTGTAGTCCCAGCTACTTGGGAGACTGATGAGGCAGGAAGACTGCTTGCGCCCAGGAGGTCAAGGTTGCAGTGAGCTGTGACTATGCGACTGCACTCCAGCCTGGGCAACAGAGTGAGGTCCTGTCTTAAAAAAAAAAAGCATATAAAAAAGAATTCTAGCTGCCAGGAGAATTGAAATGTGACTTTCCTCTTACTTGAGAGTTTCAATTTATGCATAAATAAATGTTATGAAGAAGTAATTTAACAGGATAAATACATTTTTAGATACAATAAAATACAATGTCTTGGAGCCTCTTTATTCTAGTGACCTCTGCCTTTCTAATTAACTATATAGCTACCTTTTGGTCTTTCAAGTTCATTTAGTTCACAGAAGTTATTATAATAATTAATTAGGATGCTCTGAAAATTGGAGGCAGGCCAGCCAAAGTGAATGAGGCACTGAAAATAGTCAAACTTACGATTCAGAATCTTTAAAATTGAAGGCTAAATACTTTATTTTACTTTACTTTTCTATGATGATAGGATAAGCCTTAATGTTTTATAACATTTTTCAGAATGTATTTTTTTCAATGGAATAAACATCCAAGATTAGTAATATTAGATAGGATTTTTTTCACTCTTTGACAAAAACATACATATGAGTGGTTTAATACATTTTTAAAAATAGCAGAAAATTTCAGCCTCACAAACTCAAATGTTGATTTTGCACTATTAAGACAAATTTAAAGTGACATATCAACATTATTCGATTTGAGTGTGTTAAGAAAGATATATTAGCATTTCATTAGTCAAATTTAATAACTGCTTATCAATAAACATAATAGTTATATAATAAATATAAAGATGATTAATATTTTTGAGCAGTTACTTTGTGTCAAACATTTTAGTTTTTACATATATTATGTCAATTAATCTTCACCCCAAAATCCTCCACAGTGGATGTTATTATTATCTTATTTTACTCAATGGATTACAACTAGGAAGTGGCTATTGCTGGCCTTTTGGGGTCGAGTATTCAAGCCTTTACATACCATGCTATAGATGCTCTCTCATATTTTTTGTACCTTTGACATGTGTGGTTATAACTAACAGTAACATTTCTGTGTTTCTAAATGTTAATGACTTTATGTAATACTGTATATGAAAATAGTCCTCTTAAAGTTCATTAAAAAAAGGAAATTATCAATTCCCCCCTACATTTACACAATTACAACTTCAGACTTTGAGAGCAAAAACTTATTTTCACTTGTTTGTTAAGAGAGAACTATTCTAGTATTCCACATATAATCATGTCATCTTATCTGTCCAAACCACTTTTTTTCCTGTCTTTTAACATTTAAGTTAATAAGATGTGAATGTAAAAGACTTCTATTTAGCATTGTCCTTCCAGTAATAAAAATTTCAAATTCCTCTGAATGAATGATGAGAAGAAAATATTATGATAGCATTAATATTACTTTAAAGGCAAAAATATGTTAAAACACTACAAATTGCTGAGTTTAAAATGTTTTCTTTTAATAAGAATTCAAAGATACTCATTGAAAGACACACTTGAAAAGAAAGGCAAAATTTATTCTTAGATTCAAAATATTCACAACCATTTCAACACAACGATTAAATAATAAAATTAACTCTTCAGAGGATTTAGGGACAGACCTATTGCTCCTTCCTCATTCCTTTCTCTGATTTAATAATATATATGGGCTGGGCGTGGTGGCTCATGCCTGTAATCCCAGCACTTTGGGAGGCTAAGGCGGGCAGATCATGAGGTCAGGAGATCAAGACCATCCTGGCTAACACAGTGAAACCCCGACTCTACTAAAAACACAAAAAATTAGCTGGGCGTGGTAGCACGCGCCTGTAACCCCAGCTTCTCAGGAGGCTGAGGCAGGAGAATAGCTTGGACCTGGGAGGCAGAGGTTATAGTGAGCAGCCCGAGATTGTGCCACTGCACTCCAGCCTGGGTGACAGAGTGAGACTGTTTAAAAAAAAAAAAAAATATATATATATATATACACACACACACATATATGTAAATTACCTCTATCTTTTCATCTATATGTATTAGGTACATTAAATTTTTTTTAGTGTAGATAAGCATTTGATTTTAGAAAAGTTAGAAAAATTTGTATTTGTTTTATTCTTATAAATAAAAATAAATGATTTTTGCCTATTAGAAAATGTTATGTTCTTTGGTTACAAGACTTCAGGTTCTTTTATTTGATTATATTTTTAAATTATTTTTCAGGCTACCCTCTTTGGGGCCCCTCCCTTTGTATGGGAGCTCTGTTTTCAGGCTATTAAATCTTGCAACTGCACTCTCTTCTGGTCCGTGTTTGTTATGGTTCGAGCTGAGCTTTTGCTCGAAGTCCACCACTGCCGTTTGCCGCCGTCGCATACCGCCGCTGACTTCCACCCCTCTGGATCCGGCAGGGTGTCCGCTGTGCTCCTGATCCAGCGATGCGCCCATTGCCGCTCCCGATTGGGCTAAAGGCTTGCCATTGTTCCTGCATGGCTAAGTGCCTGGGTTCATCCTAATCGAGCTGAACACTAGTCACTGGGTTCCACGGTTCTCTTCCGTGACCCACGGCTTCTAATAGAGCTATAACACTCACTGCGTGGCCCAAGGTTCCATTCCTTGTAATCCGTGAGGCCAAGAACCCAAAATCAGAGAACCCGAGGCTTGCCACCATCTTGGAAGTGGCCCACCGCCATTTTGGAAGCAGCCCGCCACCATCTTGGGAGCTCTGGGAGCAAGGACCCCCCCGGTAACATTTTGGCGACCAAGAAGGGACCTCTAAAGCCGTGAGTAATATTTGACCACTTTTGCTTGCTATTCTGTCCTATCCTTCCTTAGAATTGGAGGAAAATATCGGGCACCCTTCAGCCAGTTAAAAACGATTAGCGTGGCTGCTGGACTTAAGACTCAGGTGTGAGTCTTAAGGGCTTTCCAACAACCCCCAGCCCTTCTGGGTTGGGAGCATTCATCTGCCTAGAACCAGCTTCCGCTTTCAATTTTCTTGGGGAAGCCGATGGCCAACTAGAGGCAGAAAGCTGTCATCCTGAACTCCCAGCATTAGCCGGTTGACATCATGGCGCAGCCAGAAGTCTCTACTCAATAGTCGCCCATGTGTGCGCCCCTACCTTTCCTTCTGACCTGTACCTCCTGGGTCCCAAACACGACTTTCTTGAAAGTGTAGCCCCAAAATTCTCCTTACCTCTGAATCGACTTCCTCTGATCCCTGCCTCCTAGGTACTAATGGTTCAGACTTTCATTTCCTCTAGCAAGTTGTATCTCCAAAGGATCTAAGGAAGCTCTATGCTGTGTCCTTAGGCATCTAGGCTATAAACCCAGGGAGTCTTATCCCTGGTGTCCCTCCCGATTTAGGTGTACAGCTCTCGACATGGGCAGTTATGTGGGACCCGTTCCCCACCATCCTTGCCAGGGCCCCAAGTCTGTAATGGCTAAGAGAAGGAGAGAGAGGGAGAGATGGAGGAGAGAGAGAGAGAGAGATGGAGGAGACAGAGAGAGAGATGGAGGAGAGAGAGAGACAGAGAAGAGAGAGAGAAAAAGATAGAAATAGTAAAAAACAAAACAAAACAAAACAACCAGTGTGCCCTATTCCTTTAAAAGCCAGGGTAAACTTAAAACCTATAATTGATAATTGGAGGTCTTCTCCGTGACCCTGTAACACTCCAATACTACCTTGTTGTCAATGTAAACAACGGCATAGCCTGAAAACACTGAGACCACTGACAACCTGTAGCCTTCCTATTAAAATCTTTAACCCCGTAACCCACGGATGGCCCAAATCCATTGAATCTGTAGTGGCAACTGCTTTGCTAACAGAAGAAAGTAGAGAAGTAACTTTTAGAGGAAACCTCATTGTGAGCACACCTCACCACTTCAGAATTATTCTAAGTCAAAAAAAGCACAAAGATAGCTTACTAACTCAAAAATCTTAAAGTATGGGGCTATTCTGTTAGAAAAAGGTAATTTAACACCAACCACTGATAATTCCCTTAACCCAGCAGATTTCCTAACAGGGGATTTAAATCTTAATTACTATACAAAGGTCCGACCAGACCTAGGAGGAACTCCCTTCAGGACAGGACGATAGATGGTTCCTCCCAAGTGGTTGAGGAAAAAACCACAATGGGTATTCAGTAATTGATAGGAGACTCTTGTGGAAGCAGAGTTAGAAAAATTGCTTAATAATTGGTCTCCTCAAAAGTGGGAGCTGTTTGCACTCAGCCAAGCCTTAAAGTACTTACAGAATCAAAAAAGACTATCTCAATCCTGACTCAAAAGGTTACCTACATCCTCTCTGAAATGAATTTGCATAAGAACTGTTGCTTATGGGAATGCATCTTGATGGGGAGCTGGGTTATGAAATACTCTGGAACCCAGTCCAGCTCTAGGACTCACCCCTGAGCACAAAGGCAATGTTGGGCACACTAGTAAAGGACCACTAGAATCCAGCAGCCCAGACCCCTTTCTTTGTGGTCAAGGAAGGTGGAAAAACAGGTGCAGGACTACTACATTGGTGAGCATAACTAATCTGATAAGCAGAGGTCCATGGGTGGTTACGCACCCTGGAAAGGAATAAGCATTAGGACCACAGAGGGGGCTCTAGTACTAATGCTCATCGGAAAATGACTAGGGGTGCTGGCATCCCTATGTTCTTTTTTCAGATGGGAAATGTTCCCCCCAAGGCAAAAACGCCCCTAAGATGTATTCTGGAGAACTGGGATCAATTTGACCCTCACAGGCTAAGAAAGAAATGATTTATATTCTTCTGCAGTACCGCCTGGCCATGATATCCTCTTCAAGGGGGAGAAACCCGGCCTCCTGAGGGAAGTATAAATTATAACACCATCTTACAGCTAGACCTCTTTTGTAGAAAAGAAGGCAAATGGATTGAAGTGCCATATGTACAAACTTTCTTTTCATTAAGAGACAACTCGCAATTATGTAAAAAGTGTGATTTATGCCCTATAGGAAGCCCTCAGAGTCTACCTCCCTACCCCAGCATCCCCCCAACTCCTTCCCCAACTAATAAGGACCCCCCTTCAACCCAAATGGTCCAAAAAGAGATAGACAAAGGGGTAACCAAAGAGTGCCAATATTCCCCGATTATGCCCCCTCCAAGCAGTGAGAGAGGAGAATTTGGCCCAGCCAGAGTGCATGTACCTTTTTCTCTCTCGAACTTAAAGCAAATTAAAATAGACCTAGGTAAATTCTCAGATAACCCTGATGGCTATATTGATGTTTTACAAGGGTTAGGACAATCCTTTGATCTGACATGGAGAGATATAATGTTACTGCTAAATCAGACACTAACCCCAAATGAGAGAAGTGTCGCCATAACTGCAGCCTGAGAGTTTGGCGATCTCTGGTATCTCACTCAGTCAGGTCAATGATAGGATGACAACAGAAGAAAGAGAACGATTCCCCACAGGCCAGCAGGCAGTTGCCAGTGTAGACCCTCACTGAGACACAGAATCAGAACATGGAGATTGGTGCTGCAGACATTTGCTAACTTGCGTGCTAGGAGGACTAAGGAAAACTAGGAAGAAGCCTATGAATTATTCAATGATGTCCACTATAACACAGGGCAAGGAAGAAAATCCTACTGCCTTTCTGGAGAGACTAAGGGAGGCATTGAGGAAGCATACCTCTCTGTCACCTGATTCTATTGAAGGCCAACTAATCTTAAAGGATAAGTTTATCACTCAGTCAGCTGCAGACATTAAAAAACTTCAAAAGTCTGCCTTACGCCCAGAGCAAAACTTAGAAACCCTGTTGAACTTGGTAACCTGGGTTTTTTATAATAGAGATCAGGAGGAGCAGGTGGAATAGGACAAACAGGATAAAAAAAAAAAAGGCCACCGCTTTAGTCATGGCCCTCAGGCAAGTGGACTTTGGAGGCCCTGGTAAAGGGAAAAGCTGGGCAAATTGAATGCCTAATAGGGCTTGCTTCCAGTGCGGTCTACAAGGCCACTTTAAAAAAGATTATCCAAGTAGAAATAAGCCACCCCCTCATCCAAGCCCCTTATGTCAAGGGAGTCACTGGAAGGCCCACTGCCCCAGGGGACAAAAGTCCTCTGAGTCAGAAGCCACTAACCAGATGATCCAGCAGCAGGACTGAGGGTGCCCGGGGCAAGCGCCAGCCGATGCCGTCACCCTCACAGAGCCCCGGGTATGCTTGACCATTGAGGGCCAGGAGGTTAACTGTCTCCTGGACACAGGTGCGGCCTTCTCAGTCTTACTCTCCTGTCCCGGACAACTGTCCTCCAGATCTGTCACTATCTGAGGGGTCCTAGGACAGCCAGTCACTAGATACTTCCCCCAGCCACTAAGTTGTGACTGGGGAACTTTACTCTTTTCAAATGCTTTTCTAATTATGCCTGAAAGCCCCACTCCCTTGTTAGGGAGAGGCATTCTAGCAAAAGCAGGGGCCATAATACACCTGAACATAGGAGAAGGAACACCCATTTGTTGTCCCCTGCTTGAGGAAGGAATTAATCCTGAAGTCTGGGCAACAGGAGGACAATATGGACGAGCAAAGAATGCCCATCTTGTTCAAGTTGAACTAAAGGATTCTGCCTCCTTTCCCTACCAAAGGCAGTACCCCCTTAGACCCGAGGCCCAACAAGGACTCCAAAAGATTAAGGACCTAAAAGCCCAAGGCCTAGTAAAACCATGCAATAGCCCCTGCAATACTCCAATTTTAGGAGTACAGAAACCCAATGGACAGTGGAGGTTAGTGCAAGATCTCAGGATTATCAGTGAGGCCATTGTCCCTCTATACCCAGCTATGCCTAACCCTTGTACTCTGCTTTCCCAAATAGCAGAGGAAGCAGAGTGGTTTATAGTCCTGAACCTTAAAGATGCCTTTTTCTGCATCCCTGTACATCCTGACTCTCAATTCTTGTTTACCTTTGAAGATCCTTCAAACCCAACGTCTCAACTCACCTGGACGGTTTTACTCCAAGGGTCAGGGATAGCCTCCATCTATTTGGCCAGGCATTATCCCAAGACTTGAGCCAGTTCTCATACCTGGACTCTCTTGTCCTTCAGTACGGGGCTAAGTTACTTTTAGCCGCCTGTTCAGAAACCTTGTGCCATCAAGCCACCCAAGCGCTCTTAAATTTCCTCTCTACCTGTGGCTACAAGGTTTCCAAACCAAAGGCTCAGCTCTGCTTACAGCAGGTTAAATACTTAGGGCCAAAATTACCCAAAGGCACCAGGGCCCTCCGTGAGGATCGTATCCAGCCTATACTGGCTTATGCTCATCCCAAAACCCTAAAGCAACTAAGAGGGTTCCTTGGCATTACAGGCTTCTGCCCAATATGGATTCCCAGGTATGGTAAAATAACCAGACCATTATATACACTGATTAAGAAAACTCAGAAAGCCAATACCCATTTAGTAAGATGGACACCTGAAGCAGAAGAAGCAGCTTTCCAGGCCCTAAAGAAGGCCCTAACCCAAGCCCCAGTGTTAAACTTGCCAACAAGGCAAGACTTCTTTATATGTCACAGAAAAAAGCAGGAATACCTCTAGGAGTCCTTACACAGGTCCAAAGGACGAGCTTGCAACCCATGGCCTACCTGAGTAAGGAAATTGATGTAGTGGCAAAGGGTTGGCCTCATTGTTTACAGGTAGTGGCGGCAGTAGCAGTCTTAGTGTCTGAAGCAGTTAAAATAATACAGGGAAGAGATCTTACTGTGTGGACATCTCATGATATGAATGGCATACTCACTGCTATAGGAGACTTGTGGCTGTCAGACAACCATGAGGAAAGTAACTAAAATCGTAAATCCCCATGTTCCATTGGTCCATATGTCTGTTGTGGTACCAGTACCATGCTGTTTTGGTTACTGCAGCCTTGTAGTACAGTTTGAAGGTAGCATGATGCCTCCAGCTTTGTTGTTTTTGCTTACGAGTGTCTTGGCTATATGGGCTCTTTTTTGGTTCCATAAGAAATTTAAAGTAGTTTTTCCTAATTCTGTGAAGAAAGTCAATGGTAGCTTGATGGGGATGGCATTGATTCTATATTTTCGTGATATTGATTCTTCCCATCCATGAGCATGGAATATTCTTCCAATTGTTTGTGTCCTCTCTTATTTCCTTGAGCAAGGATTTGTGGTTCTCTTCGAAGAGGTCCTTCACATCCCTTGTAAGTTGTATTCCTAGGTATTTTATTCTCTTTTTAGCAACTGTGAATGGGAATGCACTTATGATTTGGCTCCCTGTTTGTCTATTATTTGTGTATAGGAATGCTTGTGATTTTTGCACATTGATTTTGGAATAAAGGGGTGTTGAGTTTTATCGAAGGCCTTTAAAACACTCCTCAGCAAATGGCAAAAGAATGGAAATCATAACAAACAGTCTCGCAGATCACAGTGCAATCAAATTAGAACTCAGAATTAAGAGACTCTCTCAAAACTGCACAACTACATGGAAACTGAACAACCTGCTCCTGAATGACTACTGGGTAAATAACAAAATTAAGGCAGAAATAAATAAGTTCTTTGAAACCAATGAGAACAAAGACACAATGTACCAGAATCTCTGGGACACATCTAAAGCAGTGTTTAGAGGGAAATTTATAGCACTACATGCTCACAGGAGAATGCAGGAAAGATCTAAAATCATCACCCTAACATTACAATTAAAAGAACTAGAGAAGCAAGAGCAGACAAATTCAAAAGCTAGCAGAAGACAAGAAATAACTAAGATCAGAGAAGAACTGAAGGAGATAGAGACATGAAAAACCCTTCAAAAAAGTCAATGAATCCAGGAGCTGGTTTTGTGAAAAGATTGTCAAAATAGATAGACTGTTAGCAGACTAATCAAGAAGAAAAGAGAGAAGAATCAATTAGACACAATAAAAAATGACAAAGGGGATATGACCACTGATCCCACAGAAATACAAACTACTATCCGAGAATACCTCTATGCAAATAAACTAGAAAATCTAGAAGAAATAGATAAATTCCTGGACACGTACACTCTCCCAAGACCAAAGCAGGAAGAAGTCGAATCCTGAACAGACCAGTATCAAGTTCTGAAATTGAGGCAGTAATTAATAGCCTACCAACCAAAAAAAGCCCAGGACCAGATGGATTTACAGCTGGATTCTACTAGAGGTACAAGAGGAGCTGGTACCATTCCTTCTGAAATTATTCCAAACAATAGAGAAAGAGGGACTCCTCCCTAACTCATTTTATGAGGCCAGCATCGTCCTGATATCAAAACCTGGCAGAGACACAACAAAAAACAGAAAATTTCAGGCCAATATCCCTGATGAACATCAACGCGAAAATCCTTAATAAAATACTGGCCAACCAAATCCAGTAGCACATCAAAAAGCTTATCCACCACAATCAAGTCAGCTTCATCCCTATGATGCAAGGCTGGTTCAAAATACACAAACCAATAAATGTAATCCGTCACATAAAGAGAACCAATGACAAAAACTACACGATTATCTCAATAGATGCAGAAATGCCCACTTTTTGATGGGGTTGTTTTTCTCTTGTAAATTTGTTTAAGTTCCTTATGGATGCTGGATATTAGATCTTTGTCAGATGCATAGTTTGCAAATATTTTCTGTAGGTTATTTGCTTACTCTGTTGATAGTTTATTTTGCTGTGCAGAAGCTCTTAAGTTTAGATCCATATGTCAATTTTTGCTTTCGTTGTGATTGCTTTTGGTGTCTTTGTAGTGAAATCTTTGCCTGTTCCTATGTCTAGGATAATATTGGCTAGGTTGTCTTCCAGGTTTTTATAGTTTTAGGTTTTATATTTAAGTCTTTAATCCATCTTGAGTTGATTTTTGTACATGGGGTAAGGAAGGGGTCCAGTTTCAATCTTCCGCATATGGCTAGCCAGTTGTCCCAGCATCATTTATTGAATAGGGAGTCCTTTCCCCATTTCTTGTTTTTGTCACTTTTGTTAAATATTAGATGGTCTTAGGTGTGCAGCCTTACTTCTAGGCTCTCTATTTTCTTCCATTTGTCTATGTGTCAGTTTTTGTACCAGTACCATGCTATTTTAATTACTGTAGCCTTGTAGTATAGTTTGAAGTCAGGTAAGGTGATGCTGCTTGCTTTGGTCTTTTTGCTTAGGATTCTCTTGGCTATTAAGGTGCTTTTTAGGCTCCATATGAATTTTAAAATAGTTTCTTCTAGTTCCATGAAGAATGTCATTGGTAGATTGATGGGAATAGCACTGGATGTATAAATTGCTTTGAGCAGTATGGCCAGTTTAATGATACTGATTTTTTATACCCATGAGCGTGGAATGTTTTTCCATTTGTTTGTATCATCTCCGATTTCTTTGAGCAGTTTTGTAGTTCTACTTAGATAGAGATCTTTCACCTCCCTAGTTAGCTGTATTCCTAGGTACTTTATCCTTTTTGCCAATTGTGAACGGGACTGTGTTCCTGATTTGGCTCTCTGCTTGCCTGTTGTTGGTGTATAGGAATGTTAGTTACTTTTTTCACATTGATTTTTGTGTACTGAGACTTTGGTGAAGTTGTTTATCAGCTTAAGAAGCTTTGGGCTTACACTGTGGGACTGTCTACATATAGAATCATGTCATCTGCAAACAGTGATAGTTTGACTTCCTCTCTTCCTATTTGATGCCTTCTATTTCTTTCTTTCTTTCTTCTTTTTTTTTTTTTTTCTTTTGAGATGGAGTCTCGCTCTATTGCCCAAGCTGGAGTGCAGTGGCACGATCTCGGCTCACTGCAACCTCTGCCTCCTGGGTTCAAGCGATTCTCCTGCCTCAGTCTCCTGAGTAGCTGGGACTACAGGCACCCACCACCATGCCCAGCTGATTTTTTTGTGTTTTTAGTAGAGACGGGGTTTCACTGTGTTAGCCAGGATGGTCTTGATCTCCTGACCTTGTGATCCTCCTGCCTCATCCTCCCAAAGTGCTGGGATTACAGGCGTGAGCCACTGCGCCTGGCCCTATTTCTTTCTTTTACCTGATTGCTCTGGTGAGGACTTCCAGTACTATGTTGAATAGCAGTGGTGAGAGAGGTCATCTTTGTCTTGTGCTGGTTTTCAGGGGGAACACTTCCAGCTTTTGCCCATTTGGTATGATGTTGGCTGTGGGTTTGTCATAGATGGCTGTTATTATTTTGAAATATGTTCCTTCAATACCCAGTTTAGACATTCTCACATGGAGGAATGTCGAATTTTATCAAAAGCCTTTTCTGCATCTACTGAGACAATCATGTCGTTTTGTTTTTAGTTCTGTTTACCTAATGGATCATATTTATTGATTTGTGTATATTGTACCAAACTTGCATCCCTGGGATGAAGCCTACTTGATCACGGTGTTTAATGTGTTGCTGGATTCAGTTTGCAAGTATTTTGTTGAGGATTTTTGCATCAATGTTTACCAAGGATATTGGCTTGAAGTTTTCTCTTTTTGTTGGTCTCTGGCAGGTTTTGGTATCAGGATGATGCTGGCCTCATAGAATGAGTTGGGGAGGAGTCCGTCCTCTTTTTTTTTTTTTTTTTGGGTAGTTTCAACAGGGATGGTACCAGCTCTTCTTTGTACATCTAGTAGAATTTGGCTATGGATCTATCCGGTTCTGGGATTTTTTTGGTTGGTAGGCTATTTATTTTTATTCAGTTTTGGAGCTCATTATTGGTCTGTTCAGGGAATCAATTTCTTCTTGGTTCAGTCTTGAGATGGTGTAGAGTCTAGGAATTTCTTTGTCTCTTCTAGATTTTCTAGTTTGTGTGCATAGAGGTGTTTAGAGATGAAATGAGTATCTCAGTCAAATGAATGGACTTGTGTGTGTAAATCTCCTAGTGGGTAGTAAACAGGCTTGCTACTAAGAGCTCTGGCTGTCCTGAATCCCCAAACAAAATATTTCAGTTGTTTATGCTCCGTGATTTAATGTATGAAATCAACTAAATTATAGATTGTTGTGCTCCAAAGTTCACTCTAGCTCTTATTTTATATTTTATAATTTACCATCTTATCTTTTGCTGAAACCGTGGTCAGAAACATCACAGATTTTACCTCCAGTCTGTGGTATCTTATTGGAGTGTTATAAAAATTATCTTTTTCTAATTTATTTATTCATTTATTAAAAAATTAAATGTTTATTGTATTCTGCAATGTGGTTAATAACTAGATGATAAAGTTTTTAAAAAGATAAATCCTAAAGCAGTCGTGGAGACTCAAGTGGCTCAGAGGAAGAAAGCAAAATTATTAATCTTTCAGTTGAACACAATTGTATTCTATAGTGCCATTTACAAATCTTTGCTTAACTTCCTATATTTAAAAAGTTACAAGACAAAGACTTAATTTTAGCATACTGAATGCACAATTGTATTCTTTTAGAAAATTATTCTTGTGTAAAACTTCTCAAAGTATAAATATATTATTTGGAGTGTGTGATAGACTGAAGGCATCAGCAAATATTTAAAAATCCTAAAAATAGGCTAGGTGCAGTGGCTCACGCCTGTAATCCCAGCACTTTGGGAGGCCAAGGTGGGAGGATCACTTGAGGTCAGGAGTTTGAGACCAGCCTGGCCAACATGGTGAAATCCCATCTCTACAAATATAGAAAAATTAGCCAGATGTAGTGGTGGGCGCCTGTAGTCCCAGCTACTCAGGAGGCTGAGGCAGGAGGATCGCTTGAACCCAGAAGGTGGAGGTTGCAGTGAGCCGAGATCATGCCACTGCACTCCAGCCTGGGTGACAGAGCGAGACTCCATCTAAAAAAAAAAATCCTAAAAATGTGGGGAAATGTTATTAAGCCAAATTTTTTTTTTCAGAAGAAATAATTTCTTTTTCCAAAGCATTTCACTTGCAGCCCATTAAATAAACTTCTAACACAGAGATGTTAAATAAAACCTCTCATAATTTTATGATTTCAGAATATTTTTCAACAAAATGGAAACTTAATGAAACAGTGAAATGGTTTGTTTTTAGATTATTCTCAACTTTAAATTTTAATTTGAGTACATTAGATAGAAAATTTAATCCAGTTAGAATTTTCAAGTAGTTGATTTCCAATTTTGGAGGTAGGTCTTTCAGCTGAGTGAAGCAGTTTCATTTAGCGGAAGACCTTTTTTTTTTTTCTTTGTTTCTCATTTAGTGGAAGATCTTTAATGAGGATAAGACACTTGCAGAAGCCTCACCCTGGTGGAATTATTTAGGTAAAAACTGGGGAAAAAAAAGTTGCCTGCTCTCCTTTGAGAGGAAAGAAGAGTGAAATTGACTCTTAAAGAGCAGTCAATGCAATGCAGAGTCACCAACAATAGAACCTGTTGGTGAGAGACAATGATGGGAGTATGGAGGAAGTAGCATGCTACCCACACTCCCTCTCCTTTTTCTCTTCATTTTTGGGGCCTTGTTAGTACTTCTCACGTTGTTGTCTCTGCCTTTAGAGTCCAGCTTTTGTGAAGTAACCGTTAAGAACCAGAGATGGTGGTTCACACCTGTAATCCCAGCACTTTGGGAGGCCAAGTCAGGAGGATCACTTGATTCCAGGGATTCAAGACCAGCCTGGGCAATGTAGTGAGACCTTGTTTCTACAAACAAATGAAGAAAATTAGTTGGGTCTGGTGGAACGGGACTTTGGTCCCAGCTACTTGTGAGGCTGGGGTGGGAGGATCACTTGAGCCCAGAAGGTCAAGGCTGCAGTGAGCTGTGATGATGCCACTGCACTCTAGCTTGGGTGACAAAGTGAGACTCTGTCTCAAAATGAAAATCAAAAACAGTTAAGAGTATAAGCTTTAAATTCAGACATTCTGAATTTTTAATGCAACTCCGTACTTCTTAGGCTGTGAGGTAAATTGCTTAGCTTCCCTCTTGGGGGTGATGTGAAGATTACAAGAGATACAGCATTGCAAAATGCTTCAGTCTTATGTTTGATTGCTCAGAGACAGATCCTGGAATGAAGATTTGCCTGGAAGTGATTGTTGAAGTCATCTTGGGAGAAATCAACAAAGGAGTCAGAGATGAAGTCAAGCAAAGGAGTGACTTCTTGTAAAGTCCCACTGAAGATAGTTTCTGCATGACCCTAAATAGCACCTTAGAATAGTCATGACTGATGCACAGGAGCTGGGGTTTCATGACTGCACTAGCCAGTCATTAGATTTTGCCTTGATATCAGGGAATAAAAACTCCCAAGCACTTCTGGTTCTTTTTACAGAGACAAAGCAGTTCCAGGTGGTCAAGGGCAGTCCTCCATGGAGAGTCATAGATATGGACTGTTGGAATGGGGACAGAGGGTGGGTATTAGTGATATGACAGGATTAAGGTGGAACACCAACAGTGTATGCTACAACTTTGCACAGTGCTTGGCAATGTTAAACTCTTAGCATGTGTTAACCCTTACTGTTATTTTTCACACCATCTTTCTCTTTCATTCTTTCTCTGTTACTGTTACTTCACTAGTGTTTTCTTGATATGCTTTGATTAACAGTTACTGTACAGGGGTTCGAGTAGGTCAAGATAGCTCACTGATGAATAGCTTGCAAATTAGAAGGAAGTATGGGGAGGAAGACTAGGAATGTGGGCCAAAGACGAACCAGATATTATGAAGTGACATACAGCAGGAACAGTTTTCCCAGGGACTGGAAAAGCTGACCAATAGAAATTTAAGGTGGCAATATAGAAAATGATGCCAATGGAATACATGTATAGGCTGATCCCAGGGAGTCTTATCTTCTCATTATAGGCTGGAAAGTATCTTGGCAGAGCATGCTACTGCCCATGACTTTCAAAAACCTGGAATGGAATTAATCTCTTTATGTGTTAGTTTAAAGAAAGACTATGGCATTGAATGTATATATTACCTTGGGCAGTATGGCCATTTTCATAATATTGATTCTTCCTACCCATGAGCATGGAATGTTCTTCCATTTCTTTGTATCCTCTTTTATTTCATTGAGCAGTGGTTTGTAATTCTCCTTGAAGAGGTCCTTCATGTCCCTTGCAAGTTGGATTCCTAAGTATTTTATTCTCTTTGAAGCAATTGTGAATGGGAGTTCACTCATGATTTGGCTCTCTGTTTGTCTGTTATTGGTGTATAATAATGCTTGTGATTTTTGTACATTGATTTTATATCCTGAGACTTTGCTGAAGTTGCTTATCAGCTTAAGGAGATTTTGAGCTTAGACAATGGGGTTTTCTAGATATACAATCATGTCGTCTGCAAAGAGGGACGATTTGACTTCCTCTTTTCCTAATTGAATACCCTTTATTTCCTTCTCCTGCCTAATTGCCCTGGCCAGAACTTCCAACACTATGTTGAATAGGAGTGGTGAGAGAGGGCATCCCTGTCTTGTGCCAGTTTTCAAAGGGAATGCTTCCAGTTTTTGCCCATTCAGTATGATATTGGCTGTGGGTTTGTCATAGATAGCTCTTATTATTTTGAGATACATCCAATCAATACCTAATTTATTGAGAGTTTTTAGCATGAAGGGTTGTTGAATTTTGTGAAAGGCCTTTTCTGCATCTATTGAGATAATCATGTGGTTTTTGTCTTTGGTTCTGTTTATATGCTGGATTACATTTATTGATTTGCATATATTGAACCAGCCTTGCATCCCAGGGATGAAGCCCACTTGATCATGGTGGATAAGCTTTTTGATGTGCTGCTGGATTTGGTTTGCCAGTATTTTATTGAGGATTTTTGCATCAATGTTCATCAAGGATATTGGTCTAAAATTCTCTTTTTTGGTTGTGTCTCTGCCTGGCTTTGGTATCAGGATGATGCTGGCCTCATAAAATGAGTTAGGGAGGATTCCCTCTTTTTCTATTGATTGGAATAGCTTTAGAAGGAATGGTACCATCTCCTCCTTGTACCTCTGGTAGAATTCGGCTGTGAGTCCATCTGGTCCTGGACTCTTTTTGGTTGGTAAGCTATTGATTATTGCCACAATTTCAGATCCTGTTATTAGTCTATTCAGAGATTCAACTTCTTCCTGGTTTAGTCTTGGGAGAGTGTATGTGTTGAGGAATTTTTTGCCATCCCCATCAAGCTACCAATGACTTTCTTCACAGAATTGGAAAAAACTACTTTAAAGTTCATATGGAACCAAAAAAG
The DNA here is from genome assembly GCF_000001405.40 of Homo sapiens. NCBI lineage: Eukaryota > Metazoa > Chordata > Mammalia > Primates > Hominidae > Homo > Homo sapiens. The sequence continues at coordinate 87,932,530 of NC_000003.12, read as the reverse complement.
AGCCCACATTGCCAAGTCAATCCTAAGCCAAAAGAACAAAGCTGGAGGCATCACACTACCCGTCTTCAAACTATACTACAAGGCTACAGTAACCCAAACAGCATGGTACTGGTACCAAAACAGAGATATAGATCAATGGAACAGAATGGATCCCTCAGAAATAACGCTGCATATCTACAACTATCTGATCTTTGACAAACCTGAGAAAAACAAGAAATAGGGAAAGGATTCCCTATTTAATAAATGGTGCTGGGAAAACTGGCTAGCCATATGTAGAAGGCTGAAACTGGATCCCTTCCTTACACCTTATACAAAAATTAATTCAAGATGGATTAAAGACTTAAATGTTAGACCTAAAACCATAAAAACCCTAGAAGAAAACCTAGGCATTACCATTCAGGACATAGGCATGGGTAAGGACTTCATGTCTAAAACACCAAAAGCAATGGCAACAAAAGCCAAAACTGACAAATGGGATCTAGTTAAACTAGAGAGCTTCTGCACAGCAAAAGAAACTACCATCAGAGTGAACAGGCAACCTACAGAATGGGAGAAAATTTTTGCAACCCACTCATCTGACAAAGGGCTAATATCCAGAATCTACAATGAACTCAAACAAATTTACAAGAAAAAAACAACCCCATCAAAAAGTGGGCAAAGGATATGAACAGACACTTCTCAAAAGAAGACATTTATGCAGCCAAAAGACACATGAAGAAATGCTCACCATCACTGGCCATCAGAGAAATGCAAATCAAAACCACTATGAGATACCATCTCACACCAGTTAGAATGCCAATCATTAAAAATCAGGAAACAACAGCTGCTGGAGAGGATGTGCAGAAATAGGAACACTTTTACACTGTTGGTGGGACTGTAAACTAGTTCAACCATTGTGGAAGTCAGTGTGGCGATTCCTCAGGGATCTAGAACTAGATATACCATTTGATCCAGCCATCCCATTACTGGGTATATACCCAATGGACTATAAATCATGCTGCTATAAAGACACATGCACACGTATGTTTATTGCAGCACTATTCACAATAGCAAAGACTTGGAACCAACCCAAATGTCCAACAATGATAGACTGGATTAAGAAAATGTGGCACATATACACCATGGAATACTATGCAGCCATAAGAAATGATGAGTTCACGTCCTTTGTAGGGACATGGATGAAATTGGAAATCATCATTCTAAGTAAACTATCACAAGGACAAAAAACCAAACACCGCATGTTCTCACTCATAGATGGGAATTGAACAATGAGAACACATGGACACAGGAAGGGGAACATCACCCTCTGGGGACTGTTGTGGGGTTGGGGGAGGGGGGAGTGATAGCATTAGGGGATATACCTAATGCTAAATGATGAGTTAATGGGTGCAGCACACCAGCATGGCACATGTATACATATGTAACCTGCACATTGTGCACATGTATGCTAAAACTTAAAGTATAATAATAACAATAAAAAAAGTAAAAAAAAAAAAAAAAAAAAGGAAAGACTATGGCACAGTATGCTGTTGTTGAAAAGAATGACATAGAGTTATTTGAGCTGGAGGAATTTCCAGAAGGTTTTATTCACTTATTGAATGAAAAACTGAGATGTGTAAAAGTGTGTAATATAATTCTGTTCTTGTAAAACATCAACAATATGTGTAGGTGTGTATGTAAATAAATGTATATGTATAGGTATGTATGTAAACAAATAGTAGTAGTAGCTCATATGTATATAGCGATAATTATGTGTTAGGCACTGTTCATATTTTACATATATGATTGATTCATTTAATCCTCACCAAGTCTATAAAGTGCAAAAATCCTCAACAAAATACTGGCAAGCTGAATCCAGAAGCACATAAAAAAGTTTATTCACCATAATCAAGTAGACTTCACCCCAGGGATGCAAAGTTGGTACAACATACACAAATCAATAAATATGATTCATCACATACACAGAACTAAAAACAAAAACCATATGATTGTCTCTCAGTAGATGCAGAAAAGGTTTTTGATAAAATTCAACATCGTTTCACATTAAAAACTCTCAATAGACTGGGTATTGCAGGAACATACCTCAAAACATTAAGAGCCACCTATGACAAACCCACAGCCAACATCTTACCAAATGGGCAAAAGCTGGAAGCATTTCCCTTGAAAACCAGCACAAGACAAGGATGCCCTCTCTCACCACTCATATTCAACATAGTATTGGAAGTCCTGGACAGAGCAATCAGGCAAAAGAAAGAAACAGAGGGCATCAAATAGGAAGACAGGAAGTCAAACTATCACTGTTTGCAGATGACACTATTCTATATCTAGAAAACACCATAGTCCAAGCCCAAAAGCTTCTTAAGCTGATCAACAACTTCAGCAAAGTCTCAGGATACAAAATCAATGTCTAAAAATCACTAGCATTCCTATACAATAGCAACAGCCAAGCTGAGAGCCAAATCAGAAAGGCAATCTCAAAAGGATAAAATACCTAGGATTACAGCTAACCAGGGAGGTGAAAGATCTCTGCAAGTAGAACTACAAAACACTGCTCAAAGAAATCAGAGACGATAGAAACAAATGGAAAAACATTTCATGCTCATGGGTAGAAAGAATCAGTATTATTAAACTGGCCATACTGCTCAAAGCAATCTGTAGATCCAATGCTACTCCTATCAATCTAGCAAGGACATTCTTCAAAGAACTAGAAAAAACTATTTTAAAATTCATATGGAGCCCAAAAAGAGCCCAAATAGCCAAGATAATCCTAAGCAAAAAGAGCAAAGCTGGAGGCATGATGTTACCTGATATCAAACTATCTTACAAGGCTACAGTAACCAAAACAGCATGGTCCTGCTACAAGAACAGACACATAGACCAATGGAACTGAGTAGAGAGCCCAGAAATAGGTCTACACATTTACAACCATCTGATCTTCCACAAAGTTGACAAAAATGATTAATGGGGACACAACCTCTTATTCAATAAATGATGCTGGGATAACTGGCTACCCATATGCAGAAACTTGAATCTATAAATTATATCCTATTATTACTATTCCCAATACAGAGAAGTTAAGTGAATTGTTCAAGGTTAAACAGCTAGTAAATTTTGAAGCTGATTTTCATCTGAAAATAGGTAAAACCATATATAAGTAATCTGGTTGCCATATACGTTGTATGGTGCTTGTATACAATTATATTACTGTGGAGCCAGCAACGGAAAGAGGCTCTGCCCTGATGAAGAACTTCATAACTGTTTTGCTGAGAACCACTGCATTTTCTCTACTAGTGACATGCCAGGTGCCATGTGCTTTCTGTTCTTGGCTGTTGGTTACTTTTACACTCACTGCAGCTACCAACATCATGTAAGGGGGGAACATCTTAACTGTTGAAATTTGTTTCCAGACAATAGCTAATTCCTGTTAGACTTAATTTCTTACTCATCAAATGTAAATCTGTCATACTTTATATCCTTTTTTACCTCCAGCTGACAGGTGATGTGAAGAGAAAAATGTCTCATTTCTCCAAACTAACACACTACCTTCTTGAAAATAAAAATGGATATGCCCTTATCACATTATCACCAGTTGAGTTGCTTAGACTAGCTTTTAGACTCAGACAGCTCTTTTTCACTGATGGCTTTCTTGGTACCTGGATTACACTGGAACTGAAATGTTGTACCCTTACACACAAAATGTATATTTCTTTTTCTCTCTTTAAAAGTTAGTGTTTTCCTTTTCTTCTCCTGTTTATCAGTGGTCTTGCTTAGTTTCTGTGTTATCTTGTAGAAATAAAAGTAAGCTAATAAAAGACAAATGGATACATAATAGAATGAATGGTCCAAAACCAAAACGTAAAGTAGGAGAATCAAAAGCTGCGGAAGGTGGTTCATTTCAGCATTGATAGTAATGGTTCACATAATTATGTATGCACCATGGCAAATAGCAGGACTTGGGTCTGCTACATAGATTGTGCAAATGAATGTGTCTGTGTAAGTGAACATATTCATTTTTAGGGACACAGAAAATAATATATAGTCATGAAATAAAAAATATAAAATAGTATATGAACAAGTGATACAAAATCACCTATACTATTACTTAGAAATGCTAGAGCTGTCCAAATAAAATGTTCAATTCACAAATTTCATTTGTGAAATATTTTTCAGTTGAAAGTAAATTAAGGGCCTAGCGTGGTGGCTCGTGCCTGTAATCCAGCACTTTGAGAGGCTAAGGCAGGTGGATCACTTGAGGACAGGAGTTTGAGACCAGCCTGGCCAATGTGGTGAAACCCCATCTCTACTAAAAATACAAAAATTAGCCAGGTGTGGTGGTGCATGCCTGTAGTCCCAGCTACTTCGGAGGTTGAGGCATGAGAGTCACTTGAACCTGGGAAGCAGAGGTTGCAGTGAGCTGAGATTGCACCACTGCACTCCAGCCTGGGTGACAGAGCAAGACTCTGTCTCAAAAAAAAAAAAAAAAGCAAAGATATTGAACTATTGATATTAGTACAGGTAATTTAAGGCACAGAGAGTGATTTATGAAATCATTTGTTAAGTTTATTAAGCCACCAATGGAGTTTATTTACACATTTCTTGATTACCATTGATATAAAAATTTTTAAAAGCTTTAAAATTAATGCATTGTAGAATCATCCTCCGTAAAATTATTTAACTAGTATTAATATTTATGTACTGTTCCCTGTGAGAAGAATGATAGCATCTGTCTTATTTACTTGTGTATCTCCAGTAACTAGCACTATGCTTTGTACAGGTAGGCATGAAAAAGTATGTGTTGCATAAATAAATAAATGCAATAATTTAGTTGAGATATTTGATTGGTATTTGTAGAGGTGGTACAAATGATTAGAAAGATATGCCAGAATAAATTTGTATTACAAAGGTTCATATTCATTTTATTCTTTCATTTTTCAAATAAAGATAGCTCTATAAAATGTGATTATTTAGATTTCTAAATATAATATACCATTTAGGAAACCCAAATAATATAATATACATTTTTTTGGTGTGACTGTAGAGATCAATTGAAGCCTGATTTTTCTAAGACACATTTTCTGGATCTGTATTACGTGCACTTCTTTTCACTGGGAACATTCAAAATATGGACTGCTGAGCATATTTTTAAAATATTAAGAAGTTATCTTTACATTTAAAACTAAGACGAATAAATATTTTTCTGTAATCAACATGAAACAACGTGTGATCAACATTAAGGGTATTGTTTTTCCCTTTCTTTCACAGTCTTCTCTAGTGCTCCAGGACATAACTGTCTTTTAACCCATCAGCTATTTTTCAGGCACTTATTGTAACTACATCTTTTGCAGACTCACTGGTGATCATCTACACTTAAGTTGTGGCATATAACCATGGTACTAGTTTTTTGTTTGACAGGTCGGAATCTCTGAGTGTGGGCAAGTCTTCTGAGAGTCCTCTACAAAGCCTCGACTGTGGCTTTCCACCACTCCCCTGTCATTTTTTTCTCTTTTCATCAAAGCAGTGACAGCAGATTCTACCAAAGCAGCAATTGTTGCCCTTCTTGTCACCTGTCCGAATTCTCAGACTTAATTCTGGGCCATTTTAACTAACTAACATTTCTCAGTAGATCCTGAGGAGAAATATGTTACTGATTAATCTTCAGAAGAGAAGACAGCAGGATACCTTACCTATCACCGTGTCGTCCTGATTGCTGAACATGTGTGGGTAGCAACTCTTCCTAAGTGAAACAATTTTTTTTCATTTTATAAAATTTAGTAATATGAACCCAAGTGAGTATAGTGACAATAAATCTTACCAGTAGAGGTCAATGATTTTTTTCTAGCTTGAAGATCTTTCAGTATAAAACGATCTTTCAGTATACACTATATGAGGGCAGTATTTTTCCCACGGACTAAAAGAGAAGTAATCAATGTTATTTAATAATACTTTTTCATTTACTGATCTCTTTGAAATTTACTAGGTATTAGGCATTGATGCTTTGTCTAAAATACAAAGATTAATGAACAATATCTCATCAAAATAGGCTCACAGATTAGGGGACATGTAAATAAATGAATCTTTAGACTATTATTAGTGTTCTGATAAAAAGAAAAATAGAATGCTATGGGAGCATATAGGAGAGTCATCTACATGATGCTGTGCTGACAAGTGTGAAATAATAAAGATATGTTCCAAGTGGAGTTTTATCTCTGTGCATATCCTACTGTCTGATCTAAAATATTTAGTTAATCTAAAGTCCCTATTAAACTTGAGAGTCAACACTGAATGAACTGCAGTGAGTGTTTTTTAAAAGGACCTTGTATATAACTTAAGGTAGAAGACTTATTAATACAAGCTTTATCCACTGACATACTTTCACTTCAGTAATGTCAAAAGCATGTGAATACGTAAATACAATTACATTTCTGTAAAAAAGATTGATTTAAGCCTATGTCTTAAAATATGAAATAAATGTATCTGCTTTTAGGAAAAGCAAAGTGTAAGTAATGGATGTCATCAAGATAGCTGATTGGAGGTGTCCAGTGCTCATCTTTCTTCACTAAGAAATGACAAAAACAACAAATACATAACTACATTTCAAGTAAAGTATCTAAGAGAGAACACTGGAATTCAGCAAGAAGTAACACAGCCTTCTGAAGTACAAAAACTCGATATGGCAGCATAGAGAGAGAAGTAAAGCACCAAGCCAAGATTGTAGAGAAATGGTAAAGGGGAGATCTCTAGCAGTGTCCATTACCACTACCAATACCTGCAATCATAGCTACAGAAAAAGATCACACTCCATGCAGGCCCTGAGCCATATAAGAAGATCCCTGGAGTCCAAGTGGCTGCATTACTCCAAAGAAGAAACCCATGCAGGGTCCTGCTTACTCTCCAAGATGCAAACTACTATGGCATGACTTTATTTTGAGAACAGAGACACTGTTATGGGGCATTGTAACCTGGGATCCCCTGCATCTCCACATTCCCAAGACCCTCCTTTTATTTCACTATGCCCATGCCAAAGGCCAGAACACCATGACCCCAGCTAGATCAGTGGTACAAATGTGACCACAGCACTTAAGGCCACACAGTGCCCTGCATCCCCAAAAAGAAGTGGTCCAGTACAGCTGGGAGGTCATTTCCAAGACCCAAGTAACTGAGAAGACATCCCCTAGAACCCAAGAACTGACCACCCAGCACCCACAACAGCCTCCACAACCAGATAAGCTGTTGTATGTGCCCCCTAGAGTCCAAGGACTGTTCTGCCCAGCATCTGCCACCATTGGTCGCCCCAATCCCTTGACCAGGGAGTCTTCCAGAGCCAAAGAACTGGCTTGCTCAGCAGTCCTATTCCTTAGCAAAGCCACACTGCTGCCTCAACAAACACCCACAATCTAGATCACTGAAGCATTTACAGTTACCACTGATGTTGATTACAGCTGAAGAAATCATGAAGAGACAAAAAAAAAAGAATGAATAAAACCTTTGGGACTTAGGGATCACCATATTCGCATTATAAGAGTTCCAAGGAGAAGAGAGTACAAATAAAAAAAAAATTTAAGAAAGTATAGTAAACCTATTTAATAACATAATAGCTGAAAATTTCCTAAGTCTTGAGAGAGTTAAAAACATCCAGATCCAAGAAGCTAATAAATTCTGCAATAGATTGAACCCCAAAATGTCCTCTCTGAGGCACACTGTAGTCAAATTGTCAAGTAAAAGACAAAAGAGAGAATTCTAGAAATAGCAACAGAAAAGCATCAAATCACGTATGAAGGAACCCTCATTAGACTGACAGCAGATTTCTCAGCAGAAACCATACATACCAGGAGACAATGGATAATATGTTCAAAGTGCTGAAAGAAAAATACTGACAGCCAAGAATAGTGTACCCAGCAATGCTATCCTTCAGAAACTAAGGAGAAATAGTCTTTTCCAGACAAGAAAAAACAGGGAATTTGTCACCACTAGGCCAGCCTTACAAGAAATACTTAAGAAACTCTTAGATCTGGAAGCAAAAGGACAATAACTACCATCATGAAAACACATGAGAATATAAAATTCACTGGTAGAACAGACATACAACTGAGAAAGAAAAGAATCAAATCGTGTCACTACAGAAAGTCACAAAACTGCAAAGATAAGCAATAAGAAAAAAAGCTATGCAAAACAAACTAAAAATAATTAATGAAATTATACAAGTCTTAACCTATCAATAAGAACCTTACAAGTAAACATTAAATTCCCCGTGCATCAACAAATTGGTAAACCTAGTTGAAATGAGTAAGTTCCTGGACACATACAATTTTACCATCACTGAACAGGAAGAAACAGAAAACCTGAAGAGACCAAGAACATGTAATGAGATTGAATCATTAATAAAAAGTCTTCCAAAAAAGAAAAGCCCAGGACCAAATGGCTTTATTGCTGAATCCTACCAAAATTTTAAAGGAGAACTACTACCAATATTTCTCAAACTATTTCAAAAAATCAAACAGTTGAGAATGCTTCCAAACTGATTCTACAAGGCCAGCATTACCCTGATACCAAAACTAGACAAGGACATAAAATAAAAAGAAAACTAAAGGCCAATATCCTCAATGAACAGAGATGCAAACATCCTCAACAAAATACTAGCAAGCCAAATCCAACAGCACTTCAAAAATGGTATACACCATGATCAAATTGGATATATCCCAAAGATGCAAGATTGGTTCAACACATGCAAATCAATAAATGTGATATATCACATAAATAGAAGGAAGGAGAAAAATAAATCTTCTCAACAGATGCAGAAAAAACATTTGCTAAAATTTAATATCTTTTTATTATAAAAACTCTTAACAAAGTAGGTATTGAAAGAAACATACTTCAAAACAATGAAGATCATATATGATTCCATCAATAAACTCTTATAACTGAGAAAAAATCAGTAACATTGCAGGGTACAAGATCAACATTCAAAAATCAGTAACATTTCTAGAAACCACTAACAAGCTAGTTAAAAAAAACAAGAAAGCAATTTCATTTATAATAGCTACAAAAATATCTAGCAATGAATTTAATCAAGGACCAAAAAAATCTCTGATAAAAACTATGAAACACTGATGAAAGAAATTGATGAAGACCCCAAAATGGAAAAACATCTTGTGTTTATGGATTGTTAAAATGATCATGTCCCCCAAGAGACCTGCAGATTCAATGTGATCCCTCTTAAAATACCAATAACATGATTCACAGAAATAAAAAAATATTCTAAAATTCATATGGAAACCACAAAAGACTTCAAATGGCTAATGGGATCCTGAGCAAAAGAACAAAGCTGGAGGCATCATACCACCTGACTTTAAAATATTCTAAAAAGCTATAGTAACCAAAACAACATAGCACCAACATAATAAAAGATACATAGACCAATGGAACAGAATAGGGAACACAGAAATAAATCCACAGATTTACAGCCAACAGACTGATAAATACTCCAAGAACATGCACTGGGGATGGGACAGTCTTAATAAATGTTGCTGGAAAAACGGGATATCCACATGAAGAAGAATGAAACTAGACCCCATCTCTCCCTATATATAAAAATTAACTCGAAATGGGTTGAAGACTTACATGTAAGACCCAAAACTGTGAAATGACTAGAAGAAAACATAGACCAATATAACAGACTAGAGAACACAGAAATAAATCCACAGATTTACAGCCAATGGACAGATAAATACTCCAAGAACATGCACTGGGGAAGGGACAGTCTTAATAAATGTTGCTGGAAAAACGGGATATTCACATGAAGAAGAATGAAACTACACCCCATCTCTCCCTATATATAAAAATTAACTCAAAATGCATTGAAGACTTACATGTAAGACCCAAAACTGTGACATGACTAGAAGAAAACATAAAGTAAATGCTGCAGGACATTGGCCTGGGCAAAAACTTTATAAATTTTATAAATAAGATCTTAAAAGTACAGGTAACAAAAGCAAAAACAGAGAAATGGGATTACACAAACTAAAAAACATCTGCACAGCAAAGGTAACAATCACCGGAGTGAAGAGGAAATCTGCAGAATGGGAGAAAATATTTGCAGACAATTCATCTGACAGGGGCTTAATATTTACCATATAGAAGAAACCTAAACAACTCAAAAGAAAAAAATCTGATTTCAAAATGGGCACTGATATAAATAAAATTTCTGAAAAAATACCTATAAATGGCCAAGAAGTATATGAAAAAAATGCTCAACATCATTAATCAGGAAAATGCAAATGAAAACCAAAATGACATATCATTTCATCCTAGTTAGAATGGCTATTATACAAAAAACAAAAATAACAGATTCTAAGTAGGATGGAGAGAAAGGGAAACTCTTATACATTGCAGGTAGAAATGTAAATTAGTATGCCCATTATGGAAAACAGTATGAACTTTCTTCAAGAAACTAAAAGTAGAACTACCATATGATCCAGCAATCCCACTACTGGGTATGCATCCAAAGAAAGGAAATCAGTATGTCAAACAGATATCTGCACTCCCATGTTAATTGCAACACTATTCACAACAGCAAAGATGGAATCAACCTCAGTTTCCATCAAAAGATGAATGGATAAATAAAATTCATTAAAAAGTGGATTATATCACTGTTGGCAACATGGATAAACCTTGAAGGCTTTCTGTTAAGTAAAATAAGGCAGAGAAAGACAAATGCCATGTTTTCACTTAATATTTCTATGGTAAACAAGTTGTTCATGGAAGTAGAGATTCGAATAGTTGTTACTATAGCCTGGGAAGGGTAGCGAGGAGAGTGGATAAGGAGATGTTGGTTAACAAATAAAAAAATACAGCTAGATAGGATTCTAGTGTTCTATATCACTATAGAATGATGATAGTTAACAATTACTTATTATATAGTTTTAAATAGCTAAAGAGATGGTTTTGAATCTTCACAACAAAAAGAAATGATAATGGTTTGAGGTTATGGGTATGTTAATTACCTTGATTTGATCATTACACATTGTATATGTGTATGGATATACCTATCACATTGTACTCCATAAACATGTACAATTATATCGTGTATAAAAAAAGCATGTTATATTTTAAGTTAAAATGTTCATGACATTCTGGAACTTGCCTTGCACATAAACTATACAATAATCCATTAGTTAATATTTTGCTTTTGTGGCTAATATCAAACAGAAACTAAATTCTTATGATAAATTATAATCTACTTCTCACATGAAAGACTGTAAGGTAAATCCAATCAATATATTTAAACACTAGATGCCCTGTCATGTTCAATTATGATATAGGCTGTTAACACAAGAATCAGAATTATGTTCTGATATGTTAAATGGTTTAATCTGAATTTTAATGATTCACCCCCAACCTCTAGCAATAGACATTTATTTGTAGATGTTCGACAAATATGAAAGATAAGCTAATTTCTCCAGTTATAATGAAACACTGACTCATGTATATAATATGTAGAATTACATTAAAGACCAAGTATTGAGCTTTAGGGGGATATGTGAGATAGTAAGATAGTAAATTAAAACCTAAGGAAAGGATAGTCAGAAAGAAAGAGGAGAAGCAAGAGGACATAGTATCATCTTAGTTAGAAAAAGTATATTTTTTAAAAAAACTTTTATTTTAGGTTCAGGGGCAGATGTTCAGGGTTTGTTATATAGGTACTCACATCATGTGGGTTTGTTGTACAGATTATTTTGTCGCTGAGATACTAAGCCTAGTACTCAATAGTTCTTTTTTCAGTTCCTCTCCCTCCTCCCACTCTCCACCTTCAAGCAGGCCCCATTGTGTGTTCTTACTCTTGTTGTGTCCATGTGTGCAATCATTTAGCTCCCATTTATAAGTGAGAACATATGATATTTGGTTTTCTTTTTTTAAAATCTTTCAGAAACACCTTTTATGTTCCTTTCCAATAACTACTCCCCTCAAAAGCTACCTTACTGTTTTACGTGTCATGATTTATTCCATATCATTTCTTTTTTAAAAAATATAGGTGCCATGTCCTATATCCTGGGAGGCATGCAGAATATTTTTCTTAAATTTTCTCCAGGGTCTTGCAGTAGCTTATCTTCAGAGATATGCTTGTTTTTTTATTTCCATAGGTTATTGGGGGAACAGGTGGTGTTTGGTTACATGAGTAAGTTCTTTAGTGGTGATTTGTGAAATTTTGGTGCACCCATCACCTGAGCAGTACACACTTTACCCTATTCGTAGTCTTTTATCCCTCACCCCCTTCCCACCCTTTCCCCTGAGTCCCCAAAGTCCATCGTGTCATTCTTATGCCTTTGCATCCTCATAGCTTAGCTCCCACTTATGAGTGAGAATGTAGGATGTTTGCTTTTCCATTCCTGAGTTACTTCACTTAGAATAATAGTCTCCAACCTCATTCAGGTCACTGTAAATGCAGTTAATTCATTCCTTTTTATGGCTGAGTAGTATTCTATCATATATATATATATATATATAATATTACATATATATCTCTCCCACACAGTTTCTTTATCCACTCATTGATTGATGGGCATTTGGGTTGGCTCCACATTATTGCAATTGCAAATTGTGCTGCTATAAACATGCATGTATGAGTATTTTTTTCGTGTAATGACTCCCTTTCCTATGGGTAGATACCCAGTAGTGGGATTGCTGGATCAAATGGTGGTTCTACTTTTAGTTCTTTAAGGAATCTCCACACTGTACTCCATAGTGGTTGTAATAGTTTATATTCCCACCAGCAGTGTAGAAGTGTGCCCTGTCCACTGCATCCACGCCAACATCTACTATTTGCTGATTTTTTTATTATGGCCATTCTTGCTGGAGTAAGGTGGTATCATATCGTGGTTTGATTTGCATTTCCCTGATTATTAGTGATGTTGAACATTTTTTCATATGTTTGTTGGTCATTTGTATATCTTCTTTTGAGAATTGTTTATTCATGTCCTTAGCCCATTTTTTGATGGAATTTTTTTTTCTTGCTGATTTGTTTGAGTTCGTTGTAGATTCTGGATGTTAGCCCTCTGTCAGATGTATAGATTGTGAAGACTTTTTCCCACTCTGTGGGTTGTCTGTTAACTCTGCTGACTATTCCTTTTGCCGTGCAAAAGCTCTTTAGTTTAATTAAGTCCCAGGATTTTATCTTTGTTGTTATTGCATTTGCTTTTGGGTTCTTGGTCATAAAATCTTTGCCTAAGCCATTGTCTAGAAGGGGTTTTCCAGTGTTATCTTCTAGGATTTTTATAGTTTCAAGTCTTAGATTTAAGTCCTTAATCCATCTTGAATGATTTTTATATAAGGTGAGAGATGAGGATCCAGTTGCATTCTCCTACATGTGGCTAGCCAGTTATCCCAGCATCATTTTTTGAAAAGGGTGTCCTTTCTCCACTTTATGTTTTTGTTTGCTTTGTCAAAGATCAGTTGGCTGTAAGCATTTGAGTTTATTTGTGTTCTCTGTTCTGTTCCATTGGTCTATGTGCCTATTTTTATACCAGTACCACGCTGTTTTGGTGACTACAGCCTTACAATATAGTTTAAAATCAGGTAATGTGATGCCTCCAGATTTGTACTTTTTGCTTAGTCTTCCTTTGGCTATGCGGGCCCTTTGTTGGTTCCATATGAATTTTAGAATTGTTTTTTTCTAATTCTGTGAAGAATGATGGTGGTATTCTGATGGAGACTGCATTGAATTTGTAGATTGCTTTTATCAATATGGTCATTTTCACAATATTGATTCTACTCATCCATGAGCAAGGGATGTGTTTTCATTTGTTTGAAAGAAATCTACAATTTCTTTCAGCAGTGTTTCGTAGTTTTCCTTTAGAGGTTTTTAGACTCCTTGGTTAGGTACATTCCTAAGTATTTTATGTTTTTTGCAGCTATTGTAAAAGGGGTTGAGTTCTTGATTGATTTTCAGCTTGGTCAGTCTTGGTGTATAGAAGAGCTATTGATTTGTGTACACTAATTTTGTATCTGGAAACTTTGCTAAATTCTTTTATCAGTTCTAGGAGCTTTCTGGAGCAGTCTTTAGGGTTTTCTAGGTAAATGATCAAATCATCAGCAAACAGCAACAGTTTGACTTCCTCTTTACTAATTTGGATGCCCTTTCTTTATTCCTTTCTCTTGTCTGATTGCTCTGGCTAGGACTTCCAGTACTGTGTTGAAGAGGAGTGGTGAGAGTAAACATCCTTGTCTTCTTCCAGTTCTCAGAGGGAATGCTTTCATTTTTTCCTCTTTCAGTATATGTTGACTGTGGGTTTGTCATAGATGGCTTTTATTATATTGACGTATGTCCCTTGTATGTCAATTTTGCTGAGAGTTTTAATCATAAAGGGATGCTGGATTTTTGTCAAATGCTTTTTTCTGCATTTATGGAGATAATCATGTGATTTTTGTTTTTAATGCTGTTTATGTGGTATATCATATTTATTGACTTGTGTATGTTAAATCATCCTTTCATCCCTGTATAAAACCCTCTTGTTCGTGATGAATTATCTTTTTGATATGTTGTTGGATTCGTTAGACAGTATTTTGTCAAGGATTTTAGCATCTACGTTCATCAGGGATATTGGTCTGTAATTTTCTTTTTTGGTTATGTCCTTTACTGGTTTTGGTATTAGGGTGATACTGGCTTCATAGAATGATTTAGGGAGGGGTTCCATCTTTCTCTATCTTGTGGAATAGTGTCAATAGGATTGGTACCAATTTATCTTTGAATGTCTGGTAGAATTTAGCTGTGAATCCATCTGGTCCTGGACATTTTTTTTTTATTGTTGTTAATTCTTGAATTACCATTTCAATCTCTCTGCTTGTTTTTCATCTGTTCAGGGTATCTAATTCTTCCTGATTTAAGCTAAGAAGGTTGTATCTTTCCAAGAATTTATTCATCTATTCTTGGTTTTCTAGTTTATGCACATAAAGTTGTTCATTGTAGCCTTGTATGATCTTTTGCATTTCTGTGGTGTCAGTTGTAATATCTCCTGTTTCATTTCTTATTGACCTTATTTAGATTTTCTCTCTTCTTTTCTTGGTTAGTCTTGCTAACAATCTATCAATTTTAGTTACCTTTCCAAAGAACCAGCTTCTTGTTTCATTTAACTTTTGTATTTTTTTTTTTTTTGCTTCAATTTCATTTAGTTCTGCTCTGATCTTGGTTATTTCCATTCTTCTGCTGGGTATGGGTTTGGTTTGTTCTTGTTTCTCTATTTTCTTGAGGTGTGACCTTAGATTGTCTGTGCTCTTTCAGACTTTTTGATGTAGGCATTTAGGGCTATGAACTTTCCTTTTAGCACTGCCTTGACTGTGTCCCAGAGGTTTTGATAGGTTTTCTCACTACTTTCATTTGGTTTGAAGAATTTTTTAATTTTAATTTTGATATATTTTTAACTCAATGATCATTAAGGAGTAGGTTATTTAATTTCCATGTATTTGCATGGTTTTGGAGGTTCCTTTTGGAGTTTATTTTCAGTTTTATTCCACTGTAGTCTGAGAGAGTGCTTGATATAATTTCAGTTTTCTTAAAATTATTGAGAATTGTTTTGTGGTCTATCATGTGGTCTATCTTGGAGAAAGTTCCATGTGCTGTTGAATAGAATGTGTATTTATGGTTGTTGGATGGAATGCTCTGCATATAGCTGTTAAGTCCCTTTGTTCCAGGGTATAGTTTAAATACATTGTTTCTTTGTTGACTTTCTGTCTTGATGACCTGTCTAGTGCTGTCAGTGGAGTATTGAAGTATTATTGTGCTGCTATCTCATTGCTTAGGTCTATTAGTAATTGCTTTGTAAAATTGGGAGCTCCAGTGTTAGGTGCATATATGTTTAGGATTGTGATATTTTCCTGTTGGACAAGACCTTTTACCATCATAGACTGTCCCTCTTTGTCTCTTTTAACCATTGTTGTTTTAAAATTTGTTTTGTCTGATATAAGAATAGCTATCCTGGCTTGCTTTTCATGTCCATGAAATGTGTTTTTCCACCCCTTTACTTTAAGATTATGTGAGTCTTTATGTGTTAGGTGAGTCTCCCGAAGGTAGCAGACAGTTGGTTGATGAGTTCTTATCCATTCTGAAGTTCTGTATCTTTTAAGAGGAGTCTTTAGGCCATTTACATTCAATGTTAGTATTGAGATTGAGGTACCATTCCATTCTTCATGCTATTTGTTGCCTGTGTACCTTGTTTTTTTTTTTTTTTTTTTCTTTTTTGCTTTTTAACTGTATTTTTGTTTTATAGGTCCTGTGTGATTTATGCTTTAAAGAGGTCCTTTTTTGATGTGTTTCCAGGATTTATTTCAAGATTTAGAGCCCCCTTTAGCAGTTCTTGTAGTGGTGGCTTGGTAATGGCGAATTCTCTTGTCATTTGTCTGAAAAAGACTGTATCTTTTCTTCATGTATGATGCTTAGTTTAGCTGGATACAAATTTCTTGCCTGATAATTGTTTTGTTTGAGGAGGCTGAAGATAGGGCCCCAATTCCTTCTAGCTTATAAGGATTCTGCTGAGAAATCTGCTGTTAATCTGATAGGTTTTCCTTTATAGGTTACCTGATGCTTTTGTCTCACAGCTCTTAAGATGCTTTCCTTTATCTTAACTTTAGATAACCTGATGACAGTGTGGCTAGGTGATAATATTTTTGCGATGAGTTTTCCAGGTGTTCTGTGTGCTTCTTGTATTTGGATTTCTAGGTCTCTAGCATGGCTGGGGAAGTTTTCCTTGATTAGTTCCCCAAATATGTTTTCCAAACTTTTAGATTTCTCTTCTTCCTCAGGAACACCAATTATTCTTAGGTTTGATTGTTTAACATAATCCCAGACTTCTTGGAGGCTTTGTTCATATTTTCTCATTCTTTTTTCTTTGTCTTTGTTGGATTGGTTTAATTCAAAGGCCTTGTCTTTAAGCTCTGAATTTCTTTTACTTGTTCAATTCTATTGGTCTTCCGATTTTCCAGAGCATTTTGCATTTCTGTAAGTGTGTCCAATGTTTCCTGAAGCTTTTATTGTTTTTTTCTTTATGCTGTCTATTTCTTTGAATATTTCTCCCTTCACTTCTTGTATCGTTTTTTTGGGTTTCCTTGCATTGGGCTTCGCCTTTCTCTGGTGCTTCCCTGATTAGCTTAATAACTAACCTCCTGAATTCTTTTTCAGGTAATTCAGGGGTTTCTTCCTGGTTTGGATTCACTGCTGGTGAGCTAGTGTGATTTTTTGGGGGGTGTTATAGAACCTTGTTTTGTCATATTACCAGAGTTGGTTTTCTGGTTCCTTCTCATTTGGGTAGGCTCTGTCAGAGGGGAGGTCTAGGCCTGAAGGCTGTTATTTAGATTCTTTTGTCCCACAGTATGTTCCCTTGATGTAGTACTCTGTCCCTTTTCCTATGGACGTGGCTTCCTGACAGACGAGCTGCAGTGATTGTTGTCTCTCTTCTGGATCTAACCACCCACCAAATTTACCTGCCTCTGGGCTGGTACTGGGGGTTGGTCGTCTGCACAGCAGAGTCCTGTGATGTGAACCATCCTTGGGTCTCTCAGCCATGGATACCAGCACCTGTTTTAGTGGAGGTGGTAGGGGGGTGAAATAGACTCTGTGAGGGTTCTTAGCTTACGTGGTTTAATGTTCTATTTTTGTGCTGGCTGGCCTCCTGCCAGGGGGTGGTGCTTTCCAGAGAGCATCAGCTGTGGTAGTATGGGGAGGAAATAGTGGTGGGTGGGGCCCTAGAACTCCCAAGAGTATATTCCCCTTGTCTTCAGCTACCAGGGTGGGTAGGGAAGGCGCATCAGGTGGGGGCAGGGCTAGGCATGTTTAAACTTAGACTCTACTTGGATGGTCTAGCTGGGGCTGCTGTGGAGGATGGGGGTGAGGTTCCCGGGTCAATGGAATTGTGTACCTAGGAGGATTATGGCTGCCTCTGCTGAGTCATGCAGGTTGTCAGGGAAGTGGGGGGAAAGCTGGCAGTTACAGGCCTCACCTGTCTCCTAAACAATCAGAAAGGCTGGTCTGACCTGCAGCGTGCCCCCTCTAACAGCACTGTGTGTTTCTGGGCCGTGTGTGAGCAGGGTTTGAGAACTTGCCCCAGGATACCCACCTCAGCTGTGAAAGAAAAGGGATTTGATTCTTCCCCTGCCCATGGAATCTGCAATATCGGATTCATGCCCTCTGCCGAGTTCTGGCCAGGAGGCTTCTCGATCAGTTCAAATTGTTACAAAATTCAGCTGGAGATTTCCTTCTCCCTGTGGCCTTTTCCCAGTGCCTCTGGCCTCCCTCCTGAAGGTCTTCTCTGAGATCAGGCAAAAACGGCTTGGTAGGGGACCCAGTGAGCTTCCAGGGGTTTCCTGCTGCCACCTCTACCCCTGTATTATGCTGGGCTCTCTAAATTGACTCAGCTCCAGGTAAGGTCAAAATCTTCCCTTGTAATGTAGGCCTTCAGCTTCCTGGACCATCTCCCTTTCCCACTTCCACAGTTTGGGCATCACAGTATTTGGGGTGTCTGCCGGGTCCTGCAGGAGCAATCCGCTTCCTTCAGGGGGTCTGTGGATCCTCTCAGGTTTCCTGATTTATTCCTTCAGTTGTTGTGGAGCAAAAATTCATGATGCGAGCCTCCACATGCTGCTCTGTCTGTCCAAGTCAGAGCTGCAATCTAGTCCTGCCTCTTGTCTGCCATGATCCCTGTGATATTTGGTTTTCTGTTCCTGTGTTAGTTTCCTAATAATGGTCTCCAGCTCTACCCATGTTGCTGCAAAGGACATGATCTCATTCTTTTGTATGGTTGCATAGTATTCCATGGTGTATTTATTGTACCACATTTATTTTACCCAATCTGCCATTGATGGGTGCTTAGGTTGATTCCATTTTTTTTGTTATTGTGAATAGTGGTGCAATCAACGTATGGATACATGTGTCTTTATAACAGAACAATTTATATTTCTTTGGGTATATATCCAGTAATGGGATTGCTGGGTCAAATGGTATTTCTATTTTTAGGTCTTTGAGGAATTGCCACATGGTCTTTCACAATGGTTGAACTAATTTACACTCCCAGTGTATAAGTGCTCCTTTTTCTCTGCAAACTCACTAGCATCTGTTATTTTTTCACTTTTTATTAATAGCCATTCTGACTGGTGTTACTGGGTCTCTCATGGTGCTTTTGATTTGCATTTCTGTAATGACCAGTGATGTTGAGCTTTTTTTGGTATCACTGTTGGCAACATGTCTGTCTTCTTTTGAAAGGTGTCTGTTCATGCCCTTTGTCCTCTTTTTAATGGGGCTATTTTCTGTCTTTTAATGTTTTTTAGGTTCCTTATAGGTGCTTAATATTAGACCTTTGTCAGATGCATGGTGTGCAAAAATTTTCATCCATTCTGTAGACTCTCTGTTCACTCTGTTGATAGTTTCTTTTGTTGTGCAGAAGCTCTTAAATTTAATTAGGTCCGATTTGTTAATTTTTGCTTTTGTTGCAGTTGTTTTGAGGTCTTCATCATAAAATATTTGCCTATTGCTCTGTCCTGAATCATATTGCCTAGGTCGTCTTCCAGGACTTTTATAGTTTTGGGTTTTACATTTAAGTCTTCAATCCATCTTGAGTTGATTTTTGTATGTGGCATAAGGAAGGGGTCCAATTTCAATTTTCTGCATATGACTAGCCAGTTATTCCAGCACAATTTATTGAATAGGGAGTCCTTTCCTCATTGCTCATTTTTGTCAGCTTTGTCAAAGATCAGATGATTGTAGGTGTGGAGCCTTATTTCTCGGCTCTCCACTCTGTTCCATTGGTCTATGTGTCTGTGTTTGTACTAGTACCATGCTGTTTTGTTACTGTAGCCCTGTAGTGTAGCTTGAAGTTTAGTGGCATGATGCTTCCTGCTTTGTTTTTTTTTTTTTTTTTTTGCCTAGGATTGCCTGGGCTATTCAGACTTTTTTTTTTTTTAAACTTTATACGAACTTTTAATAGTTTATTCTTCTAGTTCTGTGAAGAATGTCATAGGTGGTTTGACAGGAATAGCATTGAATCTGTAAATTGCTTTGATCAGTATGGCCAGTTTAATGACATTGGTTCTTTCTATCCATGAGCATGGAATGTTTTTCCATTTGTTTGTATCATCTCTGATTTCTTTGAGCAGTGCTTTGTAGTTCTACTTGTAGAAATCTTTCACCTCCATGGTTAGCTGTATTCCTGGGTATTTTATCCTTTTTTTAGCAATTGTGAATGAGACTGCCTTCCTGATTTGACTTTCGTCTTGGCTGTCGTTGGTTTATAACAATACTAGTGATTTCTGCACATTAATTTTGTATCATGAAATTTTGCTAAAGTTTTTTTTTTTGTTATCTTAAGGAGCTTTTGTGCTTAGACTATGGGGTTTTCTAGATATAGAATCATGTCATTGGCAAACAGGGATAGTTTGACTTCCTTTCTTCCTATTTGGATGCCTTTTATTCTTTCTCTTGTCTGATTGCTCTGGCCAGGACTTACAATACTATGTTGAATAGGAGTGGTGATAGAGGACATTCTTGTCATGCTGATTTTCAAGGGGAATGCTTCCAGCTTTTGCCCATTCGGTATGATGTTGGCTGTCAGTTTGTTATAGATGGCTCTCATTATTTTGAGGTATATTTCTTCGATACCCAGTTTATTGAGGGTTTTTGAACATGAAAGGAAGTTGAATTTTATTGAAAGCCTTCTCTGCATCTACTGAGAGACAATCATAGTTTTCATCTTTAATTCTGTTTATGTGGTTAATCACATTTATTGATTTGTGTATGTTGAACAAATCTTGCATTCCTGGGATAAAACCTACTTGAGAGTGGTGGATTAGCTTTTCAATGTGCTGTTGGATGCAATTTGCAAGTATTTTATTGAGGATTTTTGCATCAATATTCATCAAGGATAATGCCTTTTTTGTTGTGTCTCTGCCACATTTTGGTATTAGGATAATGCTGGCCTCATATCCCTTCTCAATTTTCTGAAATAGTTTCAGTAGAAATGTTAACCAGCTCTTTGTACAGCTGGTGCAGTTCTGCTGTGAATCTGTCCAGTCCTGATAGGCTATTTATTACTGATTCAGTTTTGGAGCCTGTTAATTGTCTATTCAGGGAATCAATTTCTTTTTGGTTCTGTCTTGGGAGGGTATATGTGTCCACAAATTTATCCATCTTTTCTAGGTTTTCTAGATTGTATGCACAGAGGTGTTCATAATAGTCTCTGATGGTTGTTTGTATTTCTGTGTGGTCAGCGGTAACATCCCCTTTGCCATTTCTAACAGTGTTTATTTGGATCTTCTCTTTTTTCTTCTTTATTAGTCTAGCTAGTCGACTATCTTGTTATTTTTTGCAGAAAACAAACTCCTAGATTTGTGGATCTTTCGAGTGTTTTTTTGTGTCTTGATCTCTTTCGATTAAGCTCTGATTTTGTTTTTTTCCTGTCTTCCGCTAGCTTTTTGGTTTGCTTTTGCTTCTCTAGTTCTTTTAGTCGTGATCTTAGGTTGTTAATTTGAGATTATTCTCACTTTTTTGATGTAGGCATTTAGTGCTATAAATTTCCATCTTAATATTGCCTTAGCTGTGTCCTAGAGATTGTGGTATGTTATATCTTTGTTCTCATTAGTTTCAAAGAACTTCTTGATTTCTGCCTTAATCTCATTATTTACTCAAATGTCATTCAGGAGCAGGTTGTTTAATTTCCATGTATTTGGATGGTTTTAAGCAATTTTTAAAGTATTGATTTCAATTTTTATTGCACTGGAGTCCAAGAGTATGTTTAGCATGATTTCTGTTCTTTTGAATTTGCTGAGGATTGTTTTATGTCTGACTGTGTGTTCAATTTTAGAGTATGGGCCATATAGTGATGGGAAGAATTTATATTCTGTTGTTTTTGGGTGCAGAGTTCTGTAGAGGTCTATAAGATCCATTTGGTCCAATGTTGAGTTTAGATCCTAAATATCTCTGTTAATTTTCTGCCTCAGTGATCTGTCTAATACTGTCAGTGGAGTGTTGAATTCTCCCAGTATTATTGTGCGGGACTCTAAGTCTCTTTGTAGATCTCTAAGAACTTGCTTTAGGAATCTGGGTGCTTCTGTGTTGGGTGCATACATATTTACGATAGTTAGGTTTCCTTGTTGAATTGAACCCTTTACTGTTATGTAATTGTCTTTTTTGATCTTTGTTGGTTTCAAGTCTGAAAAAAATGATGGTTAGATGCCACAAAATAGGTGGCAATGTCTTAACCATATGTGTCTTGTCATGCCCGAGGGCCTCTTCCATCCTTGTCAAGGAGTATGGTAACCTTTTCTCCTTTCATACAACACAGGAAAAGTTTCAAGTTGCAATTGGTGCCAAAGAATTTGGGATAAAAAGCTTCCTTAAATTTATCAAGAAAAGAGAGAAGGTATACTTAGGAGAGTAATATCAATATGTATATGAAGAATAAGAAGGGATAAGATTAGATATTTAAACAGTTAAAAGAATATTTAATATAGAAAATTATTATAGACAACATAGGATAGAATTTTGGCAGGAAGTATGGTACAGATTGTAGTTAGTCTGTATTAAGAATAGATTAATCTGTTAATCGGTTAATATGTATTAATCAAATAAGAAGAATAAAAGACCATGGAGTATGCTTAAAGAAAACTGGATAGTACACTCTTTTGTCATTTTCCTCTTTCTCCCGCTAAAGACCTGCATGCCAGTGTAATGGCTGGAGCATCAGCAGTTCTTAGACCAACTGAGAGACCTTGAAAATAAAGTCGTGAATGGAGGAATATAGCAGAAATGTAGAAGCCTGGATTTCTAAAGACTCTGGGGCTGTCTGTTTAGACCTAGGTTTCAAGCTTAGCTTCTTTACATAAATGAAAAAATAAACTTCTATGATGGTTTAGAAAATCTTATTTTTTATTTCTGTTTTATGCAGCTGAACTTATTCTTTCTGGTAAAATTGATTTTGTATCTCGAAGCCCCTTGAATTTCTACCAAGTGTTTGTTACTAGTAGGCTTCTAAAGGGAAAGAGAATGGGAAACTGATTTGATGCACTGTCTTCTCAATGCATATCAGTGAGTTGTTCTGCTTTTATATTAAGCAGAGGAAGCATATCGTGAGCACGTAACGAGTTGACTTTTTTCACCATTAATGGAAGTGTATGTGGTCATGAAGAAAGATTTTGTAATTAGATACTGACCAGAGGTATACTGAAGCACATTGGCTAGGTTTTACTGTGGTGACAAACCACCAAAATTTCAGTAGCTTAAAGCAACACAACTTATTTCTTGCTCACTGTACATGTTCAACATGATTTGACCGGGGATTCTTTTCCATATAGCCACTCCACACCATATGCTATCTCCTTTGCACAGCAGGGGAAGAATGGGCTAGAGAGTTGGGCACTAGTATTTACCACTGGTGACTCTCATATTCCCTCACATCTCATTTGCTAGAATTAGTTACATGACCATGACTAACTCCAAGAAATGAAGCAGTATAGGCTTCCTCATACACAGAAGTGGGAAAGAACTGGATATTTAAGAACATTAATTATATCTACTACTCTACTAAAACATAAAATAACCTGTGCAAACACTTTCAATGCACAAATATGTTTTTATCTTTTGTTAAATTATTTTATTAAGAAAGGTTTTCCTCTAAAAAGAACAAAATAAACCATTGCCAGATGAGAATTTCTACAAGCCTAATCTCTCTTCAGCAGGTGAAAGACACTTTCACTGAGAAATAGCAAGTTTCTTTAAGAAACAGATGAGCACTAAGTCTTAAAGATTCACAAATACCCACACAAGTTTATTCATCCATTCATTCTGTAGACAATGATTAAGCATCTGCTAAGTGCGGTTCTGATGAAACCTATTGAAATTAGAATGTAGGGTGCCAGATTTAAAAAGAGGAAATGGACATGACTCTAAATATTTATAAAATTCTTTCTCTAAGTAGAATTTTATTCAAAATACAGAAACTACATTATAATCTCCAAATACATTTACGTTACCAGATAGTTCTTGGAAACTAATTATATTACTATGATTAAAAATACCACAGTGACATTTATCCCAGTTGGGAAACATTTAACAGAATATATTTAAGAAAACACATCAGAATCTCTGGGAATAAGGTACCGAGAAGACTTTCCTACCAGCTGACTCTAGCTAGCTGCACACACATTTCATAATAATAACTTAGCAATATGGTTATTTTCCACAAAATAGAAAATTCACTGGTTTTTAATTTAAGTGATATCAATCTACTTCTTTTTGTTTTCTTACATGGTATTTATTGAACTGTTCTACATAAAGTATCACTGTATCAGAATCTCTTATGATAGATTAATAGTAATATAAGGCAACATTTCAAATATCAACTTGAATAAAATCTCTGATGGGAAACTTCTCAATAGATAGGTTGCCAATTATACTTTTATGTTCTATATGTGTTGGTATAACACTTATGGAAAGATTCGAAAAAGTATTTTTCCAAATTCTGATTATTTCCTTAGGATAGATGACTTGAAATGGAAATATTAGTTCAAATTTATTAGAACATAAATTTAAAAGAATAAATTCAACACATACTTTCAAATTGTTTCCAGACAGAAACTTATACTAATTTGTATTCCAACATATAATCAGTCTGCTGATGCCTCTTTCTTTTGGTTAAAAATGTTATCAAAAATTATTCTTTCTTTGCTATTCCATTGCTTTCATCTTGAGAAGGTACTTCTCCATTCAGAAACCATGTTATTACTTACCTATATTTAATTCTAGTATTATGATTTTGTTTTACTCTATTGCCTCCAGTCTATTTAAGTAATATTTACTTTATTCCTTTAAGCTGTAGGTTTTTGAGAGCAACGACTTTCCTATATACCTTTTAAAAAAGAGTCTGTCTTGTGGTTGATATGGTGTGAATATTTCTAGGATAAATGGGGACTATGGTGGCTTTTACCTTTAGAACATCTCATGAATTTTCTATGCCTGAACATGATTTTTCAAATCAATTTTGTTTTAGACAAAATGACATTTTTATTTTTTAATTATGAAAACATAGCTATGTTAATTTCATATTTTTTGGTGTGTTTAAATATACATCCAACAACGGACTAATATCCAGAATCCACAAGGAACTAAAAAAAATCAGCAAAAAAAAAAATCCCTTCAAAAAGTGGGCTAAGAACATGAATAGACAATTCTCAAAAGAAGATATACAAATGGCCAATGAACATGAAAAAACACTCAACATCACTAATTATCAGGGAAATACAAATCAAAACCACAATGCAATACCACCTTACTTTTGCAAGAATGACCAATAATCAAAAAAAAAAATAAATGTTGGCATAGATGTGGTAAAAAGGGAACACTTTTACATGTTGGTGGGAATGTAAACTAGTACAACCACTATGAAAAACAGTATGGAGATTCCTTAAAGAGCCAAAAGTAGAACTGCCATTTGACCCAGCAATCCCACTCCTAGGTATCTACCCAGGGGAAAAGAAGTCATTATATAAAAAAAGATAGTTGCACATGCATATTTATAGTGGCACAAGTGGCAATTGCAAAATATGGAAGCAGCCCAAATGCCCATCAATCAACGAGTGGCTAAAGAAAATGTGGTGTATATATACCATGGAATACTACTCAGCCATAAGAAGTAACAAAATAATGGCATTTGCAGCAACCTGGATGGAACTGGGGACCATTATTCTAAGTAACTCAGGAATGAAAAACCAAACTTCATATGTTCTCACTTACAAGTGGGGGCTAAGCTATGAGGATGCAAAGGCATAAGAATGATACAATGAACTTTGGGGACCCGGGGGAATGAGTGAGAGGGGGGCGAGGAATAAAAGACTACACATTGGGTACAGTGTACCCTGCTTGGTTGATGGGTGCACCAAAATCTCAGAAATCACCATGAAAGAACTTATTCATGTAACCAAATACCACCTGTTACCAAAAGCCTATTGAAATAAAGAAAAAGAAAGAAAAAATTAAAAAAAAAATTTTCATTAACTACAGTTTAGTTTGGTAGGCAGCATTATTTATCAGGAGACTGTCAACAAGAAAAGATTTTTATTTCAAAATTGAATGTGAGAAAACATTATAAAAATTATTCTCTTTCTTTGTTCTATAGGAATTACAGAAATATTTATCAAAATAGTCATATAATGACTTGTTCAGTCATATTATTTCCACTTTCTTGAAAGTGCTTGCTTTTTACAACACATACAGTTTGGTATCAATACAGATAAAGAAGGGCAGGCAAGTTTCACATAAGGCCTTATACATAATAAACTTCAATTAAAGTTAGTTTCAGAAGACCAATTTTCAAAAGTTACTCTATAGCCTTAACCTTTGGTATTTTTACCCTGAGTTATATATTGGAACACTTTTTTTCCCAAGTGACAATTTAGCGTTTTATTGTATTTTTTCTCTTTTTACTGTAAAATAATGCACAACACAATAATGTATAGTTCAATTAATCCTTATAAGGTGAACATTCTTGTAACAATCATCCAGGTCAAGAAATTGAACCTTGCCAGCCATCCTAAAGTCCCCCTTTTTTCCTGATCCCAGTTGCCTTCATTTTTCTTCCAATGGGAATCATTGTCTTGACTTAATATCGTATCTCTATAATATTTCCTTGCAGTTTATCACCCAAATGCTCATTCATAGGCACCACATTTTAGTCTTCAAACATTCTACTTCAAAGCTTTAAAAAATGCTATCTTTGTGCCTATTTCTCTGAAGAAAGATTAGAATGATAGTTTCCATTTTTTTTTTTTTTGCTAAATAAAGTATTTAGAGAAGGTTACACCTTTGAGTCCTCCTTGAATGGAATTTACATTGCTCTCACATTCACACAAAACATAGACAAATTGTAATAACATTCTTTAGAAGAAATTCATTTCAAAAAGTATGTCTCAATGACTGTCAGTATTGTCAAAGGGAGCATCCCAACGTTCTGCAATTTGTTATGATAGCAATTATGTCTTTGTGCAGGCTGCACCAAGTTTCTGTTGCTCCTAACCAACCTATATACTCATGAGGAAAAAGAAAATGTATACATTTTAAAAATTAAGGGGCAGCAAAAATGTCAGTGAAAAAAGTCAGGTTTTGAGTAGAGAATTTGGATGAGTCAGTTAATGTAAATGGCACCAATTTCTTTTTCTTGGTGTTTTTTTTTTACACAAACTTTTTTTTTGTTTGTTTGAGATGGGTTCTCACTCTGTTGCCCAAGCTAGAGTGGCACTGGCGTGATCATAGCTCACTGCAGCCTTGAACTCCTGGGCTCAAGAAATCCTCCTGCTTCAGCTTCCTGAGTAGCTGGGACTACAGACATATACCACCAAACTCAACTAACTTTTAATTTTTTTTTTCAGAGACAGGGTTTTGCTATGTTGCTCAGGCTAGTTTCAAACTCCTGGCGTCAAGCTATCCTCCCACCTCAGCCTCCCAAGTAGTTGGGGTAATAGGTGTGAGCCACCATACCAGTCCTGGACAAATACTTTCATTGAAGAACAAAACTATATTGAAGAATACATAATTCATCACTGCACAGCTTTTGTGAATTTTTATAAAGGAAAGATATTATAAACCACCCCTCAGATCAGGCTGTAGGACACTATGAGCAGTCAAAATAATAAGTATCCCTATGTCTCCTCCAAAACATTATCACTCCAACCTCTCCACAAAATGTAACCACTATACTAACTTCCATCAATCTAGATTAGCTTACTGGTATTTGAAAAATGGAATAATGTGGTATAATGTGTATGCATTCTATTGTGCTTGGCTTCTTTTGCTCAACATTATGATAGTGAGTTTCATATTGTTGCATGCAGTAGTAGTTAGTGCTTCTACTTCTTGTGTAGTATTGTATGATATGACCATACCACAGTTTATTTATTCATTTTATTACTGAAGAACATCTGGGTTGTGAGTTTCATATTGTTGCATGAAATAATAGTGTTTCTTCTTGCTGTGTAGTATTGTATGCTATGACTATACCACAGTTTATTTATTCATTTTATTACTGATGGCCACTTCGGTTGTTTTCAGTTTTTGCTTCATTAAAAATAATGCTGTTAGGAGCCTTCTTCTATTTTTCTTTTGGAGAATATATATATGTACACATTTCTATTAAGTAAATAGAAAGCAATGAAATTGCTTAATCAAAGCGTATTGAGTGTCCCAATTAGCAGATACTGCTAAACAGTTTTCCAATGAATTTAAACCTTTTTACACTCTCGTCAGCAAAGTGTAAGATTTCCACTTCCTTGTCATTGTCACAAACACTTGGAACTGTCAGCCTCCTAAATTTTAGCTATTTTGTTAGGTGTGCAGTGATATCTCATTGTGGTTTTAACTTGTCTTTTTCTGAGGATTAATGATGTTGTAAACGTTTTTTTATGCTTATTAGCTACTGCCTATCCTTTTTTGTGAATTATTGGTTCAAGTCTTTTCTTCATTTTGTGTTTAACTGGATATTCTTTTTAGTTTTAGAGCTTTTTGATATATTCTGGATACAAGCGTTTCATCAGCTAGATGTATTGCAACCATCTTGTAACTATGGCTTTACTTTAACATTCTTAAATAATCGTTTGGTTATTAGAAATTCTTAGCTGTGTATCATTGCTGGACATTTGGGTTGGTTCCAAGTCTTTGCTATTGTGAATAGTGCCGCAATAAACATATGTGTGCATGCATCTTTATAGCAGCATGATTTATATTCCTTTGGGTATATACCCAGTAATGGGATGGCTCGGTCAAATGGTATTTCTAGTTCTAGATCCCTGAGGAATCACCACACTGACTTCCACAAGGGTTGAACTAGTTTACAGTCCCACCAACAGTGTAAAAGTGTTCCTATTTCTCCACATCCTCTCCAGCACCTGTTGTTTCCTGACTTTTTAATGATTGCCATTCTAACTGGTGTGAGATGGTATCTCATTGTGGTTTTGATTTGCATTTCTCTGATGGCCAGTGATGGTGAGCATTTTTTCATGTGTTTTTTGGCTGCATAAATGTCTTCTTTTGAGAAGTGTCTGTTCATGTCCTTTGCCCACTTTTTGATGGGGTTGTTTGTTTTTTTCTGTAACTTTGTTTGAGTTCATTGTAGATTCTGGATATTAGCCCTTTGTCAGATGAGTAGGTTGCGAAAATTTTCTCCCATTCTGTAGGTTGCCTGTTCACTCTGATGGTAGTTTCTTTTGCTGTGCAGAAGCTCTTTAGTTTAATTAGATCCCATTTGTCAATTTTGGCTTTTGTTGCCATTGCTTTTGGTGTTTTAGACATGAAGTCCTTGCCCATGCCTATGTCCTGAATGGTAATGCCTAGGTTTTCTTCTAGGGTTTTTATGGTTTTAGGTCTAACATTTAAGTCTTGAATCCATCTTGAGTTAGTTTTTGTATAAGGTGTAAGGAAGGGATCCAGTTTCAGCTTTCTACATATGGCTAGCCAGTTTTCCCAGCACCATTTATTAAATAGGGAATCCTTTCCCCATTCCTTGTTTTTCTCAGGTTTGTCAAAGATCAGATAGTTGTAGATATGCGGCATTATTTCTGAGGGCTCTGTTCTGTTCCATTGATCTATATCTCTGTTTTGGTACCAGTACATGGATGAAATTGGAAATCGTCATTCTCAGTAAACTGTTGCAAGAACAAAAAACCAAACACCGCATATTCTCACTCATAGGTGGGAATTGAACAATGAGAACACATGGACACAGGAAGGGGAGCATCACACTCTGGGGACTGTTGTGGGGTGGGGGGAGGGGGGAGGGATAGCTTTAGGAGATATACCTAATGCTAAATGACGAGTTAATGGGTGCAGCACACCAGCATGGCACATGTATACATATGTAACTAACCTGCACATTGTGCACATGTACCCTAAAACTTAAAGTATAATAATGATAAAATAAAAAAAAGAAACAAACAAACAAAAAAAAGAAATTCTTAGCTGTATTCAAGTCCATCTTTATCTTTTTTTCCCTCTTTTGGTCCTGTTTAAAAAACTTTGGCCTACCCCAAGGTCATGAAGTACGTTACCTTCTAGATGCTTTATTCCTATCTTCTCACATTTAGGATTACGATCTACTTGGAATTGACTTTTTTTCCCCATGCTGTGGGGTAGGAATCAAGATTCATATTCCTCCCCAATGAAATTAAATTTTTCTGGAGCAATTCATGAAAAGAATAACTTCCCCCTTTGCATAGTGGTGGCATATTGATTATAAATCAGGTGATTATTTCTGCGTGAGTATCTTTTTAGGGTCTCTGTTTTATTCTATTGTGCTACTTTCCTGTCCTTACACCACCACTAATCTTAACTACTACAGTGTTATATATTTGATATGTGATCATTTAAGATGTCTGGTTTTTATTGTTTTAGGTACTGAAGAGTATGTTATATATAAATTTTAGAATCCAATTTCCACCTAAATTCAACTGAAATAATTTTGATCAATTTGTGAAAAATTCATATATTTATAATATTGAGGCTAACTATGGTTTATAAAAATTAATATATTTATAATATTGAGGCTTTCTAACTATGGTTTATTACTGCATTTATTCAGATCTTTAGCTCAGAAATGTTTGGCAATTATTTTGTAGAGGTCGTGCTGATCTTTTGTTAGATTTAATCCTAAGCATTGGATATTTTTGAAGCTAGTGAACCAGAGCCTAAATAAAATATGTCACTAGAAAAGCCATTCCTGACTGGAAACAGATGATAGAGGAAACTAGATATCCTCCTACATAAATAGTTATTATCACAGAATACTAAGTAGAGACCATTTTTTTTTCATTTTTGGTGAGTGTATATGTAAATTGTTAATATTAAGGAACAATTATATCTAACACATAATCGCTTAAGCAGTTGGCTTAATTTCATTCTCTACATTTGTCTTAATATTACAAATAGTAGTAATAATAATAGAAATTTGAAGCCGGAAGTAAGCCCCTTAAGAAGTCTAGAAAATCTCAGGCCACTACTACTTATTGGGTGGCTTGTACAACAGAAATGTATTTTTCTCACTCCTGGAGGCTCGAAGTCCCAGATCAAGGTGTCAGCATGGTTATTTCTTCTAAGAGCTCTCTCCTTGGCTTGCAGATGGCTGTTTTTTTCTCATCTCTTCATGTGGTCTTTCTTCTCTGTGTTGGTGTCCTAATCTCTTCTGATAAGGGTGCCATTCCTACTGGTTTGAGGCCCAATCTCATGAGTTCAATTTATCTTAGTTACCTCTTTAAAGCCCTTATCTCAAATACAGTCACATCCTGAGGCCCTGGATGTTGGAATAGGTTTCTTGCCATAATTTCAACAAATGATGGGGTATGAAAACAAACTACAGCAACAGAATCTTTTTGAGATGTTTAATTGAGCCAGTATAATTGTACTCTAAAACAATGGTGTTATTATAAAATAATTGCACTGTTGCGAAGTCAAACTTGATACTGTGCTTTTTCTCTTTCCTTCTGGTGGAGTGTCTATCCTAGACCCAGTCCTTGGATGTCGTTCTCCTCTATGTGTACTATCATGGCATTTCTTACTATGTATGTATATATCCTCATGACTTCCAAACTTATCTATTCTGGGATCCTATACATATAAACACAACTATCTACTTAAAATTTCTGCATGGATGTCTAATACGCATCTCAAATGTAACATGTCCAAAAACAAATTTCTGCTCCTTCTTCCAAACCTGCTTCTCTTGCTGTCTTGGTTAGTAGCAACTCTTCCAGATGCTCAGTATAAAACCCTTGGGGACTCTCCTTAACTCCTCTACTTCTCTTTTGCCTTATGTATTTAACACATCAGCAAATTTTATTGGCTCTAACTTTAAAATATATTCAGAAACAAATTCTCACTGCCACCTCTAGAATCTCTCAAGTCTACTCCCCATTAATCTCTTGCACCCAGGCTTATGTTATATTCTGCTCATTTTTTCCCCTGCTTCTACCCTTACCACCTTCGTGATGGAGCAGTCAGTCACCCTGCTGAAATGTAAGTCAGATCATGCCCCTCCATTGCTTCAGATCCTCCAATTACTTACCATCTTATTTAAATTAAAGGTTTCTCCAGTACCTGATTTCCCCAAACTTGTCTGAGTTAATTTCTGACAACTCTTTCCTTCATCCACTCAGCTCCAGCTACATGGGCCTCCTTGCTATTCTCTGAACAGAGACAGAGTGCACTTTTTGATTCTGCTGCCTTAAAAGTTCATTCCAATATATCCCAATATATCTTTCTATTGCCCCCTTCAGGTCTTTGTTTAAATGGCATCCCATCCACGAGACTTTATCTGACTGTGTTGTTTAAAATTATAACATTATTCTACTCCCTTGCCTCCTTACTTCCTTTTCTTTATATTAATACTACTTATCCCATTGAAAATACTATAAAATGAACTTAATTATTTTGGTTTATATCTGCCTTTCTGCACACATGCCTCCTTACTTCCTTTTCTTTATATTAATACTACTTATCCCATTGAAAATACTATAAAATGAACTTAATTATTTTGGTTTATATCTGCCTTTCTGCACACATGTGTAGAGCCTATGTAGATAGTAATTTTTATTTATTTGACTCATTGATGCATTCCCCACACATAAAATGATAGACTGCGATTTTTGTTTGTTTGTTTGTTTTGAGACAGAATCTCGCTCTGCCACCCAGGCTGGAGTGCAGTGGCGCAATCTTGGCTCACTGCAACCTCCATCTCTGGTTCAAGCGATTCTCCTGCCTCAGCCTCCCGAGTAGCTGGGATTACAGGCACAAGCCATTATGCCTGTCTAAATTTTTTGTATTTTTAGTACGGACGGGGTTTCACTATGTTGGCCAGTCTGGTCTCGAACTCCTCACCCCAAGTGATCAGCCCGCCTCAGCCTCCCACAGCTGGATTACAGGCGTGAGTCACCGCACCCGGCCATGATATACTGCCTTAATGCAATAATTATATTAGGCTATTTAAAATTACTATGTAAATTATAGAAATTATAAAAGGATTTAGCTTTCCTACAGAGCTTTAATGTTTATAAACATATAAAAGTAACTTCTACGTAAATTAAAAGGTATTTAGCTGGTTTCCATATTATGACAAGTAAAAACAAAAATGAACAAACTAGCTACCAGGAATAGGAAAGTGTGGGAATTTCTAAAAAGCTGTTTTAATGAAAGAATTCTGGTAGTATTTATGATGGCTAAAGAAAAGTGAACCTAAAATATACCACAGTGTATAAACAAGGCTGATGACATAAAAATACTGAGGATTGTCGCCTTTGTGTCTGAGACTGAGGATATCAGTTGCTTTGGTTTCCTTAATACATTATTTGGCTTGCCTAGCATTGTCAAAGGACAGTATTTACTTAAGTTATTTAAATTAATTTTGAGAATGAAAAATTCATAAGGCTGAAAGAGGGCCATAGAAGATAAAAATTAGTTCACAGAAAATTTAATGTCAATGCTTACTTCCTGGAGCATGTTAATATATTCTGTGTTTTGCTCCTCATAGCAGAATCTTGTTAAAATTTCAGAACAAAAAAGGAAATAGATTCCTTGTAAAGAGACTGACTGTGTAACTTAGGTAGGAAAAACATACACAAAAGTAAATGTTTTGCCTCAGAAATAACTTGTATAACACTTTCAATATCCAAACATTTACTTTTAAAATACAATTTAGATTTCTCTGAGTTGCTTATAAATAAGCAACATTTCTTATAGGAATAATTTCAGCAAGAAATAACTAAGATGAATAAATAAAATATCATATGTATGTAAATCAAAAGCATTAACAAAAACAAATACCCCTTAAGAAAAAAAATATTGGTCAGCTACTATATCTAACTAGTTATATCTGCTAGCCTAGTATATGGTAGTTACTGAATTTATATTTCTAAATGAAAAAATAAATTCATCTTTCATATAAAATTATTTTTTCTAATTAAACTACAATGTTAGAGAAGAATTGAATCATATTACAGTAACATTATACCTTTATCTTATTAATAGCTAATCTGTTGAGGCATGAATTATGATGATTTGGTTTTATGACATATGCCAATTTCTTCCTACCCATTCTGTCTTTGCTTAGAAAAAAACATCAGCATGAGCTAAAACAACTTTTAAAGACTAAATGACCTACCCAAGGCCTCAAGAGATTTCATAATTCTGGGCCTTATTTTCTGTATCTGTAAAATAAAAGGCTAGGACTAGAAGACCTAAGATGAATTCCAGGCTCTATCATCCCACAACTCTAAGATTGCACAAATAACTCACCTGATATAGATCTGTAGTAATCTTACTCAGAGCTCTTATCACACTGTATTGTAATCTGGGTTATTATTTTTAGCCCATCTTGTTCCTTGGTAATACTGTAAGGGGATTTCCACTCTGTCTTACCTACACCCATCCAACTATCCATCTAGTTGTACATGCATCTATTTTTCATCCACCTATTCATTCACCTAACAATCCACTCATCATCCATCCTTTGATCTATTCATCTGCTTGTTCATTCATCAACTAATTATTGATCACTGAATCTGTGCCAGGCTTACACTGTTGGGAGACATGTATATAATCCAATTATAACATAGTGAGATAAGTATAATAAACAGGTTGCATAAAATTATATGCATCCCAAAGTTGGTTGGAGATAGATAAGAAAAATTTCCTACAGGAGGTACTGGGAAGAATTTCAGGACACTGTGGGAAGATAGGATGGAAGTGAACAAATGACGTATGCAGGAGTGTGAAAGAACATGAAAAGTGGATAAAACAAAATGGTTGCTTCTGGGAAAGTCCACATGTGTGCTTTCAAGGAGAGGCAGGAAAGAGGGAGGTCATAAGAATTTAGGCTGGAGAAATGGGTGTCATCAGATCATGAAGGGTTTTATATGCCATAGTGGGTGCTATTAAGTTAATGTAAAATCTTCATAGGACAGATGTAAGTTAGTAAGCTCAAAACGAATAAGCTAATATTTTCATGGATCACTATATCCATTAAGAAATTAAAAATGGTTTTTGGTTTTTATTTTCAAACAAAACTGAATAAGCCCTCTTATCTGACAAGGTTGCACTGATATGTGGCCCGCTTATTGAAGAAGTATATTTGACCTTTTTTTTGGATTTCACATATAAATGAGATCATGCAATATTTTCCTTTTTTGTGTGTCTGGCTTATTTCACTTAGCATTATGTTTTTTATGTCTATCCATGTTGTAGCAAATGGTATAATCTTCTCCATTTTAAAGGCTGAATTATATATATATATATAAAACATTTATATATATATGTTTATATATTATATAAACAGTTTCTGTAACCATTTGCTCACAGCTCATTGATGGGCACCAGCATTGGTTCCATATTTTGGCTATTGTGAATAATGTTGCAATGAACACGGGAGCTCAATATCTTTAACAGGTGATAATTTTATTTCCTTTGAATATATATCCAGAAGAGGGATTTCTGGGTCATATGGTAATTCTATTTTTAATATTTTTGAGGAACATTCATATTATTTTGCATAAGGGCTGCAATAAGCTACATTCCCACCAACAGCGTACAAGGGTTCCCTTTTCTCCACACTCTCACCGACATGTATCTCTTGTCTTTTTGATAACAGCTATCCTAATGGGTATAGTGGCTTTGGCTTTGATTTATGCTTTCCTGATGATTAGCGATGTACAGCATCTTTTCACATACCTGCTGGCCATTTTCCCATCTTTGGAGAAATGTCTGTTTAAGTCCTTTGTCCATTTTTAATTAGGTTACATATTTTCTTGCTATTGAGTTGCTATATGCATTCTTTATAAATTTTGGATATTAATCCCTTTTCAGATATATGATTTGCAAACACTTTTTCCCAATCTATTGGTCACCTTTTCACTTTGTTGATTGTTTCCTTTGCTGTGGAGAAGCATTTTAGTTTGATGTTGTCTCATTTGTTTATTTTTGCTCATATACCCTGAGCTTTTGGTGTGATAGTCAGGAAATCACTGCCAAGGCCAGTTAGATAGACCTACTTTTAAGTTAAAATCACTTAGTGTTCTTTCAGCTAATTAATTTGAATAAAGATACACAACATGTTCTATCTTGGGCAACATCATGTAATGATGTGATTATAACTGTCAGGCACAGTGCCTGGCACACATTAGACACTCAGACAAAATAGTAGATGGACTGTATGTCCCTTTTCTGAAGCCTGGTTAGGCTCTAGGCTCCTTTCCGCTCTTCAGAAGGAGGCCCAGGCTGCTGCTATGACTATTGGTGTATGCATTGAGCAGGTAAAGCTCTTTTCAGGTAATGTCCCTGAGGTGAGATTGATTGGCTGGTAAATAGTCAGAGGGGTCCCTGTTGAGCAGCACTGGGAGACAGCAGCATTCAGAGATAAGAAGGCCATCTGTTGTCCCTAGCAATGTCACTCTTTCAAAGTGGGGGAAATCAATGATTCACAACCATTTCTCTTTTCCATTTTATTTTAAAAACTGTTTCTAATTCAACAATAGAGATGATATTTTAAAGCACTCTTCTTATAAATACATCTTTTGGAAGGGCTTCAATTCATTACTACTATAAATCACTTACTCATCACACCACCTGCCAGTGTTTCTCTCTCCCTGCCTGTCTTTTTTTGGTTCCAGAGCTATTAACTCTTATCTTACCTGTATCAAATGTTATGAACGATTAGAAAGATGTCAAAAATTCACCAAAGTCTTAACTTCATTTTAAGGAGTTTCTAGAAATGATAAATGCTCACTTAAGAAAAAGTTTTTTTATCTACAAGTATGACATATTCACTCATTTAATCTGTCAAATGAGCAATGTAAAGATGATGGTTGAAAACTATGAAGGGCAGAAATCCCTTAAACTCAGTTTCTTTTCTACTATAACTTGAACTTGCTATTAATCTGGTAAAATCCGAAGATGTATTTTGTATCATGAGGAAATCGTTCCTAATAGTCAAATTCTTTTGAAGAGAAAGATAATTAAGTATAATATATTCAGATAATATAATACCCAACAGAGAGTTGGTATCCCATCAATATTATTTGTGTGTATATATTTGTGTATACACAAATAATATGTGTGTATATATGTATATATAATACAGGTATATGAGCATCTTTTCATATACCTGTTGGCCATTTTTGCATCTTCAGAGAAATGTCTATTCAAGTCCTTTGTCCATTTTTATTGTGTATATTTAATGTGTATTAAATGTGTATTTAATCTGTATAAAGTGTATATATACATATTTACACACATATTATTTCATCTAGTTTTCACAAGAATTCATGAGATAGGGGATTCACTTCATGCTATTAAGAGAGAAATCAAATAGCTTGCTCAGTGTTATCCACCTAGTAAAAGGCAAACCTACATCTGTGACTTCAAGTCTGTGCTCTTTTCATCACCCCTGTCTGAGTAGATACTCTTTCAGTTTTTGAATTTTGCAAACTGGTTAACCCCCTTTAATCCTTTAGGACTAATACCCAATTTACTATTTTGACTTTACAATAGTGATAGTAGTAATAATACCATTCACTAAGCCTTAATCATGAGCCAGGCGTCACGCTAACAGTGCTGTATACACTATTATATCCTTTCAAAAACTCCTTGAGGTATTTAAAATGACCAACATTTGTGTAGCCATTCTTATTTGCTAGTGGCTTTTCTCAGCAGTTTTCTCAGCATATTAACTCTCTTAATCCTCATGTGATTGGTATTATTTTATCCCCATTTTACAGTAAAGGAAACTGAGGTATAAGGAGACTAAGTTATCTTGGTTAAGATAGCCCAACAGGTAAATGCAGAGATGAAATTCACATCTACATATTCTGGCTTCAGAGTCCTTGCTTTTTACTTTTATTTTGAAAATGAGGCTGGGCACTCCAGCCTGGGTGACAGAGAGAGACTCTGTCTCAAAAAAAAAAAAAAAAAAAAAAAAAGAGGCTGGGCAACATGGCTCACATCTGTAATCCCAGCACTCTGGGAGGCCAAGTTGGGCAGATCACTTGAGGTCAGGAGTTTGAGGCCAGCCTGGCTAATATAGTGAAACCCTGTCTCTGTAAGAAAATACAAAAATTACCCAGGCATGGTGGTGCGTGCCCATAATCCCAGCTACTCGGGAGGCTGAGGCTTGAGAATGGCTTGAATCCTGTAGGCAGAGGTTGCAGTGAGCAGTGATCGTGCCACCGCACTCCAGCCTGGATGACAGAGTGAGACTCTGTCATTGTATGTTCTTACTCGTAAGTGGGAGCTAAGCTATGAGGATGCAAAGGCATAAGAATGACACAACAGACTTTGCGGATTCAGGGGGAAAGGGTGGGAAGAGGATGAGGGATAAAGACTACCATCCAGGTTCGGTGCATACTGCTCAGCTGATAGGTGCAGCAAAATCTCACAAATCACCACTAAAGAACTTACTTATTTGGTGGTATATGGGGAACCAAATACCACCTGTTCCCCCCAAAACCTATGGAAATAAAAAAAAAAGAAAAATAAAAAAAGCTGTCCAAAGCAGAAAGGAAAAAAAATGAGTAAACAACTCACAAAATTTAGGTAAACTGAGGAAGATGATTTGGATAAAATTGACCAGGTAAGGACTGTAATACAATGTGTATGGACAAGTGGCCAATCTCAAGGAAGCATATGCACCTTTACTTATGTAGCATTATAATGAAATTAATGACACAACTTGCAATCATTTTAGATGGATATTTGCTTTGTCTTCTTAGAGAAGAATGCTGAGCATAACTTTCTGAGATGACTTAGGAAGAGTCTTATGAAAGAACACCAGTTATTGTCATGGATTGCAAAGCAAAGATGCTGTCAAGAGCCATTGGCATGGATAAGGTTATTTGCACTAGCATTAAATAGTCCCAGGCCATTGCGCTTAAACACTTCTTCTTCGTGGTCAGGCATTCTGGCCAGCCACTTGCTACTGTTGACATTGTGCCTACCTCTAGCAGTCTTTTAATTTGGTATGTTGAAATAAAGTATCAAATAGATGAGTCAATGGATTGATATTTCTAATAATAATCTGCAAAATTGTGGAATCTAAGGATGTATTAGGATTCTTTGACTTTTTTAAAAAATTAATTAATATATTGCTCAATTTAGCATTGTAAATTAAGCACATAACTGTAGGTGGAATCATTTTTAGGAATGATAAACAATGTGAACAGACTCATACATGTACTAGAATTAATGCTTGGGGTTGATACCAACAATTTTGGCTATTCAGAAATTTACTTATTTTGTTTAATTATAGTTGATAGGTTTGAGTTTCCAAATAAGTGACTTACAGATAAAAAATACCAGTAATGTTTGTGTATATATCACTCACTCTTCAGATGTACTGTCACTGGACTAGAAATTAAAGTGCATCAGGACCAAATCCCTTTATATTTTTAGCCAGTTGTCCCTTACAATTAAAAAAATTTATCAACTGTATAACAAACTTTAAAGATCTACACTGTAAAACATTCTTCTATAATATATCATACTTAACTTACATATATATATTTTTTTCTTTTTTTGGTATGTTAGTTCCCTTCTCCTTTCAGGAATTTAATTAATTATTCATAGGAAACTTTGACAAAGGTAGGCCTGACAGATGATGGTAGCAAACTGTTTTTTATTTAACAATTGTGATATTAGCTACATCATACAAATATTTGCAACTATGCCCAAGAGATCCAGATGCAAACTAAATGACCTTTATTACAGTATAGATTAAAAAAAAAGCCCCAAAAGGGCGCACGATAATATAATTAATTGTGTTTTATGCATTTGAACATGCACTATTCTCTAGATAATTAAAACCACAAGTGAATCTAAGTTGAAAAGTAATGCCATGAAAATTAACATTTCGGGAACACCTACCATGTGCCTAAAAGTATACTGGGTAGCTTTATAGATGTTGTCTCCTTTCAAGCCTGATTTTATCCCCTTGTTCAAGATGAGAAAACTGAAGGTCAGAGAAGTTATATAAAAATATCTTGATTTTGAATTCAGGTCTCTAATTTTGTAGCTCAAATTCTTTCCACTATGTCTTGCCGCCTTTATGGTAATTGTAAAGCAAACAAACATAACAATGAATCTGGATATTAAACTGAAAAATTTTAATAATCAATGGAAATAAAAATGTTAAATGAAAGAGATAGAGGCTTTAACATCTTCTAGGGAAAGTGCCAGTAACAGAATTAAACTAACTTTTGCTGTTTTGCAGCATACTCCATTTTATAGCTTTCAAAATTTTATCTATGCCTTTATTGTATCATAACAATATTTCCCTGATTACAAATCTTTGGCTTATTATCTAAATTAAATAAAATTACACCAGTGATACACTTTATCCCCAATAATAAGAACAGAAGTCACAGAGCTATTGATAGGTTCTAAAAAGAAATAAAGGGGCTGATACCAAAGATGGTGTTAAAACACTCATGTGAGTTTGATTTTTCCCCTTTAGGTTTCTGCAAGATCCAGGGAAGAAGAGAAGATACTACTATGTGGAAGGGTGAAAATGTGTCTTGAGTTGGCAGCTCAACAGGAACATGAGCTTGCCTTAAGTCATCTGTGTTTCT
This sequence comes from Homo sapiens, assembly GCF_000001405.40. Lineage (NCBI taxonomy): Eukaryota > Metazoa > Chordata > Mammalia > Primates > Hominidae > Homo > Homo sapiens. The sequence continues at coordinate 87,891,916 of NC_000003.12, read as the reverse complement.
CCCACTCCTGGCATTGTACAGTAGTCAGAGACTAATTACAGTGGTGATTATAAAGTTAATGAAGTTGAAAAATTCACGGAAATAATTATGTCTGAATGAATGGGATAAAGAATGTGACATACAAGACATAATGACTAATTGGACACTGAAAGAGCTGATTTTGTGGACATTCCTTCATGAAAAAGAGTTCAGTGAGAGAAACAACGAAGTATCAATCACTTGACCTGAAATAATGATGGGTTTGGCAAACAGGAAAGTAAAACATAAAGAGGGTTTAGAAGACAACTGGATAATAAGCAGATTCTTTGAGGTGAGTTAGGGGATACTGAATCTCAATTCTTTTCAGGCAAAGAAAAGCAATGTAAGGGTTTTGCAGGAAAAGTTCCATTGTTATAAGAAAGGAACTTAGATTAGATTTGTAAATCATTCTTGTTAGGTGTTTTTGAAATGCTTGAGGGATTTAGGTGTTAAAATTTGTAAGTGAAATTTAAAATGTCTAAAGAAATTGAATTAATGAGGTTCATAAGTGGTGTTAAATGTTTAGGGAAAATTAATCTGTCAACTTTATGTCAATTAAGCACTGATCAAAGAAAAATGGAGAATGGCATTTTTTTTATTTTAACAAAAAACACTCAATTTATATGTATTTTTATTAGATATCTCTTTGAAGATTTGAAAAGAATTTAAATTATAATTTTAACAAATTGAATTCAAATTAAAATGAGTAACTGTAAGTACATATGCATAAAATGTTCTTGGACATTAAGAAATAAGTGAGCTGGGTGCGGTGGCTCATGTCTGTAATCCCAGCACTTTGGGAGGCCGAGGCAGGGGGATCACCTGAGGTCAGGAGTTCAAGACCAGGCTGGCCAACATGGTGAAACCCCCTTTCTACAAAAATACAAAAATTAGCTGGGCATGGTGGCAGGTGCCTGTAATCCCAGCTACTTGGGAGGCTGAGGTGGGAGAATCGCTTGAACCCGGGAGGCACAGGTTGCAGTGAGCCGAGATCGTGCCATTGCACTCCAGCCTGGGCAACAGAGCAAGACTCTGTCTCAAAAAAAAAAAAAAAAGAAATAATTGACTTGTAGTCAAATCAGGGAGTGCTTTCAGCTGGAACTTTAGTCCTAGCATCAATATTTGTGTACTTTTTAAAATAATAAACTCTATTTTGGAATAATTTGAAACAACAAGACTTGCCTTTCTCATCCCATAATATCAGTGGGTACATGATATTCATATGACATTACTGGCGGTATTTATCTTGATTACTAAGTTAAGGTGGTTTTACAAGTTTATCCACCGTACAGTTAATATTTTTCCCATCTAATACTCTATTCTAAATCTAGCCCATACTCAAAAAAAAAAAAAAAAAGGCATCAGGAGCTAAATTTCACCTTCTGGAGAGGATAGTTACTTACATACATTGTTCAGAATTCTTCTGGAATAAAATATTTGTTTCTTGTTTTGCAATTGTTTACTAAACCTCTTAGAACCTTAATCTCTAACATTACTCATGCTTCACTCCGCAAAGGATTGCTCTGAGGACCCATAATAGAGATAAAAATTTTATAAAAGCTGCAAAAGTTGCAAGTGATTATATTCCCTCAGGTATATTGCTGAGATTAAGTACAAACATATATATGCAAAAATAAGAGTAACTTGTATTTCAGTGTGTTAATGCACTGAATATCATTTTGAATTATTTTTGCTCCCTTCAGATGACACAAAGAGCAAACCCTTCATCAATGACATGCAGCTTGTGGATTTGGATGACACGGTTCTTTAAAAGAAGCACACTGCATAGGTATTATATACATTTACCTTATATTACCTGGGTACATACAAGGTATATATCTGGGTACACAAGTACACAACACAGGGTTCTAAACTTTCCATTGAAATCCTAAGATCACTTTTGTGTCTTTTGACAATTTTATACCAGGAAATATTTACAAAGCATTTTTATGACACTTCAGAATGTGTTATTACTTTCTTAAAATCCAAATTATGTTTTCAGTGGAGGTGCCTGGTGCAAGACTTGTGATCTAAACTCAAAAGCTATCATGTCTAAATGACAGTTAAATTATTAATCTCATAAATTATAAATTCATATCAGAATTTCACTTGTCAGATTCAGCAAGTTGGCAATTACTTAGTGCAATAGGTTTCCAGACATTAAATAATAAAATGGTAAATGTTAAATTACCAAACATGGCTCATTTAAAGGAAACAAAAAAAAATCAAATTTTATATAGTTTGGATTATCAGGCAAGACGGCCTTGTTTTCAAAGGATCTTTTAACTGCCTAACATTTTCCTTGTAGCATCTCAAACCCAGATATGCAAGTTTTTTTCACCTCCAAATCTTCTTAGTCAGAACACTTGTCCTAATTTGGAGGAAAAAAGAGATGTTTTCTATGCTTAAATTGATAAAATTAGATCTTTTGTGTTTTAGAAACAGTGAAGAGACTTGTTTGAACATCCTAAAATCTAAAAATGAAATAATCTTCTATTATAATTAGGGAATGGCAGGTGATAAGATGAAATATATAAATATTTTGTATTGCAAATTTAGTCATTCACAATTTTATGAATATAATTGCTGTCTTAGTCTGTTTAGTGTTGCTATAAAGGAATACATGAGGCTGGGTAATTTATAAATAAGAGAGGTTTATTTAACTTATGGTTCTGCTGGCTGGAAAGTTTAAGACTGGGCATCTGATGAGGACATCAGGCTGCTTCCACTCATGGTAGAAGGTGAAAGGGAGCTGGGGTGTGCAGAGATTACATGGCCAGAGAGGCAGCAAAAGAGAGCTGGGGAGATGCCAGGCTCTTTATAACAACCAGCTCTCATGAGGACTAAGAGTAAGAATTCACTGTCTTCCCCACCAGGAAGAGCATTAATCTATTCGTGAAGGATATTCCCCCATGACCCAAACACCTCCCATTAGGTCCCACCTCCAACAATGGGGATCAGATTTCAACACAAGAATTGGAAGAGACAAACATCCAAACTATAGCACTTTCTGTTCTTCCTAAAATAGAGTAATTACAGATGCTAATATTTTTTGAGTGCTTATTTTGAAGTAAGTACTGTGCTAAATACTTTCAGCTCATTATCTCACTT